>NC_000010.11:106658246-106961277 GCF_000001405.40 Homo sapiens
TTCTTTTGCCTGTGCTGTTCATTCTGCCCGGGATGCTCTTTCCTACTGGCAAACTTCTACTCATCCTTAAAAAAAAAAAAATCAGCTTCAAAATCATGCTTTTTGTGAAACCTCCTCTTCCCTTTTGTCACGGTAGTTATCACATGCAACCAAGGTGAAACTGGAACTCTAGGTCTTCTTGTACCCCAGGGGGTGTTACTGTCATTGAGCAACGGTGGTCCTCATTTGCACTCACAATAAAAAAAAAGCATAAATAGTTTAATTTCTTGGCTTGTGCTATGTGCATTTGCTTTCAAGGGAAAATACTGCCTTGTTACAATGACACTAGGCTTAATGAAGCAGGAAATGAAGGAAGCCTTGGGGATGGAGAAGGGGGCTAATTCTTGATAGAGTATGTGGCTAAGACTTAAAATCTTCCAAATCCACCACCTTAGTAATGTAGGTGTGCAATGACAAAACAGCTATATGTGTTATGTTCATGTGTGTAAATTAAAAGAGCTATGTAACTATAGATCTCTCACATGAAGATACAGGGCTACGATGGCATGGCTTAACAATTAGGGTAGAGAGAGATTCTTCTACCCCTGCATCCAGAGAAACTGCTTCTGAAAAAGCAGTAGTGGTGGCAGCCTAGATTTCCTGATCTCCTATTATATATACCAGAATAGGGATTATACCAGACTTCCAGGCTGACAGACCTCATTGGTGGCTGTATATTAACCATTGTGACTCTTCATCAATAGACACAGGCAGCCCCAAAATGGTCATTTATTCTTTAACTGGGATCCCATGTGACAAAGTATGCTCAGGAGTGACAATGTGTCCACATATCAACAATAATCTTATGTAGCAGCCATAGCATCAGCAATCAGGAATAGACTTCCATGGCTGGCTAAGCAGGCTTTCCAAGTTTCTCTCTTCAAGGCAACAGCTCTTTGGACTATTCCCCTCAATGGAGTAAACAGACCTAGAAATTAGCGGATAGGCATAAGACAGAAGACCAGGTAAAAAGAAGAAAGCTTCTCTTGCATTAAGCAGGATGGAAGCAGACGTCATTTAATTTGAATAGTAATAGGAATGTGACTTCATTTTGAACATGAGCTTGATGAAATGGTGAACTGGGACATATGGCCACACACACTTCACTAAATCACTTAATATCGAGAATCATACTGATTGAGAATGGCTCACAGAATCCACTATCTGAGCCTACCAGTTGTACGACTAAGTTAATATGAATTTGTTTTCTATCTTTTGAGGGCCTACAGTCCAAGGAATTCTAATATTGAATCCTTTCAATTGGTCATGGAAATGTTAAAGCTTGAAGGGGTCTCTAAGATCATCCAACACTATCCTTTTGCTTTTCACATAAGGAAAAGGAAACACAGTTTAGAGAGTTGCACCTCACACAGGGGATGACTGGCACGTCTGGGACTCTGGACTAAGTCTGGTGTTCTCTTGCCACTGTACCATAGCACCAGGATAAGAATTGTTAATGCCAAGGCCATTGATGTGGGCAAGAATCGCCATGTGAGAAAGCAAGTCTCCATGTACAGTGATATTCACCTTTTCCTTCATTTCCCAACCCCAGTGTCATGCATGAAAAGATGGAAAACCTCATTTAAGAAAGGTTTTCTTAAGAAAGTTTTCTTCAGAAAGTTGACTCTGTAGCAACCAACAATTATTGAGTGTGTGCAGTGAGGCTGTATGGTTCTTGGCTAGAAAACAGCTACAGAGGCCCCTGCAGTGATGAGTCTGTAAATAATGCAAGTGATTGCCTTTTTGTGGACTTTAAACACATGCACCATTTTTAGGGCCAATTATTCTCCTTGACGCACACTGAAAAGTATCCTTGAGAGGAGATCAGACCAAACATCAAAACCCCCACAAGGCAACCAAAACAGAATCACCTGGAAAAGACCAAAGCTCCAGAGACACTGGAAATAGCAAATCCAGGAAGTGGCAGGTTAGCAGAATCTAAGTGTTTTATGGCTTATGTAGAGAGGAAGTTTTCAAGTTTTTATTTTTAATTGACATATTATACATATTTATAAGGTACAGTGTGATGTTTTGATACATATATACATTGTGTAATGATTAAATCCATCATATCCATCACCTCAAACATTTATCCTTTCTTTGTGGTGAGAATATTCAAACTTCTCTCTTCTGGCTATTTTGAAATCCACAACATGCTATTATTAACTATAGTCACTCTACTGTGAAATGAAACACCAAAAGTTATTTATAAAAAGCATCTTTTAAAACATTCCAAATGTATCTTGATAGTATAAACATAACTATTTTGCTAGAATTTATGTGTGTATTTTTTCTTGGACCCACTGTATATTTGTAAATAGATACCTAACTTAAACTTTTTAAAAATGTCTTTATTGTATAAATATCCCCATTGGAATCTCTTGAATCCAGGAGGCAGAGGTTGCAGTGAGCTGAGATCACGCCACTGCACTCCATCTTGGGCAATAGAGTGAGACTCCGTCTCAAAAAAAAAAAAAAAAGTCCCCATTGCATATTGAGAAACTAACCCTGAAGAGCAGTAAGAACTGTCTTTGTACCTTCTTCCATGAGGAATTAATGGCCCCTATAAAGAAACTCTACAGATAGAAATTTCTAAACGTACTTTATAAAGCACCTCTAGAAATATCTCCAGCTTAATAGCAGGAAGAAATCTTTCCCTTGAGAAGATTATCTTGGTTTCTTAGAATAAACCAACCCACTGCCCACTTTATTTTATATTTACAGAATCTTTTACCACTGGCATGAAACAAGTAACATGCTAGTTAATTTAGCAACTTAAATTTTGCAGTATGCTCCCCGGTTCCAAAACAGTATAAACAAGATTTAACCATATATAAGTATCACTGAATGAGCTTGTGCTTGTGGATGTGCATACTGAGATATTTATAGATACCGAAAGAGAAACAAAGAGGAATAAATTTGGGGTTATTTCGGCACTAACATGAAATAAAATACAAATGAATACTGCTTTCATTTTATTTGAGCAAAAGGAACTCGTTCAGTAATCAGCTAAACACATTATCTGGCCTGAGTGGCATAAAGGGACAGACGTGCTTTGGTGTACAGTGCTTTCATCACTTTCTAATTATGTAACTTTATGAGCCGCATAGGTTACTATTTTTGTTTTACAAATGAGAAAACAGAGACTTACATTAAATATGTCTCAGATATTATTACTGCAGTGACAATTAAACATCAAATACATGTCTGGACTGTGGATTCATAATAAAAGTAAGTTTTTTCCCTTCTTTCTTTACTCTAGAGGAGTCTTCAGACAATAACTATTGGTGATGACACACATTTTGTAAGGTGATGACTATGTGCTAGGCATTGTGCTACATGCTTTACATACAGTGTGACATTTAATCAAATTCTGAAGGCAAATAGCAAAATGTTATAGGTTAAGGAACTAAGGTCAAGGAAACAAAGTCACTTACTAAACATAACAGTAAATGGCAGAGGTTAGATTGAACATCCTTAATTGTTTCATTCCAATTACTCACTTTTTCACCGAACAAAACATCCCCAATTGTATTTCACTCTCAATCCCTAACAGGCTAAGGCCCCAGTACCAGCCTCCTTGCTTTCCACCTTCATGTCAAATGACATGTAGAAGCTGTGAGGACAGAGGCTGAATAGAGGCAGGGAGCCAATCGTGGAGAACACAGCAGGCTCTACTGTTCCACTGTGTGGGTATGAGAAACCCTGACGCCACTGGACCAAGGAGCAGGACTGGTGGTTACAGCCACCTGGAGGGACATTCTGCACCAAGTTCACTTTTTATTCCATCCATCCTTTCTAAGTCCTAGCCAGCAACTAAAACAAAAATTGTGCAACCATTCACTTCTACATAGTAAAGATGATAAATATTTTGGCATCTCATCAAAATAGCATTTTATTGGGCACAATAATAACCGATGCCAGGATTTCCCCATCATGGAGAAGCAGGTAAACCTGAGAACACTGCCATATACACAGGGTAATAAGCTGACAGTGAAAGTAACCATAGACATTTATAAAGTGAGTTATTTAAGAACTTTTTTTTTTTAAAGGAATGATTTCCTGCATGCTTCCAAATAAACTCTCAGAAAGGTGATGCTGGGAGGTTTGGTCATTCACCCCACTTAATTCATTTTCCCACTGCATGTCTGTATCATGAGCTATGCTGTAAGAAAAGTGTGAGACAAATGAGGTGCCCAGGGAGCAACATTTATGAAGGGGCTCACTCTCTGGCCAGCCCTACACTTGCGATTCCTTTGCACTTCATCCCAGCCCTGAGGCTAATACAGATTCTGCACTGACTGAGCATGAGGTGACCATGGATGGCTTAAAATGGCACTGGACACAGGGTTCCCAGTGGCTGCTTAACTCTATAAGCATGCAGGCATTGGCATCTGGGCTTGTCCTTGAGAAAACTACTATTGTGGCCCTTCCCCAGGATCATTTCTTGTTCTTTTTGCATGAAATGACCTTCCTCACCTTATTAATTTGGCTAAATCCTACTTCTCCTTCCCCTCAGCTTTCCTTTACAGAATCCACTGGCATTTGAATTTTAAAGGAGGACGGCACTTAATACAAATGAATCTCTAATTTTTGGGACTCACAGGCAGCCCATGAGCAGGAAGCCAGTGTTTTAACCCTTACAAGGGAGAGATGTGGCAATGTCTGATACCCAGGTCTGAGACGTACCCAGTTGGCTGAGTGGAATTTGCATTATGAGCTAACAGAAACACCTCCAATTGCCAAAAGAGACTTAATTATCTTTGTATTATTTGTATAACAAGTTTTATGGGATGAGAATATTAACTGCAGCATTATTTATAGTGGCAGAAAAAACAAAATAACCCAAACATCCATGGAAGAAGGATAACTGATAATATTATAATAATACTTAATACTATGAAATTAAAGAAATGAGAAAGTGCCCTTATATACTCTGGCTTAGAAAGATGTTTAAGACATATTTTTGAATGAAAAAGGAAAATAGAAGAACAATGTATCTAGTAGGAAATCACATATAAAAACAACCTCCCAAATTAATTTGTGTATTTTCTCTTGGGACAAGTATTTACTAGCAAATGCAAAGACAAGTATTTAGAAGTATGCATATCAAACAGATCACAGTTGTGTGGGGAAAGGGGGCCAGGATTGGGATGATGATGTAAATTGGCTTTTAAACATATAAAACATACACATTTATTTTGTAACTAAATATTTTTTAAGTAAAAATCTAAATGTATAGTGTCAGCATTATTAGTGGCTACAAGATTATATACTGAATCTGCTTATAAAATACCACTGAATCAACACATAGCCAAATGACATCTGTGGTGAGGGGCTGAAGTGACATTAAGGGAGGCAGAAAGTTCTTTTCCATCTTTTCCAAGTTCACCAACATTTTACCTCTTGCCAACTCTTGAGTTGGCTACAGACACTGCTAATGTGAATTCAGTGGTGTGAGGCCTTCTTTGTAGATGATTTCAGGCCTTTGTCCCAGCTAAGGGTCTTCGTGTTCCTAATGCAAAATGTGTAGCTTAGACAACATGCTGATCAGTGGGGTTATTATTGACAACCACTCCCGTGACTTTAGTGTATAAGACCCTATTTGGGTATTCACTCCTCCACCTGTGAGCATCTTACTTATGAGAGCAGGACATTTACCATACCCGCTGATGGCTGGTATTTATCATATGTTCTCTTTACACTAGCTTGCTCACCAATGCTGATGCTTTTCTGCAAAATCTTTAAACGGAACAGACGAAACCAGTGGACGTGGCAACTTAACAAAAATCATTTGGGGTCAGATGCTATCGTGTAATACCCACAGAAATGAACAGGCCCCTGAGAGTTAAGGTGGAGTCCTAGAAGGTAGTGTTGTAATTTCGTGACTACTAAACATAACAACTGCATTGACCAACATTTATATACCTGGATGCTTATTGCTAAGTCACATTTTAATTGACATTATGATTTTAATTTTATATGGCATAGATGGTATTCTTTTTGAATATAAAATTACTTAATCGTCACTGATGTTTTATTTGATGTTAGTCAGAATTTATAAGATCTCAGATGGGCCAGGCGCGGTGGCTCATGCCTGTAATCCCAGCACTTTGGGAGGCTGAGGCAGGTGGATCACGAGGTCAGGAGATCAAGACCATCCTGGCTACTATGGTGAAACCCCATCTCTAGTAAAAATACAAAACATTAGCTGGGCTTGGTGGCGGGTGCCTGTAGTCCCAGCTACTCGGGAAGCTGAGGCAGGAGAATGGCGTGAACCTGGGAGGCGGAGGTTGCAGTGAGCCGAGATCGTGCCACTGCACTCCAGCCTGGGTAACAGAGTGAGACTCCATCTCAAAAACAAAGAGGAAAAAAAAGATCTCAATGAACTGAAGAGTGAGGGGTCACAGGTATCATTCAGCCTTGGTCTATGATTGAGTAGCATCTGGAACAATTTGATCCCTCTGTGTTTCAGCCTCCTATCATCAATACCAAAGACAGACTAATATAACTTCCTTGACTGATTGAGCTGGTTAAAAAAAAAAATCAATTCTTAAATTAGCTTGAGGGGTTTCCAATGCCCTTTACAGTATCTAAACATGCTAGTACCAGCAAGTAATAAAACTCCTGTCTTTTGCATTCCTTCCCCATTAAGTTTAGTTATTTTATTAACCTTTTCATTTTTTTCCTCCATGGTACTATGCTAAGACCTCACTGACCCATTGCTATAAAAGTGTTATTTATATTTCCTTGGATGTCGTGTTATCATTCAAAAAAATCATAGCTTATTCCTTTATTCAAAGGTTCTAGGAATCCCTAACATCAGAAATAGGAATCATTACAATCCTTTTCTATGTGTTTTCCTTCCTTGAAAAGAATAGTATCTATTATTTTGATAATCTTTTATAAAAATTAAACACATTTAAAATTTCAAATACAGAGTACATAAATGGAAGTCTCACCCCCTCAAGTGGATTCTCTGTACTGTAGCTGGCTCAAGAAAGGAGAAGGGGCTTTGTCAAGTAAAACTGGCTGATTGGTAAGGTTCCTATCTCCTTACTTCTCCTTTCTCCTTCTTCCTTCCCTTTTTTTTTCTCTCTCTCTTTTTTTTTTTTTTTAATAGATGGGGGTTTCCCTATGTTGTCCAGGGTGGCCTTGAACTCCTGGACCCAAACGATCCTTCCACTTCAGCCTCCTGAGTAGCAGGGACTATAGGCATGTGCTACCACAATAGCTTCTTTTTAACTTTTTATTATCAGAACTTTCAAATATGCATGAAGAAAAGTAATGTAATAAATTCCCATGTACTCATTACCCATCTCCAAAAATTATCAATACTTATCTGCTTTTTAACACATTAAAACAAAACTCACAAAAATATGTATCTCTAAAAAATAAGACTTATTTTTTTCTTAGCCTAACCAAAATGACTTTATCATGCCTAAATATATAATTCTTTAATATCACCTATGATGGGTAACTTAATATGCGAACTTGACTGCGCCATAGTATGCCCAGATATTTGGTCAAATGTTACACTTCTGTGGGTTTTTTGTTTGTTTGTTTGTTTTGAGACAGAGTCTCACTCTGCCGCCCAGGCTGGAGTGCAGTGGCACGATTTCAGCTCACTGTAAGCTCTGCCTCCCCTGGGTTCACGCCATTCTCCTGCCTCAGCCTCCCAAGTAGCTGGGACTACAGGCACCCACCACCACACCTGGCTAATTTTTTGTATTTTTAGTAGAGACAGGTTTTCACCATGTTAGCCAGGATGGTCTCGATCTCCTGACCTTGTGATCCGCCCACCTCACCCTCCCGAAATGCTGAGATTACAGGCGTGAGCCACTGCACCCGGCCACTTCTATGTATTTTTAAATGAGATTAACATTTAAGTCAGTAGACTGAGTAAAGCAGATTGACTTCTCTAGTGAGGGTGGGCCTCATCCAATCAGCTGAAGGCCTGAATTCAGCAGGTTGACAGTTCCCAAAGTAAGAGAGAATTCCTTCTGCCTGATGGCATTCATATTGGAACACTGGCCTCTTTTCCTGCCTTCGGTCTTGAACCGAAAGATAGGCTCTTCCTGGGTCTCAGGTCTGCTGGCCTTTGGACTAGAACTACAACATTGGTTCTATGGTTTCAGGCCTTCAGATTCGAACTACAACTATACTGTCAGCTCTCCTGGGTCTCCAGCTTGCTGACTTACCCTGCAGATCTTGGGACCCACCTACCTCCATAATCGAATGAGCCAATTCTTTACAATAAATCTCTCTCTTTTTTTTTTTTTTTTTCTTGAGACAGAGTCTTACTCGGTCACCCAGGCTGGAGTGCAGTGGTGCAATCCCGGCTCACTGCAACCTCTGCCTCCTGGGTTCAAGTGATTTTCCTGCCTCAGCCTCCTGAGTGTCTGAGACTACAGGCGCACACCACCATGTGCAGTTAATTTTTTTTTTTTTTGTATTTTTAGTAGAGATGGGGTTTCACCATGTTGGCCAGGCTGCTCTCACACTCCTGACCTCAAGTGATCCGCCCACCTTAGCCTCCCAAAGTGCAGTGCTGGGACTACAGGCGTGAGCCACTGCTCCTGGCCAATAAATCTCTTTCTAAATAAATATACATCCTATTGGTTTTGTTTCTCTGGAAAGCCCTAACTAATACATTACCTGAATTAGTATATGTTCAATTTTCCTCAATGGCTCAAATGTGCCTTTTTACAGATCATTTGTTTGAATCAGAATTTAAATAGGTTCTACACACTATTTTAAAGTTTATAGATACCTACTACATTTGAGACAAATTTATGATTTTTTTTCCTTATTATGGTATTTCTTAAATAATATTGCATAAGCCCCATGACACAGAATATTAAATACCAAATTTCAGAATGTGATTCTGGATTTACAAAGGTCAGAATGCATGTTTAAATGTGTCAAGACTGAACATAAAGAGAAAGCAAAATACATTCGTATTAACACTAGTATACTTTTGAAAAGTCAGTGAGTTCCTTTTGTGATTCCAGGTTCCACATCTATAAAACAGAAAATGCAAATATTAAATATCTATTTGGCCTTCCTCATCATGGATACAATGACGGTAAAAGGTAACTTCACAGGATTAAATAGCTTGAAAACAAAGTGTCGAGAAAATGAAGACACTTTTAATATCATCATTGTGATCTTCAATCAAGAAACATTTCTCTTTTTTCAATTTGCAACTGGAATCTTATTCTCACATGAAACTTGCACTATTAGTGCAAAGTTGTGCTTCATTGTTAAAATGAACAAAAGCAATTACATTGTGCTGTAAGGAAATATGCTTGGTCCTTGATCAGAAGTAATTCTGTCAGTATAACACGTGCTGAAAGGCAGCAAAGGTTGGCCTCTCAAGGTCACTACTCCAGACACTTACCCAGTACTATTGAGGTAACTCTGTCCCAAGCTGCAATCCTTTGACAGAGAGGATGGATTGAACCAAAATGCCGGCAGGCACTGGCCATTGCTGTGTCGCTCATAACCATAGTCGCTGTTAGGAAAGAGCCGAGAAAAACCTTTCACTAGGTGGCAAAATTACTGAAAACAATTCTACATCAGTCCACAGCCAAGTTCCACACTAATCAATTAGTCATAACAAACAAAAATAAAAACAAAAAAAAAAAACACAAGCATTCCCTGAATCAATGACTTCTCAAAAATAGAACTTTTTTCATAGAATATCTATCAATTAATTATTCAGGAAAATATCCTACACAACTGGTCATTCCATTTAAACACTCTCAAGCTGAGAGAGTAGATTGTGCTCTCATTAGAACGATACACAATACAGGTGGCTGGGCCCAGAGAAAGCTGTAATGAGAAAACGGGTGTGGTGGAACTCAACCCTTGGTGAGAAATTCATCGCAGAGTTTAACACGGCCACATGTGGCACAGTCCTCATTACTGGTGATGTCTTTGGGATGCTCTTCCAAGACATCTGGATCTACCAAGAGAACTGAGCCAGGTCTCTCTGTGTACACTCCATATGCTTCAAAGTTACAGCCAAAAAGGAAATGTCCTTCAGGAGTGTCTCGAGCATTCCCCTAAGGAAATGTTTCACACTAGGCAGTTAGCGCTGCCACTTGGGACTAACTGTTTTAAATCCTCTCTCTACTTCGGAAATAGCCAAAGACTTCCCTCTCAGCCTCCTCTCATTCATGCTTCCAGGAGCCTCTGAGTTGCCTGATATTCTTGGCAACTGGCAGATGAACCTGGGCACAGAGAATGACAACAAATTGCACCTCCACATGCACAGACAAATTGCAGGCAGCAATCGGCAAGCATTAGTATGAACTGGCCCATCTGTGTAATGGAGGTGAGATGCTGGCACACAAGGGTCAGTAAGGGAGAAATAGGCTCAGCTCAGGGGCCTGTCACCAGGCAGCTGGTACTTAGAATTTTGCACATACCAGCAGGATTTGGTGCTGGTTCAATGCAGCATGGGTAGGAAGACTTCAGAATTGCTGCCTATAGGACAACCAGTGTTTGCTTCAGGAAGTTACTTTACGAATGCTGGAGAGGGACAGGCAAGGTCATTTGGGGGACTGTCCAGGAGAGGGCCAAACCAAGGAGAAACACTCAGTGACAATCACCTTTCATTACACTACAGCCAGGTGTAATCACCGAAACTCCAGCTACCGGTAGAACCCCAACAAGGTTGTGATGAGCCTTCCCAAATATTTTCAGAAATCATGCAGTGACAGAAATCCCACTGGACCAGAAAACCTTACAATGAACTCCTTCATGATTCATTTCCCACTTCTCAGAATGCATTTCAGCTGGTGGGATGAGTAGCCGATTCCAATCACAAATGAATGCAGGGATTGGGCCAAGACTAAGGGGCACGAGAGACACGGGAGAGGAGAAATCTAATTGCCTTCCTTATCTGGTATTCCTTTCATTCTGGACTAGCTTACAATTGAAAAAGAAAAACAACAACAACAACAACAACAACAAAAGACTGGCTTACTTTGAAGCCTGTAGAAAAGATTCCCAGAGAAGCAAATGTTTCAAGGAGAAATCAGGACATTGGGACATCTCATCTCATCTCATTTTTTTTTTTCTCTTTGGTTTTCTACCAGAGAATAAATTTGCCTCCTGCTAAAGAATGGCTGTTTCTTAAGGCAAAAGCTAAACCACTAATGTAAGATGCTAACTTCCTTTGCAAATCTTCCTTGAATACAGTAAACGAAGAAGCAGCAGTGGCTTCAGAAAGAGGGATGCAATGAATGACTTAAAATCTCATGGTAGTTTTCCCTGTGAATGCATTTCAGGATGTTAGTCCCAAAGGGTAGTACAGAGATAAAATATTTTTGTCATTGTAATAATATTGCACTGACTAAAACAGAAGTCACACTGGGGAGGCCCCTGAAGATTTCGATGATTTGAGCTCCCTGAAGATTTGAGCTCCAATGTAACTGAAGCTCTGTTGCCCTCTGGCTGAGCCCAAAGAGATACTTCATTCGCTCTTGGCTTGGCGTCCTCACCAACAAGGGGATACAGCTGTGGGTTACTGGTCTGACGGCTGGCTGCCACTCTTGTCAGACCTTCTTAGTACTATTTATTCAGAGAATATCTCCAGATGTCTACCATAAGAGAAGGCTTAACTTTTCTAAGATATGTGATGTGTATGTACACAGTATCTCAGTTCAGTCACTGATATTTTAATGATTCAATATGTAACCTGAGGTTGCTATACAGCTAGAAATAAATTGTTGAAAAATGACTTTAGTTCTTATACGGGTCAAGTATTAATTTTTTAACACATATGTACATATTTAGCGATTGTGTTTTCTAAATTAAAAACAAATAAACGAATACATGAAAACCAAAAAGAAGAGGGAAGAAAACAATGGAAAATGAGATGGAAAATATCAAGGGAGTTACCACCTACTTGTCCTCAATACTTTGTAAGCCTTACCTGAACAATTAACATTGACAACAAGCCAAGGGCTTCACAGTGCCCACAAGCTAGCTTTCTGCTGAGCAAATGTCTCAAGAAGGACTTTATGGCACTCTGAGTTTAGTTTAACCTCTAAATGTCTCAGTACTTCTCCAGTTTAAATTAGCTTAATCCTGGTAAAGCAAAAAGTCTCCTTTATCACTACGTTCACCGAGTTACAGATTTGCAATGCCATTGAATCCATCCTTGCTCTGAGTTCAGCAACATCTTCCATGAATCTCATAAGCTATGGTCAGCTAACTACGAATCGAAAACTTGCAGGGACAGAAAATTTTCTGCCTTAAAAGGCTATTATTCCACTACAGGAAATCCTAGATTCTAGAAAGCTTTCATCTTGAGCATAGATGTTTGTTTGCTCCCTAAAAAGTCCACTTAGTGTTTCCAGTGTTGCTGTTTGAAGCAGCACAGAAAGAATCTGCCCATTTTTTTTTTTTTTTTTTGAGATAGTCTCACTCTGACGCCATGCTGGAGTGCAGTGGCGCGATCGTGGCTCATTGCAATCTCTACCTCCTGGGTTCAAGCGATTCTCCTGCTTCAGCCTCCCGAGCAGCTGGGATTACAGGTGTCCGCCACTATGCCCAGCTAATTTTTCTATTTTTAGTAGGGACGGGGTTTTACCATGTTTCCCAGGCTGGTCCCAAACTCCTGACCTCAAGTGATCTGCCCCACTCAGCCTCCCAAAGTGCTGGCATTACAGGCATGAGCCACCATGCCCGGCCAAATCTGCCGGTAATGAAGATAATTACCAGCCATCTTCCGAGTCCTCTTTCAGTCTAAAGAAACTCTTGATTATCCCACATACACATACACATAGCTAGTAAACTATGAGGTAATTTTATAAGAATATGAAGCTGGCCACTTAGCCCTATGTATGTTACTATTATTTCAATTCTAAGCTTTCATTCAGGCCCATGTGGATTTGATACACCAAATGGCTCCAGGAGATAATTGCACAAGCTCACCAATCAAAATCAGCCTCAGTGCAGACACAGGGTTCAGATTCCATAGCTCCTGCATATTTTCCTTGCATACACTTCCGCTCTGATTTTCGCTTCTTATATATCCTTTTTGCTCCCATGATACATGCTTCCCCCTGTAAGCAGAGAAGGATCACAGATACTTGGGCACATAGCTTGGACTTTCTCTGCTCCACATGAGTGACATTTAGGGAGACATTTGCACATCTTAGTGTAATGTAAACTTTGGTAGCCCTCTTTGTGCTAACAACATTTTCCTTTTGCGGTCTAGAGCCCTATTATACAACCTGACTATAAAGGCAATCCTAACAATCATTGAAGATTATTAAACAACATCCTTAATTTTGTGTGCACTTATCAAGCCTTTATTTGGCAAAGTGTTGGGTGCAGTGCTATGAAGGACACACAGACTCAGCCTGTACCTAGTGTATTGCCAGTAAATCTGCAGTAATTAAGTTCAATTCCCCTATAATAAAAGATGTATACAGTTGGTCATTTATGAGGGCATGAAAGAGGAGCATTGCTAAGAAATATAAAGATCAATTTTGCCTCGATTTATTATGCCTCTGCCCACACAACTTTACAGCACAGATTTTAATGTTCCTCTACCAGACAAGCGAGAGAGCTAAATTCAGTGTTTTCCCACAAAATAAATAAAAGCTTTGAATATCACAATGCTTGTGCATCCCAAAGGAGAAAATATCAGCAATGTAAATGAACGATTCTATTGTTAAGCCTCTGAATAGGGTGGGTGTTTCCAGCTAACGCAGGGCCCACTATCAGACACACTCCTCCTTTTGTGTTTCTGAAAGATCAGAGTAGAATTTTGCTTTATCTACTGTACACCGTCTTTCTTGAGCAAACTCACTTTAACTGGCTTCATTATACATCTACATTTACATATATTACTTAGTCTAGGTTTGAGGTATATGACGTTTTTCTGCCTGAATATGGTGATGGCTTTGCAGCAGGTACTTCTACCAAATCCTTTGAGAGATCTGCGGAACGACTTGTACCTTGGGAAATCAAGGGAGAGACACTTCCATCCAAGCATTTTGATATAAGCTGGATATGTGAGAGGCCAGGACAAATGAAAGTTTCCTATTAATAATTCTGCATTCTCATACCAGAAGTACCTTGCAAGGAGGCAAAAAGTACCATATAGTTCCAAGGAATCAAGGCAAAGGGGAAGAAGGATTTCTCCGGCAACACTCACCCAGCATAATTTTGTTATTTTATGTCTCTGCTTGCATTGCTAGATAAAATTGAAGATATCTTCCTCATCCCTGCCCCCACCATGCAACCATATGACATTCTCAGATGAAATATGTTTGGATCTGAGTGCTGAACTGGTATTTCATTTTGATTTGTAAGCCTAAGCCAAGCACATTTGAATTTTATCTCATTATATCCTAGCACAATAAAAACAGAAATGACTTCACAACAAGCTATTAATGGTGAGTTTGTTCACTGCTGTGGAACACAAATGTGTAAGAAAACAGTAGATGGACATTTTGGCCTAGAGCATCCTAGTTCCTATACCTTAGCAACTAGCTTTCCCCCAACACCACTCATGCTTCCTGCCCAGGCCTTAGTCTCAGTTCTTTTCCTCCTACCTGGCTGTGCAGCTGCCAAGGTCTGTAGTCCTCTTCGGCACACCGTCTATCAAAAATGGACTTGTAATCTACTTTGACCAGCTGCCATTCAGAGCGGTGGCTGAAGTGTCCAAACACTCTACAGAGTTCATGGTGATAAAAATAATTACAATGATAACAATGTAATGAGTAATAACAACAGAGAGCATTTGTGGGGCGTTCACCCTGAGCTAAGCACATTACATGAATCATATCATTTAATCCTCAAAACGCATTCATGAAGAGGGTACTTTTTTTTTTTTTTGAGACAGAGTCTCGCTCTGTCACCAGGCTGGAGCGCAGTGGTGCGATCTCGGCTCACTACAACCCCTGACTCCCTGGTTCAAGCAATTCTCCTGCCTCAGCCTCCCGACTAGCTGGGATTACAGGCACGAGCCACCACACCAAGCTAATTTTTTCTATTTTTAGTAGAGATGGGGTTCCACCATGTTGGCCAGGATGGTCTTGATCTCCTGACCTCATGATCCGCCCGCCTTGGCCTCCCAAAGTGCTAGATTACAGGTGTGAGCCACCGCACTTGGCCGAGGAGGGTACTATTACTGGATCCACTTCGCAGATAGATAATATGAGATTCAATGAGTTTTGTTAACATTGCAAAAACAAAATCAAGTCATAATAACAGGCAGAACCAGACCCAGAGTATTTAATTCAAGAGCCCACTTGTACATATTGTGCCACAGGATTGGTTGAGAAAATATGGTTGAGAAAAACAATCATAAATGCTGTATTCTATGTGGTCCAAGATTAGACTTCTAGGTTATCTTGCTAATGTACATAGTTCCCATGGTTTCCATGCTATTTTACTTTCCCACCAGCCCCTAGTGAAAGTGATCAGCAGAACCAAGTACTAATAATGGTTTCCTACACTGTACATTCTACTCTCTTTACTCAGAGAGACTTAAGTATTTACTGAGATGTTTGAATTACCAACCATAGGTTTGAAGAAAAGCCATGAAGTGGCCTGTTGGGTCAGTTTTTTAAAATCTGTTTTGAAAATATAAAAATTGAAGAAAGACAAATTATGGAATGCATTGCTAATTTAGCTACGTCTCTCATTGAGAAAAGTGTAGCTATTAGGCATATTAGATTTTTATTGTTGTTTTCTACCATTAAAAAGCAGAAGTGGTAGGCCAGGCGTGGTGGCTCACACCTGTAATCCCAGTACTTTGGGAGGCCGAGGCAGGTGGATCACAAGGTCAGGAGATCGAGACCATCCTGGCTAACGTGGTGAAACTCTGTCTCTACTAAAAAAAAAAAAAAAATTATAAAAAAATTACCCGGGCGTGGTGGCAGGCACCTGTAGTCCTAGCTACTCAGGAGGCTAAGGCAGGAGAATGGCATGAACCCAGGAGGCAGAGCCTGCAATGAGCCGAGATCATGCCACTGCACTCCAGCCTGGGCGACAGAGTAAGACTCCGTCTCAAAAAAAAAAAAAAAAAAAAAAAAAAAAAGTAGTAGTGGTAGGGGAGAGAATTAGCTTACCAAGTATTGACTTTGGCTTGAAAGTTTTCATTGATGACCAGATCAACTACTTTATAACCTTCCCTTTCTACTTTCCATGTCCAGTTTTCCAAAGGAAGGAACTCTCACAGTTTCATACTTGAAATTCAAAGTCCATGTATTGAAACCCATAGGCAGCGTCATTAATCTTTCACAAATTAATGATCATCACATTCCAGACAAAAATGAGTGTAAATGCAATTTCACAATAACAGACTGTTCTCATGATTTTCCTAATATGCCTCACAATTGGGTTAGGTAAAGAGCCAGGGAAAAATACAATGCTTTGTGGCATTTTGATGAAACTATGCTCTGACTTAAAGCGAACTCATTCCTATATACCTGAGATTTTCTACATATCCAGGTTCTTTATTACTGAAGTTTTAAATGTACAGCTTTATTTCCTATTGAAATCATCACTTCTAATTTCTCTAAGCGCCTCAGTCTGGGTCTCCTAAAAACTATCAGAGAACCAAGAAAATAGCTGCCCACATTTTTCTTCCCTATTTGCTGTACACTCTTGCAGTAAGATGCAACAACCTTGAACCTAACAGCTGCAAATCAAACAGGCTTAGCTATAAAACATTTTTGTGGATTACTCTTTTCTATGAAGGCTGGACCACATCATACTTTTCAACTTACGTCATGATGAGAGTCTCTTCTCCAGGCTCACCCAGAACCCCATCCACAAAAAGTGGAATAGATGTGAAACTGTATTTGCTCCAAGATCTCCCTTCATCAAAACTCAACCTAATGATATAAAAAATATCAGTCATCAGATCTCCAAAGGAAAAAAAAATGTCATTTCAAAGGAAAGATACTCTCAACCCAGAGATAATACATTTTAAAAGTAGCTGAGATTTTGTCAAAATGAGCCTTTCATATGAATAAGTATTCTTAATTATATCAGAAAGTAGAAATACAGTTAGCCAAGCCACCGGGACACAGATGTATTAAAACATCAATAAAAGCAGAGCTACATTAAATGAGAATAACTATAAGTCTTTTATAAAATTGTTGAAAGTTTGGATATTTTATTATATCTTAGGCCTCAAGCTCTTGACCCTGTCCAAAACCTCTCTACTGTCTAACAAGTCTTACAGGTGATCCTGAAGAGCGATGACCTTGTAAGACTTACTTAGATTTCAACCAACCCATCTCTAAGTGACCAAGTCCTCAGTGTGTCCTTCTTACAACCATAAATCCTGGTTGACCTTACTGAATGAATGAGTACAAGATAGGCTCTTGAAAGCAAGAGAAGATAATTCTTCAGTCCTGATGGTCACTGGAATGCTCTAAATGCTTGTGTCCTCTCTAAAATTCAAATGTTGAATATCTAATCGCCAATATGATGATTTTAGAAGGTGGAGACCTTGGGAGGTGATTAGATCCTAAGGGTGGACCACCCATGAAAGGAATTAGTGATCTTTTAAAAGAGGCCTCAGAGAAGTGCCTTGCCCTTCCACCACGTGAGGATACAGCAAAATGGTGCTATCTATAAACCCAAAAGTGGAACCCTCATCAGACACTGAATCTGCCAGCATTTTGATACTGGACATCTCAACCTCCAGAACTACAAGAAATTAATTTCCGTTGTTTATAAGCCACCCAGTTTATGGTATTTTGTTATAGCAGGCCAAATGAACTAAGATGGCCACCGAGGACCTTTTCTTTGCTCTGCATTTCTTTATGAATGCCCTTGCCCAAGCTTAGCCTTTCTTTTTTCTCTCTTTTGCAGCTTTCCCTTCAGTCATCAAACTGACTAACAGTAGAAGGAAAACCAGGCTTTTGATTTTGGACAAACTCATATACGGAGAGAACCACTTTCAAAAACACAGTTAAAAGAGCCTATTGATAACTCCTCTGGGAGTTAGTCTTTATACATCCATCTGTGGGACACGCACAGGCAGAATTGTGGAATATCACCTCAAAAAAGAAAAATAAGAAAGCAAGATCAGGAGAAATGAGACTGGAGCAGAACTGTCATGCACTGATCATCTCTGTGTGGAATGCAAAAATGGATATGGATATTAAACTCCAGGAGATGTTATTTGGGAAAGGTGACTGCAAGAAGTCAAGCTATTCAGAGACTATACCTGATCATGAACATTGTTCTACCTGTAATCGTGCTGAGAGAATAATATACTGGTGAGGGTGTGAGGGTGAAAGTATTATCACATTTGCAAAGTATAATGCAATTTCTCTCTCATGGAGTAAAACTCTCCCTCTCTCTCTCTCTGTCTGTGTCTCTCTCTCTTTCCTACCTCCACTGTTCTAGTAGACCTTGACATTCTGAAACTGGCCCAACTGTCCCATAGAACTGATGTTTATGGTTTCTTTGAATAAACACAGAAATTGATCCTCCTTGTCTTAAAACTTGAGAAAGTTACATTTGTCTTATCTGAGTTCTTCTCTCAGGAAACCAACCATCAGGCCTCCCAGGTAGTATCAAGGAGCTGAAACTTACCAGATAAAGACATCTGGACAATGAGAAGCCAGACTACTTACCCATCATGATTGCCTAATTGACAACTTGCTTCCTGTTGACCACTTCCTCTTCCTCACCTCCTCTTCTTTACCCTTCCCTAATTCCTGTTTCCTTACACCTGGTTACATTTCTTCCCTCTATATAAACCCCTACTTTTAGTCATCAGAGAGATGGACTTGGGACTGATTGCCCATATCCTTGGCTGCAGCACCCACTTAAAGCTTTCTTCACTGGCAATATTTGTTGTCTCAGTGGATTGGCTTTTTGTGTGGAGAGTAACAGGACCTGAACCAAACCTCGGCATTTTGGTAACAGATTTACTACAGAAACAGACACGGTTTGATAGCCTGACTCCTAGACTGATCTTAGCAGTTCAGGACCATCAGGTGCAGATTTCACAGGCAGCATGTGCCCTTACCAAAGATGTCGAATTGGGAGAGATGTGTGTTTCATAGCAACCAGGACTCCACCTTGATCCAGGTACAAAACACTGTGCTCTTCTTCAAAGATCTGGATGAGGAAAACACATACATGGACACACATCCACATCCACACATACCCAGGCTTCAGAGAATCAGTCTTCACATGAGAACAAAAATCCTTCCCATGATAAAAATAGGTTTCCCTAAATCTTTGCGAAAATAAAGCTATAGAACAGTTCTTCCCAACATGGGCTATTATACCATTGGTGTTGTACAAAATAATTTTAGGTGTGTATAAAATAAATTTGAACAATGAATATTTATGGGTTCATGCTTAGATTCCTTCATTTTCATGATAATTTCTATTGATTCCCAGTTATGATGATGTCAGAATATTGGTTAACTGTCATATATTATACATCTCTAGACAGAGGGAACCTTAGAAATCATTTACTCCAATAGTCTCATTTTCATAAATAAGAAATCTAAGGTTTAGAGAGATGTGGTAACTTGCCTGAGATCATGCATACAGTAATGGATAGAGCTTGGACTTGCTGCATTACAGTGCCCTTTCCAGATCTTATTATTTTGAAGTTTCCAACTGTTATCAAAGAAAACTGTTCTTGTTTAATTAATAGATGTTCCACCAAAATCATGGTGAGTTCTGTTGTCATCTTTGGGTACATGTGTCATTTGGTCTTTCTCCAAATGTAGAGAAAGAAATTTGAAGTCAAATGGAGACACAATGGAAACAATCTCTAGATCCTTTCTGTATAAGATGCATGCTGTTTTCTCGTCAGATTATTAGTGTAGCCTTGCCTGGAGTTACATTACAGACAATCTTCTTCCAATTTGTTTATTTCTTATACCCAAGATGCAACCCAAGACTATAGAAGTAAAGACTTCTTTGCCTTGCTTGCGGTGTTGGAAAGAAGAAAATGGGATCCTGGCTCTCTATTCTCCAGAGGAAGTTTACTTAGAATAGTCCAGGTTTCTACATACCTCCAAGATCAATTGCTATGGAGTTTCTTATGCAAATTTCTTCCCTTCCTCCTCCGCTCAAAATATCAGAATCCCACTGAGGATCTATAGAGGGTCTGAAGCTAAGAAATGGCATTTGGAATATAATGTGGACACCTCTGACTAAAATTTAAAGGAGAGTGCTCTCATCACTAAGTGTGATTACCTGTGCATTAGATTTCAATTTACAGTGCTAGTTATTGTATGATAATTAAACGTCAGTAGGTTATTAAAACATATTGATTGAAGTATAACAACCAAGCATTAGGTGCATATCTTGTTAAGATTGCTAAACCTCATTAAATGCCTGTTTTGTAAGCTATGGGTATCTAATTTTCATTCAGAAGAAAGGCAGGAAGCACTTAAGCTAAACACACTGGTTTAAAGTATTCCATTTCTACTTTCTCTAACATATGCATCCTGATGGTTATTACTCTGTCTTTTGCACATGAGATTTAAACATCTCAGAACACCACCTGGGTAATGGCCATTTCTATATCTGCATTCCTTCCTATTCTGACTTCAAGGCAAGGGGAATTTATGGAGCCAACTCAGCATTAGATATGTAATCTACCCTTAAGGCTGCATATTCCCTATATGATAAACCCTTAGGAATTCTGGTTTTCATCTGTGGGAAAAATTTAGTCAGACTTAATTTGGTTTCATTGTGACTTATAAACACCCTTACATACAAGCTCTGAGTAAGGAACATCTTTATTAAATGATAAAAAATCAAATTCCATAAATATTTGCTACACTCCAACATTTAAGACTTTTATATAAAAAGGAAAAATAAACATATTCACAGTCATTAGGATTTATGTGTAGCACCGCTGAAAAAAGTTCCCAGATTTGAACCAAGCTGGGCAATTTTTATGTTACTTAAACTTCAGCGATTTGACCCAGGGTATTTTCTTACCTGTCTCCAGGTGTTCCCTGCATCTGAAGAGACAAACATGCTGATGTCAGTGTCTGACAATTCAGAACCTATATTACCTAGAAAGAGAAAGGTGCCATTAGTGAAAAGAACTTTCTGCAAAAGCAACAATGGACTATATTGGCAGGTGCACTGCCTGAGAAAGATTTTGACTGCAAGCATTCTGTCTGTGCAGGGGTTTTCTGCAGACTTGCTTCAGGTCCAATGGTTTAGGTGCCTTTCAAAATTATTTTTAGCTTGCTCATTAAGTTCCAAGTACAGATATCTAGCTTCTTAAAATAAACTTCCAAGTACAGATATCTAGCTTCTTAAAATAAACACTATTTACCACAGCCAGCAAACCAGGTAAGCTTCTTACCTGATGCCACTATGATGCTTGGAGCTGTGTCTTTGCTGGCAATGATCCCTGATGTGTAGGGATTCTCAGAGACCTTCAGGTGAAGGTGTAGTGAGCAATAGGGCTGAAAAGAGAAATAATAAGTGCCACAAAATCACATAATCAAAATGGTCATTTGAAGCTCAGAATCAGATCATCCATCCATCTAACCAACCATCCCATTTACCATACATCCATGCACCACTCCAACCACCCATTGTATCTATACCTACCCAACATCTTCCATCCCCCAAATATCTAGTGTCCACTAAGTGTAAAACAGCCTTCAAGTTAGTAAAGACCACCTTCATTTTAGGTATAATCTAATTTGGTCTTTGTCATTACAGAGCTTACAATTTATATAGAGGGCATGAGATCCTTCCATTAATTACCATAAAAAGAGAATCTTTTAACAGCCATAAAAAATGAAGAGACAAAATAGTATGAGATTCTAGAAGGTGGAGAGACTATGCTGAACTTTGAATCATGAATGACTCCAAAAAGAAAACAGTGCCTGAAGCAAAGATGGATAGGCTATGAACAGTAGGTAGATGTTCAAGACGTTAAAGAATATTTCAAGCCTGAGTAACAGCAATAACAAAGAAAAAGAAGCAGAAAAGCTGAGCAGCACAGTATGTCATCAGAAAAGACTGAAGAGGAGAAATGGGATATGAAGCCAGGAGAGAAGGTCAAGTCAAGCTGGGAGGATTTTGAAAAAGTAGGTTGGCATCTCTTAGTCATTCTCCATTTGAGACCTTGGTCTCAGTTGTATAGAAAAAGTATGTGAAATTATCCAAATACCCGCCAGACAACTGACCCAGTATCTCTACCAGGATATTATCAGAATCAGAAATATTCAATATAAAAGTCACACTTGTAGACAAAATGCACTAGTAGTAAAAATTTAACTGAAAATGTAAGGGACTTGTTTGTGCAGAAACCTCATTCAAATTATCTGATTGAAATATCAACAGTTTTCAAGAAAAAAGGATAATAAATCTTATATGAATTTTGTTTAAAATAGTTCTTGTACTGAGTTGTCAAAAAATATAAGTTTGTGTTTGAGCCCACATTTCTTTTCATATCTCAGGAAGATTACTTTCTAATCTTATCAACTTGAGTTTCTGGAATCACCAGTGTATCTCTGTTATTACTTTTATTCTGCTCTGTAAGTTTCAGCCAGCAGACATTCAGACACCTACAGATACAATGATTAAATTTATATAGGATGGAGTAAATGACAAAGTGAAAATGAAACTCAGGAATAAAAACAGCCAGAACGCTGGTGAAATAAAACAGCAGATCACAATGGGATATTTTCTTTACTGCCAACAAAGTAAAACTCTCAAGGTGCACTAATAGTAACAAATGATTGGTTTTGCATAAAAATTTCATGTAAAGCTTTCAAAAAAAGGAGTTTTGACTTTATAATGTTCTATAGGACTAAAGAAGACAGCCCCTATTAGAAGAAATATCAGGCCTAGACTCTTGGCTTTTATTTGTCCAAGAGGAAGACTAGAACAGATATAATTAAATGCTGTGGATGTTCCAGAACAGCATAGTACAACACTCAGATGATGTAAGACAGGGTAAACCAGGAGTGCAAAACCAGTTTTCCATGAAAGTCTTCCCGATAACTGCAGCCTATCAGGCTCTCCTCTCCTCTAATCCACAACAATTTGTTTCACTATGCACAATCTTGTATTATCTATTTCAGGTACATACAATTATATCTCTCTAAGAATACACTCTATAAATAAAGATAACTGATTAAGTACTGTTTCGCATCTTTTGTGAAACCTAGCATAGAATCTAAACAAGATAATAAATAGAAGCTTGCAATATCAAGTAATGCTTTTTTGTTGGGACATGAAAGATATCACTTTACTATTTTACTCAGAGCAATGCCAGGAGTATGTGGGCTGGATTATCAACCACATAATCTGAATAATGTTGTGAGCATCTGTATGGCATTCCAAGAAGTAGACTACTGCTTGCGGATTATCCCTAGACATATGAGCTTAACAGAGGACTTTCTGCACCACCAAACAGAGGAGGACATCCCTAGCCAGGAGAGCACCCAACTTTCAATCTTAAGCCAGTTGCTTGCCACTGCTGGAAGATTTTGAGTTATTTGCCACCTGACCTAAGGATTATTTGGTAAGGGGCAGTTGCCATTACAAAAGAAAGATGTCAGGCCGGGCATGGTGGCTCACGCCTGTAATCCCAGCACTTCGGGAGGCCAAGGTGGGTGGATCACTTGAGGTCAGGAGTTCGAGACCAACCTGGCCAACATGGTGAAACCCTGTCTCTACTAAAAATACAAAAATTAGCCAGGCATGGTGGTGGGCACCTGTAGTCCCAGCTACTCGGGAGGCTGAGGCAGGAGAATCACTCAAACCCGGGAGGTGGAGGTTGCAGTTAGCCAAGATCACACCACTGCACTCCACCCTGGGTGACAGAGTGAGACTCCATCTCTAATACAAAACCAAAACAAAAACAAACAAAAAACAAACAAACAAACAAAACAAAAAACAAGAACAAAGAAAAGATGTCATTTTTCCATTGGCTACCTCAGCATGCCTCTGTTGCTATGGCTTTCAGAGGGCTGGGATACATTAATCTGAGGAAAAAAGACACCAGTTCACTCAGTAACAGCAACATTAGAAATGATCTTTTGGTGTACTTTTTTCTCCACTCTCACATTTGTAGTACTGGATTGCCCCCAGCTGGTATAAGGAAAATATTCTGTGGCTTTTTTCTTTCATTTTCTTCAAGGAAGTAACATAGTCTACACAAATATTTAAGGAAAAAACAGTGTGAAGTGATTCATCTTCACTTTTTTAACTTAAGCTGTTGTACTGACCAGTTTTGGACATTTGTCCAAGTTAAGTCATAAATAATTAATATAGTTTATATTAGTATATTTTATTATAATGCTTATCAAACCCCTCCAAGTTTCTGAAGGACACAGGACAAAGCTCTCCAGTCCTTATGCACATTTTGCCCAGGCTGGGGGCACATCATAGGCCCCTCTCTTCATTTCTCTTGTCTTCTGCCTTCTTTTCTCTCATTAGCAAATATGTGCTGAGTACCTACATATGCTAATAGTCACAATAGTTATCTCCAAGTCAATAGAGTCAAAGCACAGCCTGTTCCAAAGGCAGTTCTCTATTTTCCTGACCTTTCCACATTAAGAAAATGTAGAAATGTACACCCAAACCACCAATGCCAGCAGCTGACCTACAGAGGACAGAATGACCAGCACACATGCTTGGAAGCTGCCCTTTGCATCCTCACACATAGTCACAGGCCATGGCATATCATCAATTGGTAAATTCTAGGAGCAACTAGACTGTTAGTCTGTAATCTTTTCTGGGTCAGGTACAAAGTTTGGGGATCTGATGCAAATGAAAGACCAAGAAAAAGTGCACAGACACAACCATACAGAGTTTTTCACTTAATTTCAGGGAGTCTGCAAACCCCGAAACCCATAAGTGGACCTCTAGTTACTAGTTACCTTTCTTTGCCTGATTCTTTTAACCAATAAAATACTTTGGCTATTCCAAGTGTTCAATAAATGTCTGCTGAATTTAACTGATCCATTATTATTGTTTACTTCAAATATTTATCATTTATTCCTCTTGTCTAACTGAAACATTGTACCCTTTGACCAATATCTCCCTATTTCCCCCAACTTCTAGCCTCCAGTGACTACCATTCTGTCTCTGCTTCCATGAGTTTGATTGTTTTAGGTTCCACATAGAAGACAGAAATGCAGACTTGGTCTTTTTGTACCTGGCTTATTTCACTTAGCATAATGTTCTCCAGCTGATCCATTAATTATCTACTGTGTTTCTAGCATTGTGGATCCCACTGGGGAATTACCATAAAATGGAAGACATTTCCCCACCATGTAATAAATCAACTTTAAAAGCTGTTATATTACTTAAGGGTCAACCAGCTTCAAATCCCAATTCTTTCTCCTCAGCCTCTGTATCAACTGCCTTTAGATGCTATCTTCATGGTACCTTTATCTCCATGGTATCTAATCTGAATATTGTACTGAAAGGACAGATCAGAGCTTTTGTAAAGAACAAGCTCCCAAATAGTATCCCCAACACTCTCCCTCCCGAAATACATACTCATTTGTATAATTTCTTTCTTTGAGTTGGAACTCAAATTTATTACATCTTCAATAAAGAGTCAACGGCAAAGAGGAAGGAGGCCCCTGGAACAACTGGCTGGGTATGGGGAATTCAGCTCCAGCCCAAATCAGCAAAATATATAGAGTCACAGACAATGGAAGAAAGGTGAAAAACAGATTCTCCAATGGAAGAAAGGTGAAAAACAGATTCTCCTGGGGCAGCTGTCTGCTCAGCTCCAGTAGCAAACTGCCAGATAGGCCGGGCACGGTGGCTCATGCCTGTAATCCCAGCACTTTGGGAAGCCAAGGTAGGTGGATCATGAGGTCAAGAGATCAAGACCATCCTGGCCAACCAACATGGTGAAACCCTGTCTCTACTAAAAATACAAAAATTAGCTGGGCATAGTGGCACACACCTGTAATCCCATCTACTCGGGAGGCCAAGGCAGGAGAATCACTTGAATCCAGGAGGCAGAGGTTGCAGTGAGCCGAGATCGCACCACTGCACTCCAGCCTGGGTGACAAAGTGAGACTCAGTCTCAAAAAAACAGAAAAGAAAAGAAAACTGCCAGATGAATCCACAAAGTCAGCGCCTCTTTCCATTAAACACTGTGCTTTCCCTAAGGGCCCAAGGATTTGTCACAGGCTCAGTTCAGCTCACATCTTGCCCCTTGGGAGCCCAATCCTGAGGCATTGGACGCAGGTGGACCATGACCTGTAATATTCTATCTAATTGTACAATGCAGTCTTCAGAGGAAAGAAATCCCAGCTGGGCCCTCCAGGCAATCAGTCTAAAAGTCCTAAAAATATAGCCCAAATTACCCTAGATGTTTTATTTCTATAGCATAGATTTTTACCAGGAACACTGCATTCGGGCTGCAATTCTGAACTTATTCCACATCTGTAACAGCCCTGCTGAAAAAATCTCTTTTCTAATCACTAGGCTGTGCTTTCAGTGACACTGTCACTTTCCAAGTACTCACAATCGAAATCACTTTTTATCTCATCTCTGCCACCAGCTCCCAAGCCTAAAGAAGGTTTTTAACAGTCTTCGTCTCCTGTAGCTCAAAGATTTTCTTTCCTATTTAGTGCCTTTGGCAGATTTTTGTAAAGTGATTTTGGTCTCTCCTCCCTGCTTCCCTTTGTCATTTTCCCCTTCTCACCTGCAGCCTGCTTTCTGAAGCTCAGGTTGAAACTACATTAAACAACAGGGTTAACTAAGAAGGAAGGCTGGAAAACTCCCGAGTTCCATACATCTGTGTCCCAATAATCCCTCTTTCTTCCATCTTAATGAGCTTCCTGCTTTTGTTAACTTTGGGTTCCACTTGAGCCCACGAGCTTCAGAAGGTAGAAAATGTGACAAATCCTCCAGTGGACTCTCAGAGGGAATGAACAGCTTCCATTAAAATCCAAACGCGAAACTGTCACAACACCTTTCGATGGAGTGCACACTCCCAACGTGGCACCCCTAATGTTGAGCCCCTACCACATGGGTTGAGCCCCTACCACATGGCAGGTATGATTCCTGGAGTTGATTCTTTGGAGTGGTCAAAAACACAGGCACCGTCCCTAGGTTCATGAAGCCCACACTTCAGCAGGCAAGATGGACAAGAAAATTAAGTAGTACACCTGCTCATTTCAGATAACAATAAGGACCATGAAGAAAAAAAGAGTTAAGACAAATACAACTTTAGGGGATGCTCAAGAAAGTTCTCTAAAATTAAGATAATGAAGCAATGATCTGAAGGCCAAGAACAAGCCAGACAAAGAGAAGGGCATTTTAAGAGAAATTATAACAAATGCAAAGACCCTAAGAGATACATGAACATGGTGAGTTCACAGTATGCAAAGAAACACCCCCTCCTCCACTCTGGCTTACATATAAGGAAGAAGGGGAGGAGGGAGAGGCTGGAGACCAGGGAGGAGAACTACACAGGGGCCAGATCACATGGGGCCTCATCGGTCATGATAAAGTATTTTTATTTATTCTACATGTATTAGAAGCCATTAGAAGGTTTAAGGAAAGAAGGGATACGATCTGATTTTTCAAAAGTTCAAGTTGATAACATTTACACACAATTTTAAAAAACAGCAATCTGATATATAGTAAAATAAAGTGGATCATTGGTTGTGCTGGGCTGAGAGTGTGGGTTCTAACTGCAAAGAGGCACAAAGGTATTTTTCAGGGCAATGGAAATGTTGTCTTGATTGTAGCAATGGTTATATCGGTATATACATCTGTCAAAATTCATTGAACTATACTCTTAAAATCGGTATGTAAGTATATTTTACCTCAAAATAAAGTTGATTTTTTAAAAAAAATGGTCCCATTGGCTGCTGTCTAGAGAAGTGATTGCCAAGTAAAAGTGGGAGGACCAGTTAGAAGCCTGCCACTGTGGATCAGGTGAGCAACAATGCTGGCTTGGATTAGGGCAGTCCCAGTGGTGATGGGGAAGTAAGCTGATATTACATTTATATTTTGGAAGTACAACAATAAGAGTTTCTGACACTGCGTTGGGGGTGAAGCAGGGAATACCTTGCTAAGTGCTTAAAAGCCATTTTTAATGGTTCATTTATGATGCCAGAGTCCCCAGGCAAGCCCATTTAGGTGACATGGTTAATTATCTCTCATAGGCATTTAATCTCCAAAGTGCAGAGTAGAGACCAGCTTAAGGAACTGGCATATCCCATGCATCTTTGGTTAAGCAGCACTACGCTCCAACTTGCTATAGCTGAACTAGGAAGGTGGCCCTGTTTTTTAAAATGCCACCAAACTGTGCCTTGCGTAGAGTAGGTATTCAATAAATAGCTGCTACATTTACTTACTCTGTCACTGGCATTGTGCACTTACTATAACAACTGGCTTTTTCCTCCTCTTAAGTTGCCAGTAATAAGGATAGAAGCTGAGTGGGAGGCTGAATTTTAGACTGCTTCCCTGATGCACAGTGACAACTGTGATATCCTCTGCAACTAATAAGGTCAAGCTATGGCTGCTGGCATCTTCTCAACTAGAAGGGTGACCCGCCTACAGCTGTAAGAGATGAACCTGCAAAGTGACTGTCCAGACTTTATGGGATGGAAGGAAGCAAGCTGAGTGCGGATAACATCAAAGTCAGAACCGCATGAAGAGTGTGAACAACTATATATGTGTAGTTCATACACACACAACCCCCTCCCCTACAAGCCCTTCTTACTCAAATGAAGTGGTCCTCCCTCTAGGCTTACACAATCAGCTGTCCTTTTTCTAAATGTAGACACAACTTCTGAAGTGTTTTACAGACATTGATAGTATTAATAATGTTTGCAATTTGCAATTTGCCTCTTCCTCGCCTCCTTCTGCATTCACTCATTACTTATCTGTGTGTCAAAATTGGGGCAGGCATCAGAGCTACTAAGAGGAATAAGACGTGACCCTGCAATCTTCCATTTATTAATCTAGACACATTCAAGTAGACAAGTAGACTGCAAACTCCTTGAAAGCAAGATTCATCTTTGATCCTCCTTTTGGATGCCATCATATATCAAATATATAAATAAATTCATACTAATCTATATACTGCCCAAATGTAAGGCAACTAAAAGAAAGCCATACTTTAAAGTAGGGGTCAGCAAACCTTTGTAAAGGGCCAGATAATAAATATCAGGCTTTTTTTGTGATACAGATAATAAATACCTTGGCCTTTGTTCACCAAACAAAGTCTCTCTCGTGACTACTCAATTCTGCCTTTGTAGAGTGAAAGCAGCCGTCAACAATACATGAATGAATAAGCATGACTGTGTTCCAATAAAACCCTATTTAGAAAAACAAGTGGTGGGCCATATTTTTCCCACAGGCTATAGTTTGCCAACTTCAGTTTTACGGAGTAAGACATAAATGAACAGAATATATTGTAAAGAATACCAATAAGGGTATAAATCAGTGGTTCTTACCTTTTTTGAGTCATAAACTCCTCTGAAAATATGATTAAACATCTCCACAAGAAAATACACCTACACGACTCTGCATTCAGTTCATCAACTCTACAGCTGAATTTATGTATCATTAGTTCTGCAACAGGTTACTCATGAGAAAATAGGTTGTTCAGTGTGTATCCTCACCAGGGATAGAAACTGTCATATTCTCCCTCAAACTACCATTTGAGGCCCTCATCAGAACTTGGGCGGGAAACAAGGATCCTGGAAGGGCACAAGAAATATGCCCATGTTCTCCCATCTCTTTGGCACATCACACTAGGCAGTGCTGTGAGTTTTCTACACCCTTTGCCTTCACGCCCTTCCCCACTCCCTTTTGTTCATCAACTGAGCAAAAGTCCCAGAACTATCCTCACCCTCTGTTAAATATCCATTTCCATCCCTCTACTGTGTGAGGCATTCTGCTTCAATAGGAAGACTCACCAGCAAGCAGTGCACGGGGTCCCCCCTTAGATCCGTGTCCGGCGCCTGCAGCAAACGCCAGTCTCTGCCTTTGTTATATGTGATGAAAGTCTTCACTTGGTTGTCAATCTTCTTGTTAGCCAAGAACATTCCCTTTATCCCTGCTACCTGGGAAAAATTGACATGGCTGAAAAATACATCAATTTGAGAAGGGATATATTTGTTTACTTTTTAAAAAAAGAAGGCTGTCAAAGTCAGCTGAGAGCACTTGCCTTGGAGGAAAGAAAGGTTGACGATGGGGGAAGGAGGTGGCTCAAGGTATAATGACTTCCTAGGCTACTGGACAAACAACAACAGATTGGTGATCCTTATCATATGGGGGTCACAACAGGAGTTTGATAGGGGTTTCTTATTACCCCTAACATAGGCTGACAGGAGCCCGCAGTTGCCAAGAGATAAATTCTCATGGTTTCAGCTCTGTTGCTTGGTAAGTAATAATAAATAAATAGGGGCTACTTCTATTGTATGCTAGTGTAGCACCCAGATCTCACTTAATCCTTAAAACACTCCTCTTTGGTATCGTTTATTCTATTTCACAGATGAAGAAAGCTCAGGCTCATCCAAACAAAGTGACTTGCCTAAGGTCACACTGCCCAAGGGCACACAGTAAGTATCAGACTCAGGATTATTAACCCACAACTCTGCGGCTTCACAGCTCATGCTCTTAATGCCTACCTCAATTATCAAGCTATCTGCAGGCTTGGGCAGTTGAAAGAGGCAGTTAAAGCTCCTGAACCAATTACTGTTGCTTTATTTCTATGTAAGATCTCTCTGTTAAGCCACCAGAATACACGGAACATAAGAGGACAGCTTTTAAATTTAAATAAATGGTGATTTCCCTAAATCATCAAATACTCCCTACTTTGTTTTTATAACATGGTTGTTCTCAGCCTAAACAGATGCTATTAATTATTTGGCTCTGAAAATATGATTGTCTCCTCCCTTCTATATGTTAGGTAAGAAGTAGTAATTAGTAATTTGTCAAACTATTACAAAAGCAAATAATTGTGCATTACATTTTTCTTGTGTTTTGGAGTTTATCAAACACATTCATGCATATTTTACCCTGCTTGCAACTGTAACAGCTCAGGAAAACTGGAGGGCAGTGAGGAAAAGGACTGAAACATGTTGAGTAATGCATTCCAATGCTGCATGTACATTACCTCATTTAATACTCAGAATAACCATGGAATAATTATCATTAGCCACATTTTGAGGATGAGGAAATAGATACTTTGACTTGGTGGCTTTCTGGAACACACCTAGGGAGTAAGTGAGCAGGCTAGCAAGCCTATTTGAACCTACTTAACTTGGGCCCTTTATAACACGAAAAATTTTTAAGCAGAATAGTGAAGCAATTAGCTGTCACCTCTCCAGACCTCGCCAAACGCCAAGCACTATGTCCAGCATTTTATTTACAAAACCTCCAATACTCACTACAAACCTGCACCTGCAGCTTTTACCCCAATTCTACAGATAAAGAAACTGAGATCACAGAAAGTTGAGATTCACACCCAAATCTGCCTGACTTCCAAGATTGTTTCAACAAATACAGCTTGAATTTGTCAATTCTAAGAGGTTGGGTTTCAATCGATAGAAGACACACATTTTGCCTTTGCTTTTGACAGTCAGACCTCATTAGTGTGTACCTGCTGATCTGGCATCTGGGATAATTTATAGTTGGGCCAAATTTGTACTCTTTTGAAACAACAAGCATGTTAAACAACTAAATGGTATAAATGAGCTGCAGAGAGGAATACTTTGAACTATCATACTCAGGAAACAAGGTGCATTCTGTGCAATCAGTAGCAGCCAGACCAACTTCTTGTGCATTGTCTAAACTCAACAAATGTGGAAGGCATAAACTCCAGGAGCACTCTACCTCACAACAGCAGTGTGTTAATTACAAATAATATTTAGTAATTTACTACACCAGCTCCGCAAGGGCTTCCCACCAGGGAATTCCATATTGGTTTTGTATATGTTCAAGAAGCTGTTACATACTCAAATATGAATAAACTGCCAGTTCTTTAAAAAATTAAATTACGTAAATCAGAATTTCACAAAGTCATACTGGTCCTTCCTCTATACCATTCCCAGAAATGACAAATGACCATGTCTTAGCCATTCAACACTCTAAAGGGTGACAATAACTGCAGAAGGAATAAAAATGTTACCTATTCCAGTAGTTTCATTGCCCATTTTCCTTCCTGCCCTCTCCCTCTTCTGGCAAGGGTGCCAGCGCAGGGTTATACATGTTTGGGAGCTGGTTCATTTGATTCGCAGAAGTGGCGACTTTATTGGCCCCCGACTGCTTGGCATTATCAAATGCCACTTGAGCAAAGAGCTGTGCTTTGTAATTCATCTCTGGCAGCTTGGCCTTCAGGTTTATCTTGAGGAATAAAAACTTGGCAAAGTAAAGGGAATGTGTATCGACAGGGGATAGAGCTGGAGAGGGTCTGCTTATTGCTTATTTTCCTCTTGCAGCCAAGGCACTTTGTCCATTTAAGGTAGGGTTTTTTATTTTGTTGTTTTCTTTTGTTGCTTTGGCCTGGTCTGCAAATGTAGTCAGCCCTAGTCTTAGGTTTTTGTGCTATTCACTGTTCCTTTCACTCTGAGCTTGAGAAATCCGTCTTTCTGTGTGTCTCACGGAAACCCCTAGGCACGCACAAGCCACCTTCTTCCAGTACTCTATTCTAAGGTCTCATCCTACGTTTCTTGGAACCTCTACCCTCTCACTGTAGGACTTTGGCTATCAAGGGGACTAATACCAAGCATTAGTGCCCCAAATGTGGAATGTGTGTGGGTGTACATGGGTGTACCTGTCTATGCATGTAGTATATGTCTCTCTTTGTGTGAGTGTAAGGTCTGAGGTTCCACTGAGGATGAGGGAGCATGTTTATGTTTCTAGATAACCTCTCTGTATCCATACTGCATGCATATTTATGGAATAGAGTGGAGCTAAGGGATGGGGTAGGGTGGGGTAAAGTAATATTTCCTACGGAAGCCATGTCTTCCCATAGACACAGAATTTCTGATGACAAACCTCCCATGGGAATGGTACATCCCACTGTTGGAAGTCTGTCCTCCTTTGGGAAAAGAATTGTTGCCTTTAATGCCCTTCTGAATTCTGCATAAAGATCTTTAAGAATTCTAAGTGTGCTGGAATGCTACTTTAGTCCCTTTGCTTCTCCTACAGAGAAATTTGCTACCAGACATCTCAAAAGTAATTAATAGTTATTTCTTATTATTTAATATCATATAAGTCAAGATATCATTTTAATTAGACTAAATATGAAGTGTTATAGCTCAAACCTTAAGCCTAACACAAAGTACATCGGTGCATTTCCTGTTGCCAACGTGATGGTCTCAGAACACTTCCTTCCCTTCTCTTATCTGACTCTCTTTGTTCACAAAGGCCACCCCCAACTCCCTGAGAAAGCCTCCTGATGTGCCTCTACCTATTCATCCTTAAAGATTCAGCTCATAAACCTTTTCCAAAAACCAGGATCTCTTTTCATCCTGATTATCCCAACACTTCTCTGTTCTTTAATTTGTCTCTCATACAGATGGTATCTGTATCTTGACTGTCAAGAACTGTGGGATCTTCCTAGGGGACTCAATATTCCTGTAAACATCTCTAGTACTCCTTATGCTCTTTATCATAAATTAATTCCAATTTGGTCATCCCCTGTGTGACCTCTCACATTATGGTCTCCTACTCTAATACAACCTTCGGATTGTCATTCACTCCACCAACCTGCTCTTTAAAATTAATAACAGTAAAGTAACTTTATACAAAGAACCCTGTTTGTTTGTTTGTTTGAAACAGGGTCTCTCTCTCTCTGGCACCTAAGCTGGAGAGCAGTGGTGTGACCACAGCTCACTGCAGCCACGACCTCCTGGGCTCAAGCGATCCTCCCACCTCAGCCTTCCAAGTAGCTGAGACTACAGTTGCACACCACTATGCCCAGCTAATTTTGGGTTCTTTTGTTTGTTTGTTTTGTTTTGTTTTTGGTAGAGACAGGGTTTTGTCACATTGCCCAGGCTGGTCTCAAACTCCTGGGCTCAAGCAAGCCACCTGCCTTGGCCTCCCAAAGTGCTGGGATTCCAGGTGTGAGCCACAGCGCCAGCCCCTGTTTTTTTTCCTACTGAAATAGGTAGTAAGAGTTCTGCATTAGAAGGTACAACACCCAAGCCTCTGGTAACCACGACTGGGGAGAAGATGCGAGGAGGAGAAATGGGGAATGACTACTAATGGTTGTGGAGCTTCTGTACTGGACAATGAAAATGACCTAAAATTGTGGTGGTGGCTGTGCAGCTCTGTGAACACACTAGAAACCACTGGATTTTACATTTTAAGTGGGCAAACTGTATGATATGTGACTTACATCTTAATAAAGCTGTTTTAAAGGAAAGATATAACAATCCAAATTTATTGATTATTAAATTTCAGGTACCAGAGGTTGAACATCCCTAATCCAGAAATCCAAAATGCTCCAAAACTTGGAATGTTTTAAGCACTGACATGATGCTATAAGTGTAACATTCTACACCTAATCATATGTGATGGGTCACAGTCAAAACACAATCAAAACTCTAAAGAAAAGAAAAATATTTAAGGTGATGAATAATCTCAAGTATACTAATATGTTATTTACTAATTATATAAATGTATTAAATTATTATATATACCCTGAAAATGTGTGCCTATTATGTACCAATAAAAAATAAAAAATAAATTTCTAGAATACAAAAAAACTGTTTAATGCACAAAATTATTAAACATATTGTTTAAAATTACCTTCAGGCTATGTGATAAGGTATATATGAAACATAAATTAACCCTGTGTGTACACTTGGGTCCCAGTTCCAATATATCTCATTATATATATGCAAATATTGCAAAATCCAAAAATGTCTAAAATCTGAAACCCTACTGGTCCCAAGCATTTCAGATAAGGTATACTCAACCTGTACATGAAAGGCTTTGCAAACATGAACTTGTGAATCTTTGCATGCTTTAGAATTCATATTATCCTTATTTTACAGAAGAGAAAACTGAAATTCAGATGTGGCTAATCACTTGCCTAAGGTCATCCCATTGGAGAATCTTAGATCTGGACTCCAAGTCAGTCTGTCTAACTACAGAGTCTACACCCTTAGGCCTGTGGCTGTACTGTCTCTTCGAACTTCTCTCTCATCCTAGAGTGGCCTGAGAGAAATATCGTATCAGAATGTTCTACTCAAAGAAATTGTATTTTATTCAGTCGTTAGTACATTTACTCTAGCCATTCAATAAATATTTTCTGAGCATCTACTACGTATCATATGATCTTCTAGGCACTTGGCAGATATAATATGTAGAAGATCTCAACAACTATCTTTTTTGAGAGTTAGAATGTGCTAGGTGCTGAGAATTCCTATTTCTTTGGTGACTTAAAGAAAAAAACACAGGTATCTCCCTTGCTTTTTAGGTTTACTTTCTGGATGGTTCTGTCCTGTTCTTATGGGAATCAGTCTTCCCATAAATATCTCTAGTACTTCTTATGCTCTTTATTATAAATCAATTCAAAGGAACTTACATATTTGTGTAAGAAAACCTTTTGTAAGTTCCATGCAGAGGCTAAGTTGGGAAGACTCCTGTGCAAGAGTTTTTGCTTATTTCTGCCTTTAATGCTGACTAAAAGATGAATACTACCTACCACCCTCTCAGTCTCAGACTTAAATTACAAATCCTAAGTGCCAAAATTTCAAAAAAAAATTAAAAAGATGAAACAACGACTGTGGCAAGAAAGAGAACATATTCATGGCCACAATTTCTTTGGGCTTTGTGGATGGGATATTTTTCTCGAGAGGACAACAGGAAGGATAAACATGAGGCCGGGGTGCCTTCACAATCAGGGAACCCACTGGCCAAGAAAAACCTAAATGTTCTTTCCTTCTCTGTTGCCTCAACCAAAGAGCACTCTCCTCCTCAAACAGCACTCTCCTCCTCTAGAGACAGTAGCCTGAAATAATAGTACATTCTTTTATTATTATTATTTTTCCTTTTTTGAGGAGGAGTCTTGCTCTGTCGCCCAGGCTGGCACCATCTCGGCTCACTGCAACCTCCACCTCATGGGTGCAAGTGATTCTCCTGCCTCAGCCTCCCAAGTAGCTGGGACTTCACCACACCCAGCTAATTTCTGTATTTTTAGTAGAGATGGTTTCGCCATGTTGGCCAGGCTGGTCATAAACACTTACCCTCTGGTGATTCTTCTGCCTCTGCCTCCTAAAGTGCTGGGATTACAAGCATGAGCCACTGCACCTGGCCAATAGTACATTCAATATCCTGTAATAAATGTATCTTCAATAGGACAGCATTTTTCTTCCCTACCTCCTAAACTAGATTGTAAGAGGCAGTCTTGCTCCAAAAAATCAAGATGTATGCTATATTATCATAACCGTTGAGTTTTCTCTTTTAAAGAGAGGGTACTCATAACGTACAGAAGACACTGTGTGTAACAGAACATGCCCTGGTCACTGGCTGTCCTTCATGACACCCACCAGGGCTCACTCATGTATGCACACATTCTTGTGTATTCTGAATTTGTCAGCCAGGTGGCTTCACTCCCAACACAACCCTTTGCACTCAGCTGGGGTGAACTGTCATTGTCTATTAAGCCAAAGTGCTCTTCATCATCATTAATTAATATTCACTTCCCAAAGGAGAGAAGGTACCATCCAAACCTGTCAGGCTCCCTCTCATCATCCACACTACACAAAACCATCAGGCATCACTCTTCTCACAGACACTCAGCACATTTTTTTTTTGCTCTGGCCACCATCAGACATGCAGCCTGATGCACTGCATGATGCACACGATGCACCGGACCATTCATTCTATTCAGGTGTGATGGAGTTTTAGGACACTTGTTTCCAGGCTTTTCTTACACAAATACATCCACCCGACAAGACTGTGAGCCATGTGTAAATATAGCCTGAACTTAGCTGTAACTAAGGACTTGGTACTAAAGGTGCTGCATAGATAGGTCTCGGGCAATCAAACTTCTGATTCTCTTTACATTGACTTTTCCCCAGATCATTTTCTTCTTCCAGTCTTCTGTTTTCACTGGTATGCAAAGTCTAACCCTATTTACCCTGCCCTTCTACGTTCTTCAGTCTTAATGCTGTCACTCTTCCACAACCAAATACAAGCCCAGATGCTGATCCTTCAGGAAAAATGTGACAGTCTATAGTTGAGAGTTTGCACACTCTAGGGTTTAGGTCCTAACTCTGCCACTTACCATCTTTGCGGTCTTGCAAAAGTTGCTGTATTCCCTCTGCCTCCATTTACTTATATTTGAAGTGAAAGTGACAACAGTCCCTACCTCATAATGTATGTACTGAATGGGAGAGTTATGGAAGGTTCTTTACACCATGCCTGGCATAAAGTGGCCCAAAATATTAGCCATTATTAATGATATCAATTAATGATATTAATGATAACAAAATTCATTTCTAGTATTTTTGCTCTGTGGCCAACTTTCCTGGCTCTCATTTCTTGGCTCTCTTGAATGGAGTCCAATTGACACTGATGGAAAATTCTGATATTTCAATAACTAAACCATACAAGCTGTACCCTCAACACTTTGTCTCCAGCATTTCTCTCTCTCATTCCACACACACACATAGTTCTAGGGTAGAGAACACAGAATCTGTAGCCAGGTTCCAATGTATTTGCAAACAAAATGCTTAATTTTAATGAGCACAGTGCTTCCTTCTGCATTTTTTAGAAAGACCCGTCAGCAATGCACATCCTTGATACACAGATCCATCTACATGTTTATACATTATACAGTTCACCTCTGCTAAAATAGCCTGAAGAGCTCACAAAGGCAGGAATAGCACATAATTGGCATGAAGAAGCAAACAAAGAACAAAGGCCATCCTCTTCAGTCACCCCAAATGTGAGCAGACATGCACTCCATGTATGCTATCTCTGTAACCCCCACCTCATGTGTTGCTCATCTTTGCTCCTTAGTAATTCATTTATGGATTTTCTTACTTCTCATTTATCTCTAAACTCTCATCATTCATTGCAATTCTACTGGGAAATTCATGCTGGATGGCTTTCAGCTTCCTGCTAGCCAGAACAATCAGATTTAAGGGAACATTTGTGCCAGGCTCTGTGTCAGCCAATATTCTTTCTATCTAGGTAATCAGCAGATACGGCACTGCCGTTCTGATCACATCAATTTCAATTCAAGTTGCTGTGAACTGTCAGGCTAATAAAACAAAGACTCCTCTCTCCCAGCCCCAGGATGCAGAGCACCTTTACATAATACAGTCACATCACTGCTCAAAATGATGATAATAAGAGCCAGCAGTTTCCCTACAGATAGTCAACTGCAAGAGAGGCACAAAGGGGAAACACAAGATTAACAAAGCAATGTTTGGCATGTCCAGAGGTCGCCTTGTTTCCTCTTTTCATTTCATACCTGTTACCGATGTTTGAATTCAGAAAACTAGTCATGAAAATAGCTGCAAACAACAAGACATTGCAAAGTCATTCCTGTCTAAATTTGTCATTTTTTCATCATCAAGGGACCAATTAAAATGGTTTTTATTTCTGGCAGTAAACAAAATTTATCCAGAGAATCAATTCCATGTTGACACAAAAAGAGGGAAGAGGATAATCAGGAAGGGGAAAATGGAACCTGAAAGTCAGAATATGTTTTTGGGAGACTAAGGATAGAACGAGGGCTAGGAAAGAAAACTGGGGATTAAGCTTGGGCAGTTGCTTTGACTTCATGCCAGTGGATGCTCAGAGCAAGAATCCTTCCATTTCAAGTGTTCAGTCAAGGCAAGAAAATGCATGGCATTTCAACAAAACATACTTCAAGTTAAAATGTTTATAATCTATTTACAAATGAAAAGAGAAATGTTGCAATTTACACTTATTTATAAGAAGACAGCTACTTGGTATAGGCCATAATCCCAGCACTTTGGGAGGCCGAGGCGGGCAGATCACAAGGTCAGGAGTTCGAGATCAGCCTGGCCAATATGGTGAAACTCCGTCTCTACTAAAAATACAGAAATTAGCCGGGCATGGTAGTGGGAGTCCCAGCTACTCGGGAGGCTGAGGAAGGAGAATAGCTTCAACCCAGGAGGCGGAGATTGCAGTGAACCAAGATCACGCCACTGCACTCCAGCCTGGGTGACAGAGTGAGACTCCATCTCAAAATAAATAAATAAATAAATAAAAGACAACTACTTGGTATAAAGAATGTCACGTGGCTGCACTAATTTCAGTATGGGAAGATGTAGGAATCCAAAATAATATAAATGTTTTGGGCATTTACACAATGCAGGGAGATGTTAAGGCTATGAGAGTAGAAGAACACTGTAGTGGTGCTTGAACACATTGGAAAATAATATTAAAGCCCTGTGCTCCGTGCTTTGAAAGGATTAACTCATTTAATCCTCAGAAAAATCACATCTAGTAGGTTTCATGTTTATCTCCATATTTTAAGCAACGAAACTGTGGCTCAGAAATTACTGGATTTGTCTCAAGAATACATACAAGTGGCATCGCTAGGATTTAAGCACAAGCAACCTAAATCCAAAATCTGTACTCTAAATTAAATTTTATTCAACATGAAGATGAAACTAAATCATCACAATATGTAAATTTCTTCTAGAATACAGTCTGAGGCTGTCATACATGATATTGTATTTATCTGAAACATGGGCAGGAGAAGAAGTGGAAAAACTTATGAAAGTATGAAAAAGTTTGCAATGCATTTTTCTAAACATATACACATAAACTAGACCCTATGCTAGTCTGCCATAATTTCTATTACAAATACCTGGGCTCTAAATTTGGCATACAGTTTACTAACATGCTTTTATACATACACAGAAGTTTAGATACTAGAAGAAAATCACTAAGAACCTCTGAACGAGAAGGAAGATAGAACACATCATTGAAAGGAATTACAATGATAGGTTAAAATTTCTTAAGTGAAATTAGTTTCTTTCATACTGGATATACCCTTACTTCTTAGACAAACAATCTCTTGACTCACTGCTCTTGTTCTCAACTAAATGACAGTGTCATTATGACTGTACATATCTGAATCCATTTTAGATTTTTTTCAGCTAGAATATAGGTATATTGTTACACTTCCCAAATTCTGACTGTTTTCAAATGGCTTATTATAACCTATTATAAATCTTTCATAGCGCATGATAAGAGTAACGAATGGCTAAAATCCATGCCAAAGCAGCAGTTTTCTTTCTAGCTAACTGTGCCTTCAATGGCAATTAAAGCATTGGTATTTATCATGAAAGCCAACCAATCCAACATACATGATTTTCTTTTGAATCTTGGCCATTTTGAGAAATAAAGACTCTGCTAAGCTCTGTTCTTGATGTTGTAGTTGTTTATTTTATTTTTCTGGATTTAGGAGACAAGCACCTGTTAATCTTATCTCATTCTCTGGCCCTGTGAGAAAAAGGCCATTAGCCAAGGGAGCTTATTTAACCAGAAAGGTCTTCAAGTCCAAATGGAGTGTCTTCTGCTGGATGCAGGAGACCTTATCCCCTTCATTCTTTCTTCTGAGAGACAAGGGAGTGCATCCACCATCCCTTTACTCACAGCCCTGTCTGCCTTTCAGAACTATGTCCAAACATCACAAGCAGACCACTCTCATCAAACCCTGTAATTGACTGCCTCCCCAGACATTCCGCAAGTCCACAAAGCCTTCATGTCCTATGGAGTTTGTCAAAAAAGAATCCCTCCCAGAATCCCCCAGAGATCTTCTGTGGATTGCAAATTAACTAATAAAAATGTTCTGCAAATCTTTCCATCTCCCAAGAGAAATGAGGCCACATAAGGAACTGTATTAAAATGACCAGGAAAAGAGTCCATGCGGGGCTTCCATCAGCCAGCTGGGCACTGCTGTGGCTTAGGACCACATATGCCTCGTGACATACCTCATAGAGGTCGATCATGATGTTGCCCTCAGGGCCTCTGCTGCTCTGGACATTCTCCAAGGCCAGGGTGAAGTAGACACCACGTGTGTCTGAGATGTAGAGGTTGTACGTGTCATTCTGGTTCCATTCTTGGACCGCTGCGAACACCTGATTCTCATCGGTGCTGATAACATGCATGTCCTGTGAAAAGACACAAGGTCGTGAAGAGGGAAAAAGAGTTTTATACATTAACCTGGCAGGCATCCAAAGAGTGTGGAATCAAATGAGGAATACCAGAATGAGCACTTTAATGGAAGATAGCTTCCTTTTGCATATATAAGAAATAATAGTTAAGCATTAATCATATATTTCCTTTGTCACTTGTGGGGTTAGGCAATAAGGTCATGAGAAAATAGGATGAAGGGATGTTTGATAGACCAGTTTTAATTGCCTCATTACATAATTCGAAAAATGCTTTCTTAAATATGTATGATTCGGAGAATCAAGCATCCTGATATTTTTGCCAAGCACAAATATGATACTTGCTCAGAAGGCATATATGGGGTAGATATGAGGAAAAGCTGGAGGAACAGAGAGAAAATAGACAAACCCTGCATGTCTCAGCATGGCTCATGGACCAGCAGCAAGGACATCACCTGGAAGCTTATTAAACATATAGAACCTTGGGCCTCACCTGGTGAATCAAAATGTGCATTTAATAAGATTGCTAAATAATTACCATGCATATTAAAGTTTGAAAAGCACTGCCCAAAGGTTCAGCAACCCCTAGCCAGTCTCCTCTACCCTCAGCCCTAAGAAAACATTCACCAGAGAAACCCAAAGTACTAACCCTCATGTTAGTGTGTTCAAAGACTTAGCTGCTTATCAAAATCTAAACTGAGAGGTTCTGCAGGAATCCTCCAGTGAAAAAGGGTAAAAGATAGCCTGCATAACTGATGATGTTTTCAGAGCCTGTTTGTCCTGGAAGATAGAATTAAAGCAAAGGTAGCGCGGAGGCAGTAACAAGTGCCCCTGGGGTGGGAATTTCAAATTCTTTTTCCCCCATTCATAACTCTAGAGAAGTACAATGGAAGCTACCACAGTCCAAAGCTTGCTGACTCAGACCAAGGCCTGCTTTCTTCTTTATGGGATGTCTGTTCATATGCTCTAGCCTGCATTTTACCCTTTGCCCAAGATAGTAGTCATAAAACAACTTCCAAAAACCAAAAAAATTAAAGCTAAGTAACCAAAACAAACAAACGAAAACAAAGATTGCATATAACCACAAAGGTAGAAGAACAACGTAGAACAATTCTTGTTTTCGGCATCACTTAGTGCTCTAATCTTTCCAGATGCACCATACTCTATTTTTGAAAAGCTTTAGGAAATCTGACAATCTTCCTGTTAACAATTCCAGTGCGGGGAAATTCCACCTAACTACTAACCTAAATTTCTTATTGTCATATATGCCCATGTTCTCAATCAAGCAGCATTTCAGCTCTGACTCTCCTCTAGACGTGTAGGAACAAGACTCCCTATCCTCTTTACCGTTTATCACAGTAAACTCGTGATCCCAGAGGGAGAAGTCCATATCCAAAGGGCTTTATATTCCTCACCTCTACTCAGGTTCCATATGACATACTCAAGTTTGGTAACATTTTTGTAGAAAGAACCCCAAGTGGATAGGTCAAAAAATGAATCCTGCCCATTAATTTAATGTGTGCTTCTATCTGTTGAATGTCTATTTACATTTCTCCTGGTAATTATTGCTCTCTCTAGGTATCTGCAGGGGGATTGGTTCCACAATTGCCCTCAGATACCAAAATCCACAGAAGCTCAAGTTCCTTATATAAAGTGGTGTAATATTTGCATGTAACCTATGCACATCCTCCTGTACACTTCAGATCATCTCTGGATTACTTACAATACCTAATACAATGTAAAGGCTATGTAAATAGTTGTATCATTTATTTAATTTGTATTACTTTGTATTTTTTTTAATATTTTCAATCTGATGCAGAACCTGAGGAGACACAGGTCCAAGTGTATGGATTGATGTTTTTTGAAAAACAGCCTCATCCCTCTCAGATATATTTCTATATTAAATCTAAACTTTTTCCTACTTTCTTCTACCAGCAGCACAAGAAATGAGCTTTTAGAACCGGCTTTCAGAATATTCCATTTCTCTGGCAACAGCAACTGAATAGGTGATGGGCAGGTGGCCCACATAAGGTCAATATGACATGTTTCTGGAATGACTGCGGAGTTATTAGGGAGAGACAAAATTAGTATCTCACTATTGGTTTTTAAGCAGTAAGAATAAAAAAGAAAACTCCAGATCTGCTGGAGATATATCTTGGAGGTAAAGGATGAAACCAATCCTGATGAAAACAGGCTCAGCGGATGGAGAGAGATGGCCCAATCCTGTGACATTTTTTTGGTCCCTAAATGTGGACATTTAAGAAGCTCATCCCACCGCCAGACTTTTCAGTTAAAGAAGACAGTCTAGTAAAGTGGCTGAAGAATGGACTTTGGAGTAAAACTAGTTGAGTTCAAATCTTGGCTCTATAACTTAGCCATGTGAATGAAACTCTGTGTCTCATAATTTCAATCTACAAAATAGAGACAAGGATAATAGGTCCCCCATGGAGTGGTGAGGATGAAATCAGTTAATCAGTGTTAAGCACTCCTAATAGTGCCTGGCACTTAGCATATGCTCTAGGTATGTTAGCTACTCTCAGTTAAGTGAGCCCTTACATCCCTTTTGTTGATTAATCTAGGTTCATGTGACCTTTCTGTTTATCGCAAATACTCAAGTCCTAACTATATACACGATAAGAAAGTGGTTCACCCAAGTGTTTTTGTTGTTATTGTTTAAAATAAAATTTAAAATTCTTTGAACCAGGAGAAGCTATACCCAAGTGTTTGGTTTCTTTCTAATGGAGAGACTTGTCTGTGGAAATTAGCTCCAGAGCTGTTCCTGCCTTGACAACCAAACCTCCCATGGCTCCCCATCCTATAGGGTAAAGACCTAAATCCTTACCTTGGCCTTGAGAAACATCAAACAACTATTCCCAATTCATCTTCCCTTCTTTGTCAGTAAGATGCAGCATCATCCCTGAAGCCAAGTTAAAATATCTCAACAATAACCTGACCCCCGCATAGCTAATTCCCACTTCTGTGATTTACAATGAATCTCTGCACTGGTGAACCTCTGAGTTTCTCACAATAGACATTTGATTAAATAATCCTAGGCTGGAAGAGTAAAGTGCATCACCTATACCGGCCACTTCTCCCAAGACTTTATTTTGTAGATTTGGATAGGAAAACACAGATGTATCAAATATTGTGGTCTAGGTCACTTAGAGAACTAATCACACAATGATAACAGATTAAAATGGCCATCTCTAGATATGAGCTGAGTTCCAATCCTTCCTTTGTTTCATGTAATTATGTTGTACAGCCATTTTCAAATGATATTGGTCTTAAATAGTTTAATTGAAAAGTTTAAAATATTTATATATTATCCTTCTTTTTTCTCCTTCCCTAAATCCTGTTTCTATTGGGAGAAATGCGCTTTTTCTCCCAATGTGGCACTTTATGTTGAATGCTTTAACCGAATCACAGAATTTGAGAGCAAGGTGTGATCTTACAGATTTTGTATTGAAGCATTTTCTAAAGTCTGCTCCATAGGACGACAATGTTGTTAGGATTTTAGTAGACTTGAAAAGGAGGAAGGGATCCTTTGGTAAAACATATTAATTAATGGTGAATTAAAGAGCTTTCTTGCTTATTGGATGTTCTAAACCTTCAACACACCAGTGAGCTACTGTTACTCTCTAGGCAAGAAACACAGAATGAAGTTTATTCCTTTTTTCAGACATATTTGACCACACAACCAAATTCTCAGGAAGGATTACTAAGGACATTTTATTCTAAGTAACACATATGAGAAAATATTGTTGTGAATCTAAGCTCCTTATTTAAAAAAAAAAAAAATAAAGAAAAGAGACATTGACAAACCAGCCCAAGGTTTCAAAGCAAGTTAGTGACAGATCTGGGTCCCTAATCCAGGTCTCCTGCTGCAAATCAAGCAGCCTTCACATCACCTGCATCCTGGTCCACATCGATCTTCCACCACGGAGACAACTAGATCCATACTAATAATAATATTACCTTGCTTTTATAGAGTATCTGTCCTCCAAAATGCTCAAAGCACTTTCGTATGTATTGCCTCATTTATCTCACTTGAGTAGCTCAGAATGGGTTCCCAGCAAGTTAAAAGAAGGAAAACTCATTACTTTCCCCTGTCTGGAGGGCCACATGCTCTTAATGGCAATGGCAATATTAAAATCTCCCTACCCACTGTCATTCTTTACTATTAGTAAATATTTTTTTGAGCACAGCTCAGGGTGACTATGATCTTTCAGGAGTTGATACAATGGTAGTGGGTGATTAAAGAAAATTGAGCATAAAAGTGCTGGTTTGTCTCAATTCCTTTGGTCGGCATGAAGCTTTGTTCATTTCCAGTTGCACCAGCCCTGACAGGCCATGAAATATATGCACCTTTGTTGCAGATCATTCCACCCAAGCTGGGGTTTCTTTTTGAAGGTATAATGGGATTGTAATAAAGAATCTCATTGCCTTAAATAATAAACATCCACCCGGACTAAATAATACATTCATCTGCTGTACTAGCCCCTATTTTTTCTGGGAACAAGCTAAATTAATCACTGCATTCTACCCTCAGAACCCAGATAAGACTGAGTAATGGAACATGCTCTTCTGGGAGAACAGGAGGAAGAAGACAGATGCAAATTTGGGTTCAAAGTAAAACTTTTTCCTTCCATATTGGCTAGATGCCACTGCGGGCAACTGTCAGCAGTGATCTGTGTGATGGCTATGAACAAGCAATGCAAAGTATCTGTTTCCCAAACCTCCAGCAATGAGTCTACAAACATTTCTTTGATTTTAAACTATGATTTCTGGGGCTCCTTAAGTCAATGGGATTTTCTTCTTAATGCCCCTGACAGTATATGGAATTTTGATGGGGTGATGATGCTATGTTTTAATAACAGAAGCTATTAATTTACTAAGAAAGTATAATATAAAAAAGTACTACCTTGAGAGTCAGGAGACTTGAGTTCTAGCCTCAATTATGCTACAAATAGCATTTGATTTCCACCAAAACTTATGTCACTTAACGAGTTTATTACCGGCCAGGCTCAGTGGCTCACACCTGTAATCCCACCACTTTGGGAGGCCAAGGCAGGCGGATCACGAGGTCAGGAGTTCAAGACCAGCCTGACCAATATGGTGAAAGTCTGTCTCCGCTAAAAATACAAAAATTAGCCAGGCTTGGTGGCACGCTCCTGTAGTCCCAGCTACTCGGGAGGCTGAGGCAGGAGAATCGCTTGAACCCGGGAGGTGGAGGTTGCAGTGAGCCAAGACTGCGCCACTGCACTCCAGCCTGGGTGACAGAGCGAGATTGTGTCTCAAAAACAAAACAAAACAAAAACAAAAACAAAAACAAAAAACAGTTTATTCCCAAGAGTGCGCATAAGATGAGGATATGGTCTCCATTTCCACATCCCCCTTGAACAACAGCAGCATGTCATTACATTGAGGATAATTCTTTTTTTAAGGTGCAAATCCTGCAAGTCAACTACTTCATTTATTAGTCAATCAAAGAAACAACAATTTATTTCAATGCTCAAGAGGAAAAAAACAAAACAAAACCTGGCTCTGTTGTATTTATTGAGTTAACATGTTCATTTCTCTGACAGACCTTCCTAAGAGATTATCAGAGGTAATTTGAACAACACTCAGTTTTCCTTTTACATAGTGATGTTATCCAATTCTCATCTAAGGCACAACTTAAGTGTTGTAAATTCTTGTCTTACTGGAGAAAAAAAAAACAAACACTTAAGCCAAATCAAGAACAACAAGAACTTAAATGTATCCATACACAGACATACATACAGTTCTGGATAATTACCACAGTCATTAATCTCTCAGCAGCTGAAAATAACAACCACGAACATAGCTATAGTTCTTTCAAGTTAATAGTGCAACTCAGTGTGTGTTATTACCTCTAATGGGCTGAGGCTTACATCCCACCTTTCACTACGTTAGGGTGAGGGAAGGGTGGTAGCCAAGAAAGAGAATTCATCCTGGAGAAACCAGAACAATCTGTTACCACTGGCTCTCCCGGGAGAGGAGGCGTGCTGTGTCCTTGTGTTATGTCTATTATATGACTTCCTGGGCAGCTATCTGGTGTTGGTTCAAGACAACATACGACAAAGTGATGGATGAAAATATAAGAGAAAGAGGCATGGCAACTCAATTAAAAAAAGTTAGGTATGTTCTTTGTGCAACCCAAAGGCTTCAAAGTTGAGCTATAACTCTCTTTAAACCTGCATAGTCCCTTTCTTATAGCCACATGCATCTCCCTTGCTCTAAGATTAAGGCACAGTACATTTACAGTTCCTAGTCACTTCAAATACATCACGATGGCAGCAAGATCGCAAATACACAGCTCTGAGCTCCCGAGTCAGTTTGACCTCCACTAGGTGGCGCTCCATATTAACGCAGTTCTTCAGCACTTCTGGAAAGACAGCCTGGGGATGTCAACAGTTGAGGGTCTTTAACTTTTGTTTGCCTCTGTTTTCCAAAGGATATGCCTTTGGGGAAGTCTAAAAAATTAGCTGCGACTCAGAACTCTAAAGACAACCAGTCTCATAAGTTTACAGGGAGCTGACTGGCTGAGAAAGCAAAGGCTGGTGCCACGTCACGGCATCACTGCTCAGTAAACAACTGATAATCAAATGGGACAGAAATGGACGGCAGCTGTTGCACTGATACATAACACATCCAAAAAATATTTTCTGTCTTGTTAGAAAACCAATACATATGGCTTGAAAATCTTTACTATTGAAAAGCAAATCAATTATTAAAATTCATATGAATGTTCCTATAGCAACAATCTCAGAGACAGAGAAGAAAGAAAGAAAGAAAAAAGAAAGAAAGAGAAAAAGAGAAAGTAAGATGAAAGAAAGAAAAAGAGAAAGAGAAAAAAAGAAAGTAAGATGAAGGAGAAAGAGAAAGAAAGAAAGAAGGAAAGAAAGAAAGGAAGAGAGAGAGAGAAAGGAAGGGAGGGAGGGAGGAAACAAGAGGAGGGTAATAGGACTGACCAAAGAGACAGTAAGGCAGAGCAAACTTGGGAAACAGAGATGAGAGATGTAAAGAAAACATGACTATGAGAGGCTGAAAGAGTCCTTGGGAAAGGGATGGAGGCTGGCTTCTGTGAATGAGAGTCAAGAGTGAAATGAAGAAAGTGATTTAGGCCATACCTTGGGCAAAGCATATTTCGGAAGCTTCATTTGGGCAAATGCATTCCTTCGGTAGGACACGTAGTAATGTGGCCGCCCTCCTGATGTCAGCTGGATCATAAAAACAAGACTGTAAGAAGCTCGAGCTACTGTAACAGGCACAGGTCACAGAACAGTCACCTGAATGGAAGGAGGAAGCTTCCAACACAACAAATGGCATTAATGTCTATTGCGGACAAGTGTAAAGAATTGGCCTTCAGTTCAAACACAACTTATAAAGACATATGAGCTGGTCAGCGGCCCAAACTGAACCTACTGGACAAAAATACAATTCTTAAGTTTGCACTGTGACTCAGATGCCAGAAAACATTTTGAGTTATTTTTTTCAAATGGGGTACATTGGCTGATTGCCATCACCAGCCCAGGTCTCTAGACCCAAGTCTATGACCCTACAAGTAGGTCCCTGTGCCATATCAGAATGAAATGGCCCAACCCAAACAGTGGCAGAGCTGGAGGCTCACATCTCTGGGCACTGAATTCCAGTTTGATGGTGTTACACTGATGATTATGGGCACATGGCACAGACAGGAGTGCTGGCATATTAGATGGAAAACCAGGCTAGGATTGGTGTCCAAATTCAATCTAGGTCTCTTCTATTTAATTTAATTTTTTTTTTTTTTTTGAGATGAAGTTTCACTGCTGTTACCCAGGCTGGAGTACAATGGCACTATCTCGGCTCACTGCAACCTCCGCCTCCCAGGTTCAAGTGATTCTCCTGCCTTAGCCTCCAGAGTATCTAGGATTACAAGCCCTTGCCACCACACCTGGCTATGTTTTGTATTCTTTTAGTAGAGATGGTGGGGGGGAGGGTTTCACCATGTTGCCCAAGCTGGTCTCGAACTCCTGACCTCAGGTGATCTGCCCGCCTCGGCCTCCCAAAATGCTGGGATTACAGGCATGACCCACTGTGCCCAGCCTTTTTGAAAAAATTTTTAAAGCTAAATCTCACTCTATTGCCCAGGGCTAGAGTGCAGTGGCACAATCATAGCTCATGCACCCTTCAACTCCTGGGCTCAAGTGATCCTCCCCAGGAGCTGAGACTACAAGCAGGTGCCACCACAGCCAGTTCCCCTCCAATCTTGTCCAAAGCATGCAGCCCAAAGAATCCTGGTGGGTGTGAGAGAGGGCAGGAAGGTACAGAGGGCAGGTAGAGAGGGCAGGTGTGGTCTCCAGCCAGCACATGAGCAACCTGCAGGCACAGTGTCAAGGGCACCACCACGTCTCTCTCTCTCTCTCCTACACAGCCACTCTTAACCCCTCTAAATGCCTGGAGTTTCAATGACAGCTGGAGTCTGCATACTCAGAATGTCAACAAATGCGCATGTTCATCACATTAGGAATGTGACTTGGAAAGTTATCATCTTCACCGTCATGTGGCCAGATGACCTCTTAGGTCTAGTGAGGGGTTACAGGATGTTCATGGTGGCATGGGTAAAGACTGTGTGAAATTCCAAATGCAGAATTGATTCTCATTTGTAAGTCATAGATGTGGATCACAAAGTGTTATTAGAAACCAGAAAAGGTTCCTGGGAGCAGCACTGATACAGAAATGAATTATTATAGACAGAACCAATACATGTAACTATTCGAATGTCCATTGACAACTTGATGCTGAAATTGTCAGAGTATTAATTACTAATTTCCCTGAAGAATAAAGAAATGGTGTGTGTGTGTGTGTGTGTGTGTATGTGTGTGATCATATGTGAAACATTTTATAAGTACACAGGGTGGTAGGCATTTAAACAAATTGCATCCTCAAAGCATGTAATTAAATATTCCAAATCACAATTTCTTGTCGAAATAAATGTAATACTGTCTAGAATGGGTCTTTATATATATATATGTATACTTTTATATATACGTATAAGCTATTTAGTAATTGTACCTTTGTCATTTTTAACATGGAAGGTGGTAACTGAGTTTTAAAATGCATTGTCCAAACAAGCTTAAATTTTTCCTTGAATGCTGAAAAGCAGTGCAGCGTATTTGCTTCTTGTCTCTACTAACAACTCAGGAAACGTCAGCTTCTTAAACTGTTCTCCACTCTCTTGGGGGTGAAAAACCTGGCTGAATACATCTGCTCTGAAGTGTCTTTATTCTAATCACAGTTGGTGCATGACAATAAAAGCTGATTACTCTCCCCCTGGCCTCTGCCTCCCACTATCTCCAGCCACCCCACAGCTTCCCTTCCCATTCCTGCTTCTCCACTTTTAAGGTGGGTATTGGGGAGGGGGCTGATTGGCTGACCCTTTCCCAGATAGAAAGAGACTGACATATTTGTTCAGTCCCTTTGATAACTGGGAGCTTCTTTGGAATGCAGGTGTGGGGGACAGATCGTACTGTGCATCATCCTAGAGACAATCTCACTACTCTGTGCGATGCCTTCATGACCCCATGTTGATAAGATCCTCTGGACACAGCCCAAAGAAATTCATGACTAGTCTGTTAGTATAGAAGATTCCACACTCACTAATTATCCTTTTATTGAAAAGATAGTGATTTTCCCCTCTCTCCCTACCTCCTTCCCTCCCTCCCATCCTCTCTTTTTGACTCTTAATGGAGTGTAAAGCAGGCAAAAGGGACAGAAACAAGGAAAAGAAAGGTTTCTGAGACAATCAACAGAAGTGGATTTTTCCTACCTGAACAAACACATAATGATCCTGAACAATCAAAGAGTCTGGGTCAATGTAGCCTGGAAAAGGCTGATTCCTGTTGGCCTCTGTACAGTTCTGCATTCGGCAAGTTAGATAATGTGAATCTGAAAAACAAAAACAAAAACAAAAACATGGGGTTGAGGGGGATATACAGACAGAGATTTACAGTCAGGGTGGACGTTTGATATTTCCCTTACCATTTCCAATTTTTTTTTTTTTTTTTTTTTTTGAGATGGAGTCTCGCTCTGTCGCCCAGGCTGGAGTGCAGTGGTGCGATCTCGGCTCACTGCAAGCTCCGCCTCCCGGGTTCACGCCATTCTCCTGCCTCAGCCTCCTGAGTAGCCGGGACTACAGGCATCCACCACAATGCCCGGCTAATTTTTTGTATTTTTAGTAGAGACGGGGTTTCACCGTGTTAGCCAGGATGGTCTCGATCTCCTGACCTCATGATCTGCCTGCCCTGGCCTCCCAAAGTGCTGGGATTACAGGCGTGAGCCACCGCGCCCAGCCACCATTTCCAGTTCTTTAAACAAGCCTCACAGTCTTTGTTAAATACGTTATTGTCATTGTTATTATTATTTAAATTATTATCATTATTATTTTACTCACTTGCTCTCAATACCACCTACATCATCTCCTGGTGCTTCCACCAAGTCTTGATATCCTAGAATACTAAATTCTTGCTAATTATTTTTTTCCCTCCCAAACCCAAATGAAAATATTTTCAAAAACTGGCAATAATACTTGGGATTTCATGGTCAATTTTTTCTCATTAGTAGGTTTCACCTTCACACTTTGATCTTTGACAAAGAGGAAAACACACATACATCTAATCATTCATCATCTAATGATAAAAATGATGTGGTTATAAGATTCTAGGTTAAGTAAGATAAGGGTTTTTCTTTCATAATTCATTAGAAGTAAAACAGAGCCGGGAGCTGTGGCTCATGCCTGTAATCCCAGCACTTTGGGAGGCCAAAGCAGGTGGATCACGAGGTCTGGAGTTCACAACCAGCCTGGCCAAGATGGTGAAACCCCGTCTCTACTAAAAATACAAAAATGAGCTGGGCGCAGTGGCAGGCACGTAAAATCACAGCTACTCAGGAGGCTGAGGCAACAGAATCACTTGAACCCAGCGGGGCGGAGGTTGCAGTGGGCCAAGATCACGCCACTGCACTCCAACCTGGGTGACAGGAAAAAAAAAAAAAAAAAGCAAAACCGAATTGGGAGGAGTTCCTTGAGTTAAGACTTTGCTTTTACTTTACAATTGAATCAGTTGAGACCCTGGATCTCACCTGGTGATAAATACAACATCAGTAATGACAACTCTTACGTCAGTTTGGTCGCTATTGCTGGAAATACATTTTATCAGGGAGGCTATTCCTGTTTTTTGAGCACACTATCCTGGCCTCTATCTAATCAGATTATGTTACTCCCTTACTTAAAACTCCTTTTGCCTCATTGTATTGAGAATAAATTCAAACTCTCCACCACCCACCATGCCAACCCTCCAACCTCCCCCACTTCTCACCATGCTAATCTCTTCTACTCTCTCTGTGATTCTTCTAATCCACCCTACTTTATGTTCAGGAAGTTGGCCAAACTTTCTACCACTTTAAAGACTCTTCATTTGCATTCCCTCTGCCTAAAATGCTTCTCCCCAGGCTGTTCTCAAAGCACGTTCTAGATTTCAGCTAGCTCACTGTTACATCTGAGGATCTTCCATAGTTATTCTTTATCACACACCATCCTATTAATTCTTTCTATGGAATTTATCACAATATAAAATTACCTTGTTATTTCTTTCTTACTGAGCCGTGCTCCCATTAGAATGTAATCTCTATAAAGACAAATGCCTTTTTTGTTTTTGTTGTTGTTGCTGTTATTCACTGTTGTGTCCACCAGATCCTAATACTGTTCCTGGCACACAGTAGGCAATAAATGAATATTTGTTGGAACATGCCACTTATTGAAATATATCCTTTTGAGTATAAAAAAGGAGTTATTTTACTTGTTTTTGATGCTTAATGAGTAGGTGGGTTTGATTTTAAGATATCAGAGACTTATGCAGAATTCTATTTTTCCAAATGAAAATATCAGAAGATGATTATTTACAGGAAATAGAGGTGGGGAATAGTATGTAGAGATAGATAAGCTAGATATAAGGATTCACTAAAGATTTCTCTTAAGAAAACTAGGAAGGCGGAATTGTCCAGGACCACCTTTACTTAAGGAACTTATGTGTACCTACCTGTATTCTGCAGAGTGCCACTAGGGGGCGGCATGCACTCTTGCTCCCTCTGACCAATGACTGATGGGGTTTCTGATAACCTCTCAGTAGACAATGGTGGAGAGCCTTACACACCATCTTCCTTCACCCCACTGCCATTTCCGAAGATGGGGATAGCTCTCAAGTGCTTTAACCTGTCTAGTCCTGGTGAAGCCACCTCCAAAATTAAATTAGAGTCCTCTATTCTTCCTTCCTCATCTCCTTTTTCAGGCATTCCTGTAATTTCACGTTAGAGCAGAACACAGGATCTTTTTCCTTAAAGACAGTTTCTGGGACTATCCCTTCCCAGAACGATCCTCCGTCTAGCACACAAAATCTTTACCTCACAATTTTACACTCCACCAGACTGTTTTACAGCTTTTAAGTGACTTCTGTTTTCCAAAATGTAGCTTGGGGGTCATAGAAACAATGGAGATTTATGACGATAAGAACTGGGCTTGAATTCTGGTGTGGTTTATTTATTAGCTGTGTAGTTCATAAGAAATCCTTTCATCTTCCTGAGTCTTGCTGTTACTGCAATGCTAACCAATGTTCCATCTTGGTTTTTCTGTTCATGGTACTGAAAGCGAATCACTGAGACAATGAGTATTGCTAAGGAAGAAGACTTGAATCAGATGCCACAGCTGAGGAAATGGAAGATCAGTCTCAAATCTATCTCCCTGGCAAACTAAAATTAGGAGTTTATATAGCAGGGAAGAAATGTAACAATGTGTGGGAAAATAGGAATTAGGGGGTGTAAGGAAGAAGAGCTGGTCAACAGAAAGCAAGTTGTCAGTTAGGCAATCAGGATGAGTGAGGGGTCTGGTATCTCATTGTCTAGATGCAGTGATCTGGTAAGCTTAAGTTCCTTGATGATACCTGGGAGGCCTGATGGTTGGTTTCCTGAGAAAGGAACTTGGATAAGAACTCGGATAAAACAAATGTAACTTTCTCAAGTTTGAAGACTGGAAGGATCAATTTCTGTGTTTATTCAAAAGAAAGCATAAACATCATGTTCTATGGGACAACTGGGCCAATTTCACTGCCTCCTTCATCTATTAAAGGAGGATGCCAATATCAACTATCTTGTACTTTAGCTGTAAGAATTAAAATAACATATATGCTAAATGTTTTGAAACTCAAATTCATACAAATGTTAGTTGTTATGATTAAGAATGATAATATTTCTGTTTTCTGTTTTGCCACCTTTCATAATGATGAGAAATTTTGGGAACACACTTAAAAAGACTAGTTAAGCCAAATTTAAATATTCCAGTTATATTTCTGAATCAGGTTCTTTGGCGAGCTACTGAACACCCATTGTTCTCTGGCTTTTTGCTGAAAAATCCAATATCGGATCTGTCAGCTCATCTTTTCTCCATGTGACTCAGAAGTTCCCATATGCAAGGAGGAATGTTGTCACTCTAAACCTACTCAAGCCTTCCTTCTCCACTTGCCATTGGTTGTTTTAGAAGAGGGTATTTAAACCTAGTACTGGTACATGAGAAGTGAGGAGAGAGCTTTTAAGGGGAATCTGAGAGATATCAGGAGATACAGCAGAAGATCTTCTGCCTCTGTAAACACTGTGTCTCAATGTGAATGGCTCTAGGTTTCTGGTTGCCCAAAGGAGCCAGTCTTACAGTCAAGCTTATATAACGAGTATGACAACTAGATGGAAAGTACCCATTTCCTAATGACATCATTGAGCTGTTGATGGTACTGAGCCTCAAGCTGCCCCAACCTCTGTGCTTCTTGTTATGTGAGATAATGAACAAAAACAATGGCTAAACACAATGAGAGTTTGATTAGGAGGTCTTGACCTTCAAATTACAAATACAATTTCCAACTAGAATTTTTAAGACTGACACCTAATGAGGACTTGATGCATACACAATTCTTGTTTTATTTGTATTAGTGTCTGATGGCTCTTTTCTTTTCCTTAAGACCCTGTACAAACATAAGATGGAAAATAATAACATACCCTTTTCATGTTTCTAATTCACCTATATAGAAATTATTAATCTAAGGAATTTAGGGAGAAAACAAAGATGGAATTTAACATTTGTTGTTCATCTGTGAGCCAGGCAGTCTGAAGCATGTTCACATAGCTATAGCACGTTTAGTCTTCACAACACTGCAGAGTATACCAACTGACTTTGCAGATAAAGAGAATGAAGCTAAAAAATAGTGATGTGTAGAAACGGCAGTATGTGGTTGCAACGTGGTTAGACTGACTCCAACTTTGGTTTATTTCTAGTATACTGTGTTGCATGAAAAATCCCAGTAAGTTTGGGGCCAATTTTTGTTAAGTATATTTTGGCTTCTATCTAAGGTTCAAACAGATACCCCAAGATACAAAATAAGAACACCTTAATATTTTTGTGTGGTAATTTGGCAATATGAATCAAGATACTTAAAAATGCAGGACCAGCCTGACCAACATAGTGAAACTCCATCTCTACTAAAAACACAATAATTAGCCAGGCATGGTGGCACGTGCCTGTAATCCCAGCTACTTGGCTGGGAGTCTGAGACAGCAGAATCACTTTAACTCAGGAGGTGGAGATTGCAGTAAGCTGGGATCACGGCACTGCACTCCAGCCTGGCAACAACAGTGAAACTCTGCCTCAAAAAAAAAAAAAAAAAAAAAAAAAAAAGATACCCTTTGACCTAGGGTTTATTTCTGAGAATTCTATCTAAGGAAAAAAATCAAGGATCAATGCAAAGATTCAACAACAAAGATATTTATCAGTGTTATTTATAATAAAAAATTTTGGAGAAAACATAATGGCCAACAATAGAAAAAGAACTTAATAAACTATGGAACATTTAGAGTTTGCTATTAAAATCTTGCTTTTATGAGGAAATGCTTAATATATTTTATATTATAGAAGTAGGTTACCAATTAGTAATATTATTCCAATGTTAATTTCCTAGTTTTGAAAAATATACCATGGTTACATAAAATGTTAACATTAGAGGAAGCTGGGTATAAAGTACATGTATTCTGTACTATCTTGGGTGACTTTTCTGTGTATCTAAAATTATTCCAAAATAAAAGTTTTTAAAAAGTAGGTTACCAAAATACGTGCATTATGGACCTGAGTTTTTTTGCAAGTCGTATATATATCTATAAATGTATGTTTGCACAGGAAAAATAAATAAAAGATATATATGAGATGTCAACAACAGCGGAGAGCCACTAATGTGAAAGAGTTGGCAATCTTTACAACAAATCCCTAGTCCAGCCCTTCTACAGCCGGGCAAGTAGGGGAGCGGGGAGTCAAGATGGACTTGTGAGATCAACTGTCTCTAATCTCTCTGCTTGTTCTTTCTCTACTTCCCATGCCTCATATTGCTGTTGAGCTGTGCAATAAGCCTATCTTTGGTCTGAGAATTACCAAGTTTAAAATAGGGACACAAGAAAAGCCCCGGAAGAGGTCTTCAAACCACTTCTTGCTCTGAGTGGCTCAAAGTGAAATTTGCAAGCTGAAGGGGAAATGAACCATCTTGAACAGTCTGCCCGTGGTAAAGTGTTCCTGGTTTGTTCCCTTTCTCCTCCTAATGGAAAACAGAAAGAAACTGGCTGCACTTCATAATAAGGGACCAAGCACTCATCCCCCTTGGGGCTTGCTGTAATAGTATTAAGTATGATGAACTCTTTCCATATTCAATTCTGGTGAGTGTATGATGTGATTCCATAGGAAGTATCTTGTAATTTGGCATTAATTAATGTCAATTAATGCATGCAACTGCTAGACATTAGAATTAATTTCATTACTTTTCCTACACAGATGTTTTCCTTGCCATAGGTAATTAGGACACTGTGCTGTTCTTTTCAAGCATCTTCACTCTCTGCAACAGCTGCTGCTTAGAATAATGCAATCCCCATCCACCCAAAACCTGTGCTGTTCTAGAGAAGGGAAGCTGCTTTTAAAAAGGTAGGCTTTGAACAGAGGATCAGAGGTTTAAATGCAGGCTCAAGGCCTGCTAGCTTAGTAAATCACTCCACGTCTCCAAACGCTGATCTAGAAAATGGGAACAAACAATATCCATCTAGCCAGAAGTTATGACATTTGATGACCTTAGTCTTGAAATGTGTTGAGTCTAGCGCCAGATTAGACTGTACTCACATAATGATAGCTGTAGTTGGTATTTAAGTCCTCTCTCTGTAATCACCAATACTGCTCACTGTGTCTCAAGCTAACCACCTGTAAAGTGCTAAGGATATTTCTACCTGAGGCAGCTTCTTTCTTTTTCTTTTTTTTGAGGACAGAGTCTCACTCTGTCACCCAGGCTGGAGTACAGTGGCAGCGATCTCAGGTCACTGCAACCTCCCGAGTTCAAACAATTCTCCTGCCCCAGCCTCCCGAGTAGCTGGGACCACAGGCGCATGCCACCACGCCTGGCTAATTTTTGTATTTTTAGTAGAGACAGGGTTTCACCATGTCGGTCAGGCTGGTCTCGAACTCCTGACCTCGTGATTCGTCTGCCTCAGCCTCCCAAAGTGCTGTGATTACAGGAGTGAGCCACCACACCCGGCCACTTCTTTCTTTTTATATTCAATTTTTGTTTGGGTTAAAGATTTTTTAAGTACGTTTTTAAAAACACCATGAAAAAATATTCTCCTTATATAATAATTAATACAAATACAGATCTTCTGCATAGGCAGCAGACAGCACTGCCAAATAAGTAGGGCTACAAGGAGAATGTGGAAGTCATCTCTGCACCCAACACACAGGGCCAATCAGCAGGTGTGGCAGGTGTTCCGTCTTCCTGTTGGAGCTATCTTCTAGGTCCTAGTTCCATCTCCAGCATGGCGTGTGACTCTGAGAAGGTCATCAACCAAGCTCAGTTTTAGACTATTTCTTTACATAATGAGAGTTATTAGAAGCTTAGAAACAAAACGGATGTTAAAAATCAGACTATGACTTTAAGATCCAACAAATCTTTACCATAAATTATCCACTGAAACCTGTTTCCTTCCCACTGCTGCCAAAACAAAACAAAGCTCTGTGATGTTGCTGGCAAGTCTGTGTCTTGAGGGCTTCTGCTATTTCTAAACAGCATGCTTAACTCCTGGCTGATTCCCTATGTTCATTCAGAGTTCTGCTGGCTTGAACAGCCTTTTCCTTTCCTGTTACTCAGTCCAAATACTTCCTGGACCTTCTTCTGTGAACTTTTTCCTGGGGCTTAGACAAACCTTTCCATCCCCAGAATGTCTTCATTGATAACAGCAGCAGCAGCACTAACCTCCAAAATAACCAGAGCAACCTTTCCTCGGGGTCAGGAACTGTGCTAAGTGGATCACATGTTTTTTTCTCTCTTAAATTTTGCTTAAAATCCAGGCCGGGCTCGGTGATTCACACTTGTAATCCCCAAACTTTGGGATGCCGAGGCGGGTGGATCACTTGAGGTCAGGAGTTTGCGACCAGCCTGACCAACACAGCAAAAAAATATATTACAGGTCTCTGGGACTCTATCCATCCATTCTATCATTCAACAAGTGTTTATTTAGCACCAAATACTTTAATTTTCCCTAATATTGTAGACGTTTAATTATAAACAAAGCTAGAAACGATGCAGGCAAGCATAAGCACTTTGAAACTCACCTATTCCTCATTGTTTCCACTTGGAAACAATTTAAATCAGCAATTTAAGCAATCTGTTTAAAAGCAGAACAGATTTTAAAGCCCATACAAGCGCATATAACTTTTCCTTTTGTTCTACTGCTCTATTACTTATTTTGAAACTTCTGTATTAAATGTTCTCACTCATCACGCACGCACACACGTGTCAACACGCTGCTGTTCATATACACTTAATTCCTATCAGGATTCTAGTGCCCTCTGTCACATGTACCAGCTAGAAATTGAGAATGTCAAAAGTGAGATTCTAGTCTTGGTTCCAGAAAGTCTACACAGAGGACAAGATACTTCTGTGAAAATTATAGACTTACATCAAATGTTCTAGCTTGGCATGATGAGTGTGATTTAGCATTGCTTTCTTCTGTGAAATTTCTTGATTTGGGACCAGTGTAATTGACTAAATATTGTATTTTATTGTTGGCCTTCAGGCATTCAGGAGACCATGACTACTACAGGGAAAATTCTGGGATCATAAAATTTAGCCAAGCATGAAACTAAAAACTGGGAACATGAGAGAGAAAACAAAAGCACACTATTAGGTTGGTGCAAAAAGTAACTGCAGTAATTGCCAAAAACCGCAATTACCTTTGCACCAATCTAATAATATAAATACAGAAAGTTCACTGTCCAATTACAATGCAGCATGGTGAGCGCATTCTAGGATGAATGGAAGTGCTATGGGCTTGCCGGTGAAATATTTAATCCTCATACCTCTGCACAGATGTTTTACTCTGTGCTAGAAACTTTTCCTGTGACTCTGAATTTATTTCACTTTGTATCACACAGAGCTGTGGACTTGTTATTCTTTCATGGCCTATTTAGTCCTCTTTAGGCTAGAGACTATTTTACTATTCAGACTATGTTATAGAGTGAATTACTTTCGTCAGGGATGGGGACATGATGGAAAAGCTGAGGGAAAGCCTAGAAGGCTGCCTGGAATGATGACAAGGATAACTCATTATTCCAGAAAGAAGGAGCACTGGGCAGGAGCAGAGAGGCAAGAGAGAATGTGAGATGTGTTTGGGGAACACTGGCTGTGTGTTTTGCGAGAAAGTCCTACTGGAAACCCACACTAGAACCTAGTTTAGTTGGGTAAAGACAGAAAATCATATACAAAGTCACACTCAATCATGGAGAACTGAGAAGCACATCACATAACTTTCTGTGTCCGCAATTGGTTCCTTCTGGTGGGTTCTTGGTCTTGCTGACTTCATGAATGAAGCTGCAGACCCTCACGGTGAGTGTTACAGTTCTTAAAGATGGTGTGCCCGGAGTTTATTCCTTCAGATGTTCAGATGTGTCCAGAGTTTCTTCCTTCTGGTGGGTTCGTGGTCTTTCTGACTTCAGGAGTGAAGCCGCAAACCTTCGCGCTGTTACAGCTCATAAAGGTAATGCAGACCCAAAGAGTGAGCAGCAGCAAGATTTATTGCAAAGAGCAAAAGAACAAAGCTGCCACAGCATGGAAGGGAACCCGAGTGGGTTGCCACTGCTGGCTGGGGTGGCCAGCTTTTATTCCCTTATTTGGCCCTGCCCACGTCCTGCTGATTGGTCCATTTTACAGAGTGCTGATTGGTCCGTTTTTACAGAGTGCTGATTGGTGCACTTACAAACCTTTGGCTAGACACAGAGTGCTGACTGGTGTGTTTTTACAGAGTGCTGATTGGTGGATTTACAAACCTTTAGCTAGACACAGACCGCTGATGGGTGCGTTTTTACAGAGTGCTGATTGGTGCGTTTACAAACCTTTAGCTAGACACAGACCGCTGATGGGTGCGTTTTTACAGAGTGCTGATTGGTGCGTTTACAAACCTTTAGCTAGACACAAAGCACTGATTAGTGCGTTTACAAACCTTTAGCTAGACACAAAAGTTCTCCAAGTCCCCACCCAATCCAGAAGCCCACCCAGCTTCACCTCTCATGTCCAAATTAAGTTTACAAAGACAGTAGGGAGTAGGGGAAGGAGTTAAAGAGCGACAGAGACAGAGAGAGAAGGATAAAAAGTAGGAAGAAAAGAAGAAAGCAAGCAAGAATGAAAAGTGGAAAGTGGGGAGGAAGAAATGAAACCATTTAGCTCATGAAGGAGAAAGCATACAGTTTCCAGTTTCTTCTCCAGGTGTTTTATTTTTATTTTTGGAAGGGGGAGTGAGGGGAGAAGGTGTGCACATTTACTTAGATGTGTCTACACGCTATAAGATTAATTTCAGAACAGAGAGACACTGCCTCTAAGACATGTGGATATATTCAATGAACAGTTTCTTTCTTTCTTTTTTTTTTTTTTTGATGGAGTCTCGCTCTGTCGCCAGGCTGGAATGCAGTGGCACCATCTTGGCTCACTGCAACCTCCGTCTCCCAGGTTCAAGCGATTCTCCTGCCTCAGCCTCCCAAGTAGCTGGGACTATAGACAAGTAACACAGTGCCCAGCTACTTTTTGTATTTTTAGTAGAGACGGGGTTTCACCATGTTGGCCAGGATGGTCTCGATCTCTTGATGTTGTGATCCACCTGCCTCGGCCTTCCAAAGTGCTGGCGTTACAGGCATGAGCCACTGCGCCCGGCCTCAATGAATAACTTCTTGATTATTTTTATCACCCTCCATACCAGCTATCATACCTGAAACATAAGAGATGCTCAACAAAGAACAGTATGGCACAGTCCTTGTCTCAGATAATGGAATAAAGACAGATGACACGTTTGCCCGCCCCTCTCTCTATTCCAGCCACCTGGCCTTCTGTTATGCCTCAGCCATGCTAAGCATCCTCATATCCATATCCTTTGCATGTACTCTTCCATTTGTCTGGAATGCTCTTCCACCAGGCAGACACACAAGTCTCTCCCATATTTCCATACAGACTTGGCTTAAATACCAAATGCCACCTTATCCGAGATTTCTTCCTTGATGGCCCTCTTTCTCTGATCACTCTCTATTCTCCCTACTCTGTTTTTCTCACACATTTGTAGCTCCACTTCTCATACAAATACTTCATGCATTTTTTATAACATCTCCCCTAACTAGAAGGTAAACTTTATGAGAGCAGAGCCTTTGCATCAATTCCTAATCATCCCTCATTCATGCCTAGAAGAGCATCTGATGTGGCGTAGATGTCCAACAATATTTTTTGAATGAATGAATAATAGGTCCAGAGTGAAACAGACCTGGCTTTAAATCCTAACTCTGAAACAATGGAAAAAACACTTAATCTTTGTAAGCCCCACTTCCCCATCATTAAAATGAGGAAAATAAGAATAGTGTCTACCTCCAAGGATTGTTATAAGTAAGGCAGCTGAAAAGTATCTAGTGTGCTCACACCAGATAAATAATAGGAATATAATGCATGATCCTAGCATCACTGTCACTTGAGAATTTAGAGGACAAAGGAAGAAAATATGTGAGTAAATGCCGATGCTACTTTTTTTTTAAGTACGATGCTACTTTTTTTTTAAGCCGGAGCCAGAAACATTAGAAATTTTTCACTTGGGGATTACCACACCTGCATGTTATATGGAGTGCTGCTATTGTATTCTGAGGGATACCAAGGACCCAAAGCCTAGATCTTTGTCCTAAAGTTAAGGCCTGTGAGTGAAAAGTTTTCTGTGCACCTTTGTTCTCTCAGCCTCAGCATGGAAGATAAGGGCACAGAGCTTCATGCAGGTGGGTGGGCACCTGGGAAGCAGAGGAAGTGGCATATAATGGCTACAAAGAACCCAATTTGAAAGCTGCCCAGCTGAGCCTGTTGTTGTACTGTCACTATCAGGCTTTTCAATGCTGTGCTAGGAGGCCCGTGTTATCTTATTTCATGCTTTTCTGGGTGGTTGTTAGGGCTGTCTTCAGGCTACTAAATCAGAGAGGTCAAGTGGATATCACTAGTCATTGAAATCAAGAGCCTTTTGCAATACGAAATATGGGGTCAGAATAACACTGCTAGAAAAAAAAAAAGCATAGTACTAGATTCTGGCTATACTAGCTAAACCTTGATGCTTTATTTGGGGATAGAAGAGAGGTGAGAATGTGCATTTTCTCAGCATGTCAGGAAGTGGTAAGGATCTGTTAGAATCTGAAGCTGACCAGAAATGGAAACGTCTAACCTCTTCCAAGGTCTACCTTGGAAGTTATTAATAAATTGACTAAAAAAAAGATAAAGGAAGACTATGAAATGCGGGGTCTAATAATGGCAACTGTTGTGCTAGTGTTGGAACTTTGGCCAAAGTGGGGGTAGCAATCTGATATTTTTAAATGTGTGTATCAATGCCAAAGGTTTCATCTTTTCTATTCAAAAGATTTGATTTTTTAAAGTTCACTGAAGAAGAAATAAAGGTAGTGACGAAAAACAAATAAAAATTCTCAACCTCACTCCTAATTAAATAAATACAGATTAAAACAATAAGGATATGCCTTTTTAAAATTTGCTCTCAGATGGGTTATATTTGAAAAGTCTTTGATAATGTCCAAGATTGCTGAGGGCTTGCAAACACAGGCATTATGATACTGATAGACTATTTATTGTTGCAAATATTTCAGAAGGCAATCTGACAATGTTTACAAAAATTTGAAATGTATATAATCTCTGACCCAGGAATTTTCCTTCATAAATTCTCTTTCCGTAGTGTTTGCTGCTTACGCGAGCTTGAATGCGGACTAACCAAATAAATAATATGTGTGTATGTGTATATATTCGCATTGTTTGAAATAACCAGAGGTCTGTATATCTACAAAGGTCTCTATAATTTAGTAATTACTAAATATAGTTGACTTTATAATGGAGTTCTATGTATCAATTAACCATGAAGTTGCTAAATTTATATGTGCTGATATGAAAAGATTTTTAACTTATATTTGTATGCACAAACACTAAATTTGCCACAACAATTTTTCAACAAGAACATGCGTGTAAGTATACGTGTCTATACATATACATACTCATCTGTATAAGCCTAAACAATTTCTGGAGAAATATAGCAAATATATAAATACACACACACACACACACACACACACACATATATATATAACAATAAAAAGATAAGAGTTTATATATATATATACCTTTTTATTGTTATCATTGCTATTTTTGTTGGTATAAAAGTAATCTATATTCATAGTAAACACACTCTGTAGCTGAGATATTGAAGACTTTGAGAACTGAGATCTCTATTACCTCCCCAAAGCATTTCAGCAGCGCTTACCTTATCCAGATTTTGACATACTTACTGTTCAATACGGAAACTAGGTTGGAAAGCTGGTGGATAGGAAGTAGAAAATGAGATTTCCAGTTCTTACCCAAGACCAGAATTAGTGGGATGCATAGTTATATAAAGTTGTGAGTTTCTTTTATTTCTGCTTGTTAAAATGCTAGTTTGAGGTTCATTTCACAGAGTTCTCAGGCAGTCATTTTCACAGTTGGTTAAAGGGCCAAGGTTTGTTGTTCCCCGGTGAATGAGATTAGTCCTTGGGAAACTTGTTATGAGGTTACTTATTCATGAAAATAAACACTGGGACCAGTAATTGTCCCCTGTCCCCTGTTCCTGCTGGCACAGATCACCACCAGTACAGAAACATTCAGGTTGCGGGTTGGGCCTTTTATTTCAGAAGTAAAAGGGAGAAGCAATAATGGCCAAAGGTGGTACTGCAGGTTCTCTTACAGATGACCATAATATACAACTATATATCCATGTGTAATTGCCATGTGAAAAATTCTGATAAAAGTTATGTTATTTTCCTCCAAAATCAAATATGCATAAAATGTGGCACCCAGTTTCAGGGAGGTAGTAAGTCTCTTGCATTCATCTGTTAGTGCTCCAGGACTCCACAGACCCAGTGGTTAAAGATCCTTCTTTCAGTAGATATACCTAAACAGTGACACATTAATATATTTATTCAACAAATATTAAATGTTTCATCTGGGTGTGGTGGCTCATGCCTATCCCAGCACTTGGTCAAGGCAGGAGGATCGCTTGAGCCCAGGAGTTTAAGACCAGCCTGGGCAACATGGTGAGACCTTATCTCTACTAAAAACGTAAAATAAAATAAAAAAGAATGTTTTGGGCTCTAAGTTATCTTTTGGACATAGAACGGAGATTAAATAAGATACAACTTTTCACACAGCTTTCAATCCAACAGTTTGGTCAACGTTTTCTCTTTAACTATATGCATTACACACACACATACACAAATGCACCTATGTTAGGTAAATCAATAGAATGTAGGTTTCCTTTTTAGTATTTTAATGTACTGGGCTCCTACGATGCACACACACACACACACACACACAGAATATTTAAACAATAAAAGATCTGCTTCATGGATGAGGACCTGTCAATTTGTCTTCTTTGAACTCAGGGGCCAATAATAAATGCCACATCCAATAAATATGTTCAAAAATTTCCAGTAATACCTCCCGTGATTGATTGTAGTTGAGCCTGCTCTTTTCAGCTCACCTCCCAAGGCAGAAAGTAATACAATAAAGAATAACATCCTTGTCACAGATGTAAACTACAAGATATCTACATATTAGAGGATAGTTGGTAAGAAACATCAGTGCCAACCATAGACTCTCACAGAACAAAAGCTTTCTAAAGGATCTAAGATAAAGTACTAGTTTATATAAATAACCACACATTCCTATGCAGACACTTGTTGCTTTGGGAGCAAAGGTTCAGAATCTGTGCCATGGACCCCATCAGCAATCTGAGAAAGCCTGTGGACCCATTTTTTCAGAATGTTTTTAATGCATAAAATAAATTACCCAGAATAGACCAAAAAAAACTAATTCAATTAAATTTAAATAAAGTTATTAAAAGATTAAAAAACAAATATTTAATACCCTTGTATGTACTTTTTAAATTAATATATTATATATCAAGATCTACTGGCAGGTCTGATAACTACTACAATTTTGAGGAAAGAATGAGCATAAATAATATTTTCAGATGTAATGACTGTATTATGATATAAAAATTTCTGTGATTTCTATTGCAACAAAGTCGCTTATATTGCTAATACTACTCGAGTTAATTTCCAACCCTTACAATTGAAAGTAATCTTGTAAGTTATAAGGTTTATAAAAATAAAGATATAAGGCCGGGCATGGTGGCTCACGCCTGTAATCCCAGCACTTTGGGAGGCCGAGGCGGGCGGATCTCAAGGTCAGGGGTTCAAGACCAGTCTGACCAACATGGTGAAACCCCATCTCTACTAAAAATACCAAAATTAGCTGGGCGTGGTGGTGTGCACCTGTAATCCCAGCTACTCAGGAGGCTGAGGCGAATCACTTGAACCCAGGAGGTGGAGGTTGCAGTAAACTGAGATTGCACCATTGCACTCCAGCCTAGGAGACAGAGTGAGACTCCATCTCAAGAAAAAAAAACAAAATAAAATAAAATAAAAATAAAAAAATAAAAATAAAGATATAATTCTTTTTTCTCATGTAAAAAACTAAAGCTTTCCAGAGCTCACCTCCCCTGAAATATGGGAACTTCAATGGAAACAGAAATTAAGTATAACATGTAATCTAGGGACATCTGAAATAGACCAAAACTAAATTTTGAATAACAAACCCAGATAAGAATTCACAACACACTCCATGGGGAAGAGCCAAACTGGCAAGTGGGGGATTTTTCCTGTGTCAAATGTCTCAGTATCTTGACTACAAAATATGTGAACACACTAAAATCAGAAAATAATTTCTGGTTCAAAGTCAAAAACATGATGGCCAGGTGTGGTGGCTCATGCCTGTAATCTCAGCCCTTTAGGAGGCCAGCGTGGGTGGATCACTTGAGGTCAGGAGTTTGAGATCAGTCTGACCAACATGGCAAAACCTCATCTCTACTAAAAATACAAAAATCAGCCAGGTGTGGTGGTAGGTGCCTGTAATCCTAGCTACTGGGGAGGCTGAGGCAGGAGAATCCCTTGAATCCAGGAGGCAGAGGTTGCAGTGAGCTGAGAGTGCACCACTGCACTCCGGGCTGGGCAACAGAGAGAGACTTCATCTCAAAACAAAACAAAACAAAACAAAATAAAAACATTATATTATTGTAAAGTATATTTGGCATATACTCTACAGGATGTACAACCTAGAATAAAAACCATGGGTTCCATATACATAAACAATAATGAATGGGGTCGGGCGCAGTGGCTCATGTCTGTAATCACAGCACTTTGAAAGGCCGAGGCAGGTGGATCACCTGAGATCAGGAGTTCCATACCAGCTCGGCCAACATAGTGAAACCCCATCTCTGCTAAAAATGCAAAAAACCAGCTGGGTGTGGTGGCGGGCACCTATAATCCCAGCTACTCAGGAGGCTGAGGCAGGAGAATCACTTGAACCCAGGAGGCGGAGGTTGCAGTGAGCTGAGATCGCGCCATTACACTCCAGCCTAGGCAACAAGAGCAAAACTCCATCACATACACAAAAATAAATAAATAAATAAATAAATAAATAATAACAGTAATGAATGGATGGAGAAAAAAACAGAGGATCTCAATTAGGAAATGAGAAAGAGGCCAGCCATGGTGGCTCACGCTTGTAATCCCAGTACTTTGAGAGGCAGAGGCAGGCGGATCACTTGAGGTCAGGAGTTCGAGAGCAGCCTAGCCAACACGGCAAAACCCCATCTCTACCAAAAATACAAAAATTAGCCTGGTGTGGTGGTGCACGCCTGGAGTCCCAGCTCCTTGGGAGGCTGAGGCAGGAGGATGGCTTGAACCCAGGGGGCAGAGGTTGCAGTGAGCCGAGATGGTGCCAGTGCACTCCAGACTGGGTGACAGAGTGAGACTCTGTCTCAGGAAAAAAAAAAAAAAAAAATAGGAAATGAGAAAGAGATAACACAGAGATATGAAATTCGTAGTGCAGCTGATGAGACTGTAACCTGATTTTGATAAATACACTGTCAAACTTTGCCCACTACATTTGCTGACACCTTGCTACCCTGACCTCTCTGTGCTATTTACTTCCAACCTCCTCCTCTCTGTTTATTTTGTTGTTGTTGTTGTTGTTTTAACTGGAGCCTTGGTTATTGAGACAATCTCTTTCCCTCTCTTTTTTTTTTTTTTTTTTTTTTACACTGTGACAGGTCAGGTGTTATGCTTGGACCCTTTAAAACAATTGGTAGATTTTTTTTTTCCTGTTTTGTTTCGACAGGGCTAACTTTTCAAATTAAATCCTTTTATTGAATTTTCACCCTTGGATAGTTTCTGAAGATGCTGCCTTCGCAAAAAAAAAAAAAAAAAAAAAAAAAAAAAGTAAAATAAATAAAATTAGAACTGATACATTTCATGCTTTGTGAAAGCTAAGCCTGAGATGACAGTTTGGCATTATCAACCGCCATGCCTTCAGGGAGCACAGGAATAATGCTGGGTGTAAGAAAATGTGCAGATCACAGAGAGTGATGGCCTCATTGTTTTTAGGATAAAGCGTCATGTGCATTGGATGCCACAAGCCAGAAAACAGCAGCATATGCCCAAAAGCTTGAAAATGAAAGCAACCCGGGATGCTACCAATTCCATCCAGAGCTTCCTAAACTAGGGGTGCAATCATGGGAAACAGACCCTCAAGCTCTTTCACTAATTTTCTGTTGTGGAACTTTGCTACTCAAAGCATGTTTCACAGACCCGCAGCATGGATATCATCTAGGAGCTTGTTAGAAATGCAGACTCTCGGCCGGGTGCGGTGGCTCACGCCTATAATCCCAGCACTTTGGGAGGCCGAGACGGGCGGATCACGAGGTGAGGAGATCGAGACCATCCTGGCTAACACGGTGAAACCCCGTCTCTACTAAAAATACAAAAAATTAGCCGGGCGTGGTAGCGGGTGCCTGTAGTCCCAGCTACTCAGGAGGCTGAGGCAGGAGAATGGCCTGAACCTGGGAGGCGGAGCTTGCAGTGAGCCGAGATAGTGCCACTGCACTCCAGCCTGCGTGACAGAGCGAGACTCTGTCTCAAAAAAAAAAAAAAAGAAAAAAGAAATGCAGACTGTCAGGCCCCTACTGAATTACAATGCAGATCTTAACAAGGTCCCTAGGTGGGTAGCATACATGCTAAGGTTTAAGATGTGAGGCTCTAGCATTTTCAGACAACCTGGTAAGTGAGGTGAGATAGCCACTGGTAGCCCTGACAACTGGTCAGCCGGGTATGCCATCATTCAACATATGCTTAGTGAGATCTCTCTACATGTAGATGCCATGGCATGTGCTGGAGACATAATGTTTTTGTTTTGACATGGGATCTCACTATATTGCCCAGGCTGGAGTAAAGTTGCTATTCACAGTTGTGTTCACAGTGCACTACAGTCTTGAACTCCTGGGCTCAAATGATCCCCCTGCCTCAGCCTTCTGACTAGCTGGGACTACAGATGTGTGCTACCATTCCTGGCTCTGGAGACACAATACTGAATATGATATACATGGTCCCTGCTCTCATAAAACTTACAGACTGGTGGCGAGAAACGGTTGTGATCGAATAAACACGTAAAAAGAAAGTATAATTTCAAACAGAGAAGAACATGATAAAGAAAAAAAATAGTTGTATAAAAGCAATCAAAATAAGAAACTCATTTAGACTGAGAGTTTACGAGAGGCTTTTCTAAGAAATAGGCGATTAACCTGAGGTCTCAACCATCCACAGTAATCAATTATGCTCGATTGGTCAGGGTATGGGCAAGAAAGAAGGGTATTCCAGATAGAGAAAACAGCATGTACCAAGGCTTTATGGCAAGACACATACCCCTGTATGTTCCAAGAATTGAAAACCCGCCTAAAGGCCTGCAGGCAACGAGTGAGGAGAGGGCAGACTAAGATTAGGCTGAGGGAATGGGCAGACACAAGTTATGCTGGAGCTATAGGTCAAGATGAGAATTTAGCTCTTTATCATCAAAGCAATGGGAAGTAAGCAAGACTTTTTTTTTTTGAGACGGAGTCTGGCTCTGTCGCCAGGCTGGAGAGCAGTGGTGCGATCTCAGCTCACTGCAACCTCCGCCTCCTGGGTTCAAGTGATTATCCTGCCTCCACCTCCCAAGTCGCTGGGACAACAGGCACGCACCACCACACTCAGCTAATTTTTGTATTTTTAGTAGAGATGGGGTCTCACCATGTTGGCCAGGATGGTCTCTATCTCCAGTAAGCAAGACTTTTAAACAATGATGTGTTTACTTTTGCATTAAGAAAATATTGATCTGTTATGTAGCAAGAACTGGACCTTGGAATCCAAGATAACATCATCTGCTCCAGGGAAATGGAGACGTCACCACCAGAGCGAGCCCCCTGAGGAGGTGGGAAAGCTGCTCTGACCTGTTGAGCTCATTCTGTGTCAGGCACAGTGCTGGGCATGTTACATGTGGCAGCTTTGCCTGGGTTACAGAGGATGATGGTCAGCCTTGATCCCTAACCTGTGCCCCAACTGACTCTGTCAAAAAATATATTCACTCCCCCAAAAGGGAAACAAACCTTTAGAGATGAGAAATCTCATGGTACATGCATAGTAATGAAAAATGTGTGGTTTCTGGGGAGTTTGGGTTATAGGGTTGACCTGCTTTGTTTGGCTGTAAGCTGGTAAAGTGCAGGACCTTCTGCCTTTGTGTTCAGAAGAGCCAAGGACTGGTAGGCACAAACGGCAGTGATTAGGGTGCTTTTGAATTGTGAGGGATATTTTAGAAACTGGGAAGGTCTTGGAAATGAGATGGTCACTCTCTGGGCCAGCGCTGGGTAGCCTACAACAGCCTCATTGCTCTGTGGTAATTGTGGATAGTCCATTCTCTTCCTCTCCTCTACATCTGAGACCTCTTCCTTTCTCCCTGTCTTTTCTCCCCTCACCCTCTTCTATATACAGTTTCCCCCTTTTCTCATTTTCTTTTACCCCCTCACCTGGAGTGCTCTATCCTAGGCCTAGCGGTACCCCTGCAAATGCTTAGCCCTTCTGAGGATCCTCTGTACCAGAGAAGGGGAAGGAAACATTCATTGCTGGTGTTAGTAGGTCAGGCACTGTGTGAAGTATTGTATATGCATGGGTTTCTTGAATTCTCACCTGAATAGGCTCTGTGAGATAGACATCACTGTCCTCTACTTATTTACCATATTAGCTTAGCTATATTATTACTTAAGCTTTCTATGCCTTTGCTTCTTCATATGTGAAATGAGAAAAACAACCTACAACATTGTCATGAGGCTACAAAGTGTAGTCCTGTCCTTCACTGCAGCATAACCACCCGGAGTTGATAAGAACTACTGACAGGTGAGCAATTCACTCAACTGACTCTCCTCCTGCTGCCTCTCATGGGGACACACAGAAAAATTCTCTCTCTCTCTTTTTTTTTTTTTAATTCTTTCCAAGTGTTTTGTGAATCTCCAAACAAGACAGTGAGGCATGGCCTGGATGGTATCTGACAAAATAAGGAGACTGAAGAAACAATTCAACACAAAAGAGTAGCAGCAGCAACAACAATGAAACACTTTAGGAATCAAGAGTTTGGAAGTATTCTCTTTACCTGGAAAGACACTTTGATTGGATGAGAGGGCTGTGCTGGTATCACCACTATCAAAATATGCATATTTCTGGATAACCTATATATTTATATTTACAAATATATGTGAAAATATATATTTATGAAAAATTATTAAGACTATTTTGTATTACTGAAGACAGGAAATGTCTTCATGCCTAAATCACACGATTATTGCCACTGTGCCACTGTGCCTGCCTACCTATCCTTAGCTCTTCCGAACAGAAGATACCTGCACTTTACTAGCTTAGAGTCAAAAGAAGCAGGTCACCCCTGCAACCCCAAATCCTCAGAAACCACACATCCACTATTACTCTGCATACACCATGAGATTATTACACAGACTCAGTTCATGACAGAGTCATAGAACTAATATTACTATGAGTATTGCGGCAAAGTTGATTTACTTACGACCATCCACAGTTCTGGCCTCAAGATGCACAAGGTCTGGTTCTTTATTTGACCCCATCACAGACCTAAAAAATGGAGAAACATGAAAAGAAACATCCATATTAATGACTTCACATGTGCCTTAGTGGAACTCGGCAGAGCCCCCAGACTATTAATATCCACAGGCATCTAAACCCACAATCCTTAGAATATATCTACTCTATGTATTTATACAGCCTGACAGTAAAATTTCCACTTAAAATAAAAATGATAATGAAAACTACATTTGATGAAAGGCAGGCTGCATTCTAGCAAGGATGTTGCATGTTATTAGCTGGGACTTGCATACAGGTCCTACGCATGTTGGGTGTGTACTCTTGCAACAACCCCAGTGACAGTGTATTAAACTTTCAAAACTTATTAGGCAGGCATGCTGCTTCAGCTGGGTGACTTGATCAGCGATTCCCATAGCACACTGATCTAATTAATTTTTTCACTGAAATTTGCCAAACCACCTACGACTGCCCTATGAACAAACCCTGTGACTCAACCAATACAGCAGCAGTTACAGCAGAGTGATGATTCTCTGTATTGTCGAACCCGTGTGAAGAGAAATAGATGCACCTCACTTTCTGATACGTGCCTGAAACCATATGTGTAAGCAAAATAAAAGCCTATTTAAAATGCCTTGGAGACACATATTATTTTGTGTAATCCTGCAGTAAGCTATATTAAATAGAAAATAATTATTATTCTGGAACATAAATAATATGGGCAATCACGCTTTATCTCTAGGATTTTTATACAATGAGATTAATTAAACTTGGGAACATCTGCACTTTTTGAAAAAATCAGGCTTTGCAGAACTTTAATTTATTCCATTTCTACACAGAAAACAGCGAAATGCCTCCAAACTGGTCCCTCTGCCTGCCCCCAGCCACTCAGCCCAGCCACTCAATCAAGGCTAGAAAATGCAGATGTTAAAACTACTTATCCCTGGGCCGGGCGTGGTGGCTCACGCCTGTAATCCCAGCACTTTGGGAGGCTGAGGTGGGCGGATCACAAGGTCAGGAGATTGAGACCATCCTGGCTAACACGGTGAAACCCCATCTCTACTAAAAATACAAAAAATTAGCCGGGCGTGGTGGTGGGGTGCCTGTAGCCCCAGCTGCTCCAGAGGCATGAACCCGGGAGGTAGAGCTTGCAGTGAGCCGAGATCGCACCACTGCACTCCAGCCTGGGTGACGGAGTGAGACTCCGTCTCAAAAAAAAAAAAAAAAAAAAAAAAAAAAAGTACTTATCTCTCCAGAGCCTAGTGCGGTATCCACGACCCTGCACAGACTGGGTCCATCTCACTTTTGCTGCCTCATCTCCTGCCACACTGAAAGATGTTGCCATTGTCTGAAAGTGCCACACTCATTTCCTCGCCCCTCTGTGAGTCTCTAAGCTTCTGCCTTCAGGTTGAGATGCTCTTCTCCAGCTTCACCTAACCCCTGAATCATAGTTTAAGACACAAGTGAAAAGTCACTTCCTCTGTTAAATATGTCTCATTTACGACAGGGAAAGGCTTTTCCTCCGATCAGCAAGTGTTTGTTATAAATCCTGTAAGGTCCTTATCAGAGTTTGTTATAAAGAATTATTTTTGTGTTTTTCCAATATGAAGGCATCCTCTTCCCCCAACAGACACACACACAACACACAAATACAAAAGATACACACACAGAGATACCCAATAAAGCTACTGGAAGGTCTTCTCTTTACACACTTTATATTCATAGATATAGTTCCTGGTATATAACAGACAGTCAAATGTGAAATGAAAGAAGGAAGGAATGAAGGAAAGACTAAAGAAAAGGAAAGAAGTTAGGAGGAAAGGCAGGGAGGACAAGAGGAAGGAGGTAAAGAGAAAGAAAGCGAAGGGGCTATAAAGGTCTGCGGGTTTTCTGAAGTAAGTACATTAATCATTGTCCTAGGGTTATTCCCAGAACTCTACTTACTTAAACTCATTTTTCCAACTCAAAGAAGCTGAGTGGCTAGCTGGCTTAATCACTCTTCATCTGGAGAAAAGAAGTCTCCTTAAAGCCCTGTTATCGCTGTCAATAAGTTTTCTCTGATTGATACATGGCCTGCAATTCAGAGCCTATGCTTGAAACATTAAATCCTACTTTGTTCTTCCCCTAGGAAGCAGATATTTCCTAATAAGGGTCTCATAATTTCCCTCATATAGACATGGGACATGCATTTGCACATTTTAATCACTGGAATCTGCTTGAATCCAGGCAGAAAGTGACCCTTTCATCAGAATTTCAGTTAAGTACTGCAGCGACTACTAGGCTTTGGGTGGTGACTCTCCTCACACTGAAGCATTAACTGGATCCGCAGGTGACCTTTTCTGACAAGACTGCAAGTCATGAGCATTAAAAAAGAAAATGAGCTGCTTGACAAGCCTCAATCCAGAAAGCTCAGCAGTTAACTGTTTTATTTCAAAATGGGCAGTTACATGTTGTTCAACTGTCCACCTTGCCTTAAGTTTCATCCTTGAAATGACTACCACCACTTATTCCCAGGAGAAACGCAGTACCCCAGAAACACAAGGTTAAAACTAGCATGCAAGCCTATCTACTTGGCTTACGGCTAGTGTCAACGGGAGGCAAAATAATTACGCTGGATTCAGTGTAGCTTTCCATGTGCGTATAGTCTCAAATAAATAATAGCAGTAGTTTTTAAAAATCTTGTATTATCTTTAATGGCAAAGCTGTTGTTTCCAGTGACATCTCCCACTGCCTTATCAACAAACAAAAAACAGGCAAGGCCAGGTGCAGTGGCTCACGCCTGTAATCCCAGCACTGTGGGAGGCTAAGGCAGGCGGATAATGAGGTCAAGAGATTGAGACCATCCTGGCCAACATGGTGAAACCCCGTATCTACTAAAACTACAGAAATTAGCTGGGTGTGGTGGTGTGTACCTGTTTCGGGAGGCTGAGTCAGGAAAATCCCTTGAACCTGGGAGGTGGAGGTTGCAGTGAGCCAAGATCACACTGCTGTACTCTAGCATGGGCGACAAAGTGATACTCCATTTCAAAAAAAAGAAAAGAAAAGAAAAGAAAAGAAAAGAAAAAGAAAAAAAAGAGGCAAGAGCAAAACAGAGTTCTCTGTTCTCCCCAAATCTACTGTGGCTAACAAACCTCCTTATTCTGCCTAAATGTTTTCTCATCTATAGTAAAACAATTACAACTACAAAACAAAGCTTTACATATGAAAGTCAAACCACAGTGTTTCCAATGATTTTTATTTGATGATGCCTCACCCCTAGACCTGTGGTCCAAGAGTATCTCTAGCAGTTACAGATGATAAAGAATTATTGCTGCTTTTACTTTATGGCCTAGTGAGTTCTTAATTGCTGAGGCCAATCAATGCTGAATGTCTGTATAAGTGCTGATTTTAACGGTCCTGTCATTGACCAGATACCTTAGAAAAGCATATCATTGCAGTTGACCCAAATGATATCATTACTCTAGCCTATATATGCTGCTAAATTTTAGCTGGAGCTACAGAGTTAGGTAGCATTCTGTGTGTTTTAAGACCAACTATGTGTTTCATCCTCATCCTCATCATTAAACATCACTGTCATCATCATTATAATCATCAAAGAAAAACAGCATCAACATAGAATTTAATACAAAATGAACTCTTCATGGTCTTACTTGCAGAATGAGATCTTGAGACTGATATTCAAGCATCTCTATCCAAAGACGTTGGTAAATCTGACTTCTGGTATTAAGTATAAGGGATTGGGCACCTTTGTTTTATGCCTCTAGATTATCCGACACATATCACTGTCATAGTTCATAATGATTTGCTACATGTCTGCATAAATGACTCTCTTAATACACCGGACTCCCAAAGGCAAGTGTTCTGTCTTTTATCACTGAACTCTCTCTGCTTGCCTAAGTACAGAGAAGCAAGTTTTCTCAGTAAATACATATACAACATTTTTGCACCAGTCAATATTTACTAACATCCAATACAGCATGTTATTCTTTCTGGGACTCAGAACCTCTCTGTAAATATATGATAAAAATTTTGTCTAGGATATTTTAATTATTTAAAAAAAGGCAATAGGTAGATGTATCTTGTGTACCTTTACACTGCCTTTATGTTGAACTAGGAAAATGAACTCCCTTCTTGAAGTGAATTTTATGGAAGGGAAAGGGAGTCTTTCTGTGTACATCCTGGTGTCTGCCTGGGATCTCCTCTCATCCTTCTTCTGCCTTCATAACTCTTATTGCTGTGGCTCAGCTGCAGATGACTGAAGTTGAAAACAGGCTTCTCAGTGGGGGTGCCACTTAAGCCAAGTTGGTTATCCTTTCTGAGACTTTCAGAATGATGAACATACTTTTGCACAGAAAAAATTAGGCCATGTTATAATTGGTGACTCATTTGTCAATCTCCTTTATTGACAGACAGACTCAAACCTTTCTGTACCTCTGTGCCAGGCACCTGCATGCCACAGATAGATTAGCAAAAAGCATTAACTGAATGGCTTTTGAGAAAAGAGAAGTACACAAACCAGCCATATCAGCATGTATTAATTTATCTGTATATGTAACTTTTGTTAAGTTAGTTAACATCTCTGTGCCGTCACTTTTTTAGTCTTTAAAATAAGTTAACATAATTTTTTCTATATTTTTCCTATAATATACATCTTTAAGTACCTAGAAGACTCCTGGCACAGAGCTAGGGCTCAGGAAATACAGTTAATTTATTTCTTCTCTTTTTCCCCCTTTTTATTTCAAGAAATGGGTGGGGGAATATTAATACCTAAGAAATTAAAATGTATGCTGGTATTAAAAAACTCTTGACCAGGCGTGGTGGCTCACACCTATAATCCGAGGATCACCTGAGGTCAGGAGTTTGAGACCAGACTGGCCAACATGGCAAAACCCCGTCTCTACTAAAAGTACAAAAATTAGCCGGGCATGGTGGCGGGCAGCTGTAATCCCAGCTACTCAGGAGGCTGAGGCAGGAAAATCGCTTGAACCCGGGAGGTGGAGGTTGCAGTGAGCCGAGATCAAGCCAGTGCACTCCAGGCTGGGCGACAAGAGCGAGACTCCATCTCAAAAAAAAAAAAAAAATTCTTGACATATCATGGATGCCTTGCTAACAGAAATGATCTATCAAAATTATTGATTGTCATAAGTCAATAGACAAAAAATGAGTCAATGGCTCAGAGATCAATTATATGAATAAATACAATTCAATTATTTATTCATTTATTTAGTCAGTGAAACATTCCAAACCCCTACTATGAAATAAGAATGAGGGCTACATAATTACTGCACTTAAGAGCTTTAGAACTACAGAAGAGGCAGTAACCCAATGAAGAAAGGGTTCTAACATTCAAGGTGCTATTTGAAGACACAGGAGGAATGACCTTTCACCTGCAGATGGAAACCTGGAGGAAAAGCAAGGTCCAGGAACCCTTTGGAGTAAATGAATCAAATCTTCAAGTATATGCAGCAATAGGATCAATGGACAGAAGGAGTGAAGAGCATTCCATTTACAGACAAATAGCAGGTACTGGGGCCCTAGCTCAAAGAAAGGATGACCCATATATGTATCTATTGTAAGTCAATAGGATGGATCCAGTGTTTCCAAAGTAGATTAGCAAAAGAGAACTGAAAAGACACCAGGGGCCCAATCAAAAAGCACCTTTTGTGTAATGCTCAGGTTTTGTATTTGATCCTAAAAGCCATGAGATGGTGCTAAAGAAAGGTAAGCGTATACATTTATAAGCAGGTGAAAAGACTTCAGTCCTGGTCTATGTGTGGTCCTCGCTATTGAGGGAGTATGAGGCGAAGTTGCACAGGTCATCTAGATGAGCTTTGTTGATGAAAACAAGACAAAGCCCATTGCAGCCTCCTACATCTATACTTCCAGTATCTTAAGTAGGTTTTCACATTTAAGAGCTATTTTGAAATAAAACCTAAAGATCACTAAAGACAAGAATATGAATAAAAACAAATCACACTCTGAAATAGTATACCAGTGACATAGCAGCGCAACATCAGCCTTCTGAAATACAATCAGCCAAATGCAGCCTTTGTAGACATTTTCTACAGAGAAACTCAGAAATGTCACTAGTTTATCATTCGCCTGGCATTTTGTCTGAGTTTATACCAGCTTAATATAGTGCCCAATAAATGCTGCAGAGCCACAAAATGTCCTGATGTAGATAACCGCAGAGCAAGTATTACAAAATAAATATCATGATGGGATAGCACCTATTTATTCAGATTCAGAATTGCAGTTAATGGCATATGGGAAGAAACGAGGAGGGACCTGCAGAGGAACAGAGGCTGGAAGGTTGGAGACCCCTGCCTTCCTCTTCATGTTCCCACAGCCCCTCTTCATAAACAAAGTCCATGAGGGCAACAGGTCCTGTCTGCTACCAAAGTGCCTGGCAGGTATTGGCAGTGACATACCTTGGTTTCCTCTCCTACAGTCAAGGGTTTCCCCTTCACCTGCCACTATAATTAGGCCCTCAGAAAAACATCATCAAGATAACCCTGGTTAAAAAAAAAAAAAAAAAAAGATAACCCTGGTTAAGGCCACAGTTTTTGTTTTTGAATAGATCATCTTAGCCTGAGGTCTCGTCTGCGTCCAACACGGGCAAATGGGCCAGATAATCTACAAAGCAGCCGAAGGTGCCATTTAACCTCTCCCTTTAGCCTAAGAAACATGTCTGCTTTCTGCTTTTATTCCTCTGGCCCCCGACACTGTCAGTCACATTGGTTCTCCAGAACCAAAGGTGCCTACTAAAAATAACAAATAAATAGATCAATAGATAAACAGACAGATAAAAACAATGCTTAATCTCCTCAATGCACAATGGCCTACTGAGAATCAGCATTGCCAGCAACCTGAGGCCCTCCACGTGCTGCATTTTGTCATCCTTACTCCCCAAGCCAGAAGCCCAAGTGTTTATTTCTATGATGTCTGCAGCAAAGTGTGTGTGTGTGTGTGCATGTGAGTGTGTGTGTATGTGTAGGTGTCAGGGAGCAAAGTGAGGCACGCAAGTCTGACCTGGAATGAAGAAATACATAAAGCTCAGGAGAGCAGTGAGGAGATGAAGATGTTTATTGAGCAAAGGGCTTGGTAAATAGGACTAAAAGTTTAAACAACAATGTTTAGAAACAAGCAACCTGTCTCTAAAGACATCACAATGACCAGACCTAAACCAGCCAAGAAGAAGCTTTCTGCAGCAGCTCTCCCCTTCCTTTCCCCACTTTCCCTTTTCTAATTTAATGACTTTGCTTTTTCCATCAGTGTTTGCATTTTTCTGTTTCCTTCTTATTTCCCCACTTTTATGCCCCCTCTTTGTCTTTGTTGTTTCTTAAATAAATATTTTTTTTAAAGAGGGGGGTGGTGCAGGCATGGTGGCTCACACACTTTGGGAGGCCGAGGTGGGTGGATCACTTGAGGTTGGAAGTTCGAGACGAGCCTGGCCAACATAATGAAACCCCATCTCTACTAAAAATACAAAAATTAGCCAGGCGTGGTGGCACACATCTGTAATCCCAGCTACTCAGGAGGCTGAGGCAGGCGAATTGCTTGAACTCAGGAGGCAGGGGTTGCAGTGAGCCGAAATCATGCCACTGCACTCCCCTACCCACCCCCACCAAAAAAGGATAAAAGTATGTGGGGGGTCTAGAGAGATACCAGGGACCATGCTCAAATCAGTGCTCCTGATCCCCAAACAAAAATCACAGTGCCAATGAGATACAGAGAAATGCACTTCAACTGATCAAAAAGAGCATGAGATTAAGGTAAAGGAAAAGCTTAAAATATTTTTAATAAGGTTTCTTTTTATCTTTTTAAACTTTAGTGGTATCATACCCTGCATATTTTTAGCAACTTGTTAAATGTACTCAATAATATATCTTGGAGATGGTTCCATACCAGAACAAAAAATTAATGAGATAAATCTCTAACTATTTTATTGCAACCTATTAAATGAAAATATCCGATTTTTTCAGTCGTTGTCTATTGATGGACGCAAAGAAAAAATATACATAAATGGGGAAGAAAAAACTGGAGATACACATTAAAAATTCATAATTGTAGTCACTTTTGGTAGAGTTTGGGGGTTGTGGGTAATAGTCAAAGGGATCCTTATCTTTATCAGTAATTTAAGAACTTTTATAAGGAAGATGTATATATGCGATTGTCTAATAATTAATACAGCTGTACTATTAATAAAAAGAAAATATTCTCCATCTGGAAAATAAAATCTAAGTGGGTAGTAAATGTGAGCAAATCACAAAGGGAGAGAAAAAAGGATGAGTGACATTTCTGTAGGGAGGAGACCTGGGATTTTCTCAAATCTTGAATACTTATAAGTCAGACACCATCTTAGTGAGAGGGCCAGGAAGGTGAAAGCCTAGAAGAGTTGTGGTCAGAGAAGCAGTGCTAAGGACTTCCTGGAGGGGTGTGCTTGTGTTGATGTTAAAATCAGTGTGAGAGGAAGGAGGCTGGAGATCCTGCGTGGGGCCAGAGGGGCCACAGTGACAGAAGACAGGGAGAAGAGAGAACCTCTCCACTTCTCCTCTCTTTATCCATTTCTGTTAAGGACAAAGAACTTCAGACTAGAGGGTAGAACAAATATAAGTTTAAAGGAATTGCTCAGCGCAGTGGCTCACACCTGTAATCCCAGTATTTTGGGAGGCTGAGATGGGAGGATCGCTTGACTCCAGGAGTTTGAGACCAGCCTGGGCAACAAAGCCAGACCCCATCTCTATTAAAAATTTTTAAAAAGGCCAGGCACAGTGGCTCACGTCTGTAATCCCAGGGTCTCACTATACTGCCCCGGCTGGTCTTGAACTCCTGGACTCAAGCAATCTGTCCACTTTGGCCTCCCAAAGTTCTGAGATGACAGGCGTGAGCCGCTGTGGCCAGCCAGGGATTGTTTTAAAAGGCAAGGTTAGTGGACTAGGTATTTGAACTACAGACTCACTATGGATGATCAGAAAGGTTGGGTAAATATTAAAAGTAATAAGAGACCAAGCAAAGAAATAAAAGAATCATGAGGCCAAAAACTGAGAGAAGATGGAAATTCAGAGAAGAAAGTCCAGAGTTTGGCCCACTCTTCCCCTGGGGAAAACTGTCATTGTCTTGGCTGGGCATGGTGGCTCATGCCTGTAATCCTAGCACTTTGGGAGTTCAAGGTAGGTGGATCACTTTAGGTCAGGAGTTTGAGACCAGCCTGGCCAACATGGTGAAACCTCATCTCACTAAAAATACAAAAATTATCCTGGCGTGGTGGCACATACCTGCAATCCCAGCTACTCAAGAGGCTGAGGCAGGAGAATCACTTGAACCCAGGAGGCAGAGGCCGCAGTGAGCCAAGATTGCACCACTGCACTCCAGTCTGGGTGACAGAGAGAGAGAGACTGTCTCAAAAAGAAAAAAAAAAAAAAGGAATTGAAAATTTAAACCAGGCCGGGCGTGGTGGCTCATGCCTGTAATCCCAGCACTTTGGGAGGCCGAGGCAGGTGGATCACGAGGTCAGAAGATCGAGACCATCTGGCTAACACGATGAAACCCCGTCTCTACTAAAAATACAAAAAAAATATATATATATAGCTGGGTGTGGTGGCGAGCGCCGTAATCCCAGCACTTTGGGAGGCCGAGTCGGGCAGATCACGAGGTCAGGAGATCAAGATAATCCTGGCTAATGTGGTGAAACCCCGTCTCTACTAAAAAACACAAAAAATTAGCTGGATGTGGTGGTGGGCACCTGTAGTCCCAGCTACTTGGGAGGCTGAGGCAGGACAATGGCGTCAACCCGGAGGCAGAGCTTGCAATGAGCTGAGATCACGCCATTGAGCTCCAGCCTGGGCGACAGAGTGAGACTCTGTCTCAAAAAAAAAAAAAAAAAGAAAATTTAAACCTGAGCATTTTGCTGCTGGAGATAACCTGACCCCATGGAAATGATATTCTATAAGAGAATTCCAGAACAGCTATCTCCACATGTTTTGTTTGAACACATCAAGCAAGGGGGGGAAATTAGGCACCCCCAATACATGATGGTTTATTAGATATAAGTTGTGGAAATGCAGTACAGTACTTACATACTAACTTTAGAAAATATACACAAAATAGAAACTAAAATCGGAGCAAAGAATAATCAGAAAGTATCTTCTTCCCACACCTCAGTGAATCACCAATTACCCCCCTAGGGTGTGGGTGCAGGTAAGTCACCATGGAGACTGTTGCTCTAAACTGAGGATTCCTGGGATATCCTTAATATTTAACACCAGGCATGGCAGATGGTTGATTCTGAATTAATTTTTTAATGAATAAATAAATAAATTTTTGAATATGTTTACTGAGTAACTACAAATGCTAGGTGTAGTTCTAGACATTAGGGGTTTAAAATTGAATAAAAAAGAAAAATCCCTGTACCTTGTGAAGCTTACAATTCAATATGGAACACAGAGAAATTAAAAATAAACATGTCAGGTGATGCTCATAACATTTCTTGAAAGCTGTGTGAGGAAAAATATATAAAATACAAGGCATTTAGCTCCATCAGAAAAAAAAACCCATTGTTCCCCGGTGTCAATCAATGGCTGGTTTCCATCTATTAAGTGTGAGATTGATGTCATATAGGGCCACAAGGCTGTGCTCTTGTTGGTGTCCTGCTCATCAATTGTCAACAACTTGGGTGAAAATACATGTTGTGTGCCTAGAAAATTCATACATGACACAAATTCAGGAAAAATAATGAAAAGATAAGAGAAAGACAGTGTTATCTCTGAAAGCAATTTACTTGCCTAAGGGCATAGAGCTAATAAAAGATACAATCAGACTGGAACCTAGGCATTCTAATTTCTCTAGGGCTCTATACACCACCTGTAAAAAAGAGTAGAGATAATAGTACCGAATAATACGATTGTTGTGAAAGGTAAAAGACGAAATACGTGTAGCTACTACTACTGTCAAGAGTATGAATCAAGGAATCCTTTAGGGACAGAAAGTCTGTTAGAGATTAACTAGTTCAAATACCTCCTGTTACAATTAAGAAAGCCCAGGCTTCCAGAGAGCAAATACCATGTCCAAAGTCATACCACTCAGAGTGTATCAAGGTTGGAATTACTAACCCAGGTCCTTAACTCATGTCAATAATTCTTTTCATAGAAAAAAAAATTACCCCTTAGTGTCTGAGGCAAGACAGTGTTAACTAGGAAGATAATGTGTGTCTTACACACTAAAAAGATAAGGAGAAGCCAGACGTGATGACTCACACCTGTAATTCTAGCAGTTTGAGAGGCTAAGGCAGGTGGATTGTTTGAAGCCAGGAGGTGAAGACCAGCCTAGCCAACATGGTGAAACCCCGTTTCTACTAAAAATACAAAAATTAGCTGGCGTGGTGGCATGCACCTGTAATCCCAGCTACCTGGGAGGGTGAGGCAGGAGAATCACCTGAACCCAGGAAGCAGAGTTTGCAGTGAGCCAAGATTGCGTCACTGCAATCCGGCCTGGGTGACAGAGTGAGACTCTTTGTCTCAAAAAATAATAATAATTATATATAGAGAGAGAGAGAGTGAGAGAGAGAGAGAATGGAAAATCCTGACATTTCAACATCCTGCAAGCGTTAAGTGTATTGGCATACATGAGCCTAGACATATATGAGGGGTCCCATGTCCCAGAGATTGGAAACAGACTAGATATTAATTTCTTCAGCTTAGACCTTAAATAGCAGGGTTTCTAAGTTTGAAGGTGGCTTTTTTGCAGTCACTTGCAAAATGACTAATACATTCTCTCCCTTCTCAGAAAACACAGTGTCAGTTTTTACACGGACAGCTCAGTGCCTGGCCTGTAGGTAAGGCTGGTTTAGCTATCCTTGTAGTCGCTTTTCCATACTTCGTCAGATTATTATGACACAAAGTCTTCTCTTGCTTTATGGTTGGGTATTGGTACTTCTGCAAAAATACACTAAGAGGCTATTGCCCTCAAATACTTCAACTGAGAAGGAAAAGAGATCCAGTCAGTAAAGCTTGGAAGGGAGTAAGAATAGAATTGGGTTAGATATAGGAGGAAATTAGATTGATCTTCATTGGAGAGGCAATTCCTGGGGTGCGAAATGGCAACTGCTCTCCTTAGCAGAGGTTGAGTATCCCTTATCTGAAGTACTTGGGACCAGAAGGTTTCAGATTTTGGATTTTATTTTTCAGATTTTAGAATGTCTACATATACATACTGAGATATCTTAGGGATGGAACGCAAGTCTAAACACAAAATCCATTTATGTTTTATAACACCTTGTACATATAGCCAGAAGATAATTTTACACAATTTTTTTTTTGAGATGGAGTCTAGCTCTGTTGCCCAGGCTGGAGTACAGTGGCACAATCTCAGCTCACTGCAGCCTCTGTCTTCTGGGTTCAAGTGATTCTCATGCCTCAGCCTCCCAAGTGGCTGGGACTATAGGCGCATGCCACCACACCCGGCTAATTTTTGTATTTTTAGTGGAAATGAGGTTTCACTATGTTGGCCAGGTTGGTCTCAAACTCTTGACCTCAAGTGATCCACCTGCCTCGGCCTCCCAAAGTGCTGGGATTACAGGTGTGAGTCACCACGCCTGGCCAATTTCATACAATACGTTTATTAGTTCTGTGCATAAAACCAAGTTGTGACTGCATTTCGACCAGAACCCATGGCACGAAGTATGGTATGAAATTTCCCACTTGTGACATCATGTTGTCACTCAAAAAGTTTCAGATTTTGGAGCATTTATGGTTGGGGATTTTCAAATTAGGGCTGTACTACCTGTACTTTGTTTGTTGATGAAAAATTTCTGGAGTTCTGAGTATAAGGTGTGAAGGGATTTGAAACTGGGCAAAGACAGGGAAGCTATTTTGTGAAAATAATTTAAAGGCTGTGCCAGTTTGCTTTTGAACTCATGTAAACTCCTTGGCCAAGGAAACTAGTGTGATGACAAAAAAAGAAAAACACACCTCTTAATTTATCTCATTTTGGGGTCTGTTTTTAAATCAGTAGTCCACTATGGATGTGAATTCCTAAAGTTGGTTTTGAAAATATCTCAATGTGACAAAGAAAAGAGAGAAGTGGAGGAGGGAAAGGGAAAGAGAGGGAGTAAAAGAGAACATGGGAAAGAGAGGATAGGAGAATGAGAAGGGCAAATGAAGGCATTGGAGACAGAATGAGGATAGAAAGGGAGGAAAGAGAAGCCAGAGAGAGGAGACTTTCTTCGCTATGACTATTCCACAGGGGTCACCATGCCCTCCTGCTGCCTGGCTGCCACCAGTCCCACCACACCACCATCCATCTGGAAATATGTTTGACTGCTTTATTATTATCATTATTTGTATATTTTATTTTATTGAGAAGGAGTCTCATTCTGCCACCCAGGCTGGAGTGCAGAGCAATGGTGCGATCTCAGCTCACTGCAACCTCCGCCTCCCAGGTTCAAGTGATTCTCCTGCCTCAGCCTCCTGAGTAGCTGGAACTACAGGTGCATACCACCGTGCCTGGCTAATTTTTGTATGTTTAGTGGAGACGGGGTTTCACCATGTTGGTCAGGCTGGTCTCTAACTCCTGACCTCAAGTGATCCACCCACCTTGGCCTCCTAAAGTGCTGGGATTATAGGTGTGAGCCACCGCACCCGGCCTGTATAATTTATTTAAATAGCATGCTTTAAAAATAACACCGCTGTGAAAAATCTGACTGCAAAAGGAGTATGTATTCATTGAAAATATAATACTAAGTATACAGAAGTAAAAAAAAGGAAACTAAAACATTCTTACAATCCCTCCATCTAGAATTAACCACCTTTAATATTTTGCTGTTAATCCTTCAGTACTTTTTCAGTGTTCGTGTAGGCACTCCTTTTTCTTTTTAAGACTTTTGCATCATATCACGAACACAGCGTAACACACGATGTAATATTAGAACACACTGTTTTGCCAGCCGTACAATATTCTATAGTTGACTTAACTAGTTTTCTGATCACAGAGTATTGGTAATATCTATCGTTTTACTTTTATTTATTTATTTATTTATTTACTTGACATAGAGTCTCGCTCTGTCACCCAGGCTGGAGTGCAGTGGCGCGATCTCAGCTCACTGCAAGCTCCACCTCCTGGGTTCACGCCATTCTCCTGCCTCAGTCTCCCAAGTAGCTGGGACTACAGGCGCCCGCCACCAGGCCCAGCTAATTTTTTTGTAGTTTTAGTAGAGACGGGGTTTCACCGTGTTAGCCAGGATGGTCTCAATCTCCTGACCTCGTGATCCGCCCACCTCGGCCTCTCAAAGTCCTGGTATTTCAGGCTTGAGCCACCGTGCCCGGCCATCATGTTACTTTTAGACATGATGCTGCACTGATGATCTTTGTAGGTAAATATCTGTATGTGTCTCTAATCTCTCTAGTTTTTCAATAGGAACAACTGTTATAAGAGGAGATATTGTAGTCTTCCCTTACCCACAAAGTTTAAGTCCATAAGGTATAAGAGTGCTTACAATGTTTAGAATATTTACCTTATGACTATACCATATTTTTCATGTATTTTTTAATTGGTGAATTTAGAACCTTCATTCTTTGTTTTGGGAATTAAAATGACTTAAACACAGAGGTTAGTAGCCTGCTTACAGGTCTGTTTTGTTTTTGGGAGCAGCCAGGCTTGCTTTTTTCCTTGGTTAAGACAGAGGAGAGACAGGAAAAGGTAAAACAGAGTGTGAGTGTGAGTGTGTGCATGTGTGTGTATGTGTATAACATCTTCCTTTTGGAAAAGATGTGTGAGTTGCCCAACTGAACAAAGAGGAAAGCTCAGAACTACTGGGTGAGAACCCCACCTCCATGGTCAACCAAGAAAATCAGTCACAGAGAAAGTGCATTTGCTTCTGACGTCTCCATTCCAGGTCAGACTCTAAAATGCTCCTTAAAAAAAGACCAACAAAAAGTTTATTAGCCAAAAAGTCTTGCCCTTAATTAGTAGGTCAACAGGGATCCTCTTGACAATAGCTCAGAGCCAGGGCAGAGGGACACCTAAAGTGAGAAAGAGATATTAGTAAAGAAACAATAAGGGCCAGGTGCGGTGGTTCACACCTGTAATCCCAGCACTTTGGGAGGCCGGGCAGACCAAGAGGTCAGGAGATCAAGACCATCCTGGCTAACATGGTGAAACCCCATCTCTACTAAAAATACAAAAATTAGCTGGGCATGGTGGCAGGTGCCTGTAGTCCCAGCTACTCGGGAGGCTGAGGCAGGAGAATGGGTGAACCTGGGAGGTGGAGCTTGCAATAAGCGGAGATTGTGCCACCACACTCCAGCCTGGGCGACAGAGTGAGACAACGTCTAAAAAAAAAAAAAGAAAAGAAAAAGAAAAAGAAAAAAAGAAACAACAAAACACAATCTAGAATTGAGCTTATTCACCTTCATTAGCACACTACAGTAATAATTGCTGTAGGCAAGATTGGCTATGAATACTATAGTAGGCAAAACGCATGTTCTCAACGTATCTCTCCAAAATCTTGATCAATTTTCTGGTTATATTAACATATGTTCACACACTTTTTGATACTTATCCTGCCAGGAGTTAGAGCTTAATTCTCCTTCCTTTGAGTGTGGGCTGAACTTAGTTACTTGCTTCCAACAAACAGAGTATGGGACAAGAAAAAGAGTAACTTTTCAATGGAGAAATCTGGGAGCTTCCAACAAATAGAGTACGGGACAAGAAAAAAAGTAACTTTGCAATGGAGAAACCTGGGAGACGCCCCCTTCACCAAGTGATCAAAGTTAACATCATCAGTAATAAGACATATTGATATCTTGTACTCCTTGATATGAGGTGATGAGAAGGGTACATCATTTCTTTGATATTCTTCCCAACAATCTATAACCCTGTAATCATGAGAAAATATCAGACTAACTAACCCAATTTGAGGGGCACTCTACAAAATACCTGACTAGTACTCTTCAAAACTGTCCAGGTCATCAGAGACAAGGAAAGACGGAGGAACTCCTATGGATTTGAAGAGACTAAAAAGACATGAAAAATAAATGCAATTTGGGATTCTGGATTGTACCCTGGGTCAGGAAAAAAAAAAGCGGGGGATATTAGTAGAAAATCTGGAGAAAACCAGACAGTCTCTATTTTAGTTCACTGTTTTTTACCAATGTTAATTTTTTATTGGTAAACATTGCACCATGGTAATGTAAGATGTTAACATTAGGTAAAGCTGGGTGAATAGGATATGGGAACTCTCTGTATTATCTTTGTAATTGTTCTGCAATTCTAAAATTATTTTTAAATAAAAGAGGAAAAAAATCCTATGCCCAAATCTTATTAAGGACATGAATTAGAGCAAAGCCACAATTTCCTACAAAGAGGAAAGTAATCTATTCAGTAAGTCAGCCTCATCACATGGAATGGACTGGTTATACTGTCATTAAAGAAGGTAAACAACTGTATCACTTCAGCTGTCTTATATTTATGATTCAGGCATTTCGACAATCACAAAATAATTAAGCTACTTCATTTTTCAAAAAAGTGTTAAGGTTGTTTTAGTGGCTCTTATTTCTGGGATGTTTTTATTTTTGATTTATTCATAAGTAGAAAACAATGCTGACAGCCAGCGTTCTTATTTATTCTTGGGCTTCCCTGGTTACCACAGACAGAACCTGATAGCAGATGACAACATAAAGATGTTGGGTCCAGGAGCTGCTGAAATGTGAGGTCAAATGTGAGGCTTGTGCCTGATGTGGTTGTCTGCTATGTCTCTTTTGGATTCCTCTCTCTTAGGCATCTCGCTTTCCTTGACTACTCAATTACTCAGGAAGGCCAACTGATCATAGAAGGCAATGGAAGAGCTGGTTTGTTCCCTGGGATGGTGAAGCAGAAGCTATCCCAAGTGCATAAATATTCTAACAGGTTTCATCCTGTCACAATAGAGTCATAAAATTGCTCTGTTCAGCACATGATAATGGCTTTGTAATTCAATTATTGGTAGTATTTGTCTTCTGGGATTTAGCTGCCTTAAACTTCAGCACTCATGTAAAACCCTTTACCATAAATCTCATAAACGCAGGTTCTGTCCCTCACCCCAGGGCACATCTTGCCATGCCTGTGAAAACCTTGACAGCTTTCTCTAAATTATAGAATTGTCCTGTTTAGAGGTGTTGATGTTTTAAGTGCCAGAGTCAACAATAAAAAATAGTGGGACAGCTCCATTTCCTCTAGTTATTCTCTTTAGAGGAAGACAGATCCTGACAGACAGACCAAGTTCCATTCCCAAACCAAAATGATGTTTCCATCCATTTCTCTAGCATTTTTTAGAAGAGATTCCTGCAAGTCATAGGGGGTCAGATGAGATGTCTTCTAAGTTATCTTTGATCCTGAGATTCCGATGCATAAATACATCAGGGCTCATCACCTACATAGATTCACTAGTCTTACAGTTGGTTTTAGAATTTTCCTCTATCTACTCTGCCTTTCTTTTGTGCTCAGTCAAATAAGTCAACCTTCAGTTTTTGGGTCTTCTCTACTCTTCTGTCTTGAATTTAGCATTCTGCATCTCGGTAGTTATCTACTATGACAACCCTATTTAACCTTCAATTTGAAAATGTACTTAAAGATACAACATGACAGATAGATAGGAAGCATAAGTGCTCGTGTTCTATAGCACAACAGGGTGACTACAGTTAACAATAATCTATTATATATTTTCCAATAGCAAGAGGAGAGGATATAGAATGATCCCAGCCCAAAGAAATAAATGTTTGAGAAGATGGATATGCTAATTACTCTGATCCGATAACTATATATATATGTATCCCATAAATATGTACTATTACGTGTCAATTGAAATATTAAAATAAATAAAATGAATAAATAATGCCACCTCATTCCCATCATCTGTCCTACATTTTTCACTCACTCAGAAAATATTTATTGAGCACCTCTTCCATCCATTCCAAAATGCAAATTTTTTCTCATTTTAACATCTTGTACATCAGTAGGTATCTTATGATTGTTCAAATGTTATACAGGCATACTTTGATTGCACTTCTTTTTATTGCTCTTCATAGATACTGAGTTTTTTTGTTTTGTTTTGTTTGTTTTTTACAAATAGAAGGTTTGTGGCAGCCCTTCATGCAGCAATTCTATCAGTGCCATTTTTCCAAAAGCACGTGCTCACTTCATGTCTCCGTGCCACATTTTGCTAATTTTTGCAATATTTCAAACTTTTTCATGATTATAACATCTGTTACGGCGATGTGTGGTCAGTGATCTTTGATGTGACTATTGTGATTGTTTTTGAGTGCCACAAACAACAACCATATAAGACTGCAAACTTAATTGATGCAAACTTAATTGCAAACTTAATGGCATGTGTGTTCTGATGGCTCCACAGACCAGCGATTCCCCCATCTCTCTCCCTCTCCTCAGGCCTCCCTATTCCCCGAGATGCAAGAATATTGCAACATTCACTTATTCGTGCTAGTCTGGAACGAAACCCACAATATATCTTAGATATACCTGTAGTTTAATTGGCAGCATTTTTTTTTGCTGATACATAAAATAATAATGCACCTCCATTTGATGAAAATTTAGACTTTATGATAACATTACATGCCACCAACTGTTCTAGGCACTTTGCTGTCTCTGCTCTGTGGTCAATTTCTTCTTACACCTGTGTGTGAGTGTGTGTAACAATCCTTTCCTTTTGTCTTCTTCTCCCACATTTACCTATGTTTTCTGCAGAAAATATGTCAATATTGATTATATTGACTAATCCTACATCTCAGCATTTTGCTTTCAGGATATAGAAAGGGGAAGCATGACTCAACCAGAGGAGGAATATTACCTAAATATACATAATGTGGCATACACAAATGATTTCATTTTGGGGAAAGTTATTTATCACATTTAAGTTATGGAGGAACAGAAATGCCATCATGCTAGGTAGAAGCATAATTTTGCTTTTGCTTTTATTTGGGAGTTATACATGGTTTCAAAATACCTGCACAGGTGACAAGTTTTCAAAGGATAGACTGTGATTTACTTCTGCCTGAACTATATTTCTCAGAGTCTCTGTAAGGTTTCATATTACAATTCACCAATAGGAAATATGAGATTTGGAAGGCAGGAAAGGGGCGCAGTCAATTCCTTCCAAGACTCATTTTAGTTAGAGGTAGTGAGAGGCAGATGCAGATGTCCCGACAGGTTCTAGTTTGTCCTTGTTCTTCTCTTCCCAATTCCATGCCCAGTTTTACTTGAGACTGCCCGCCTTGTGACCTCAGGCCCCAAACCTGCTTGGCTGCAAACTCACTGAGCAGTAGCTATGCAGGGAAAATATCCTTCCATATGCTTCCTTAGGCATTCTCTTTGCAGTCCTACCTAAGCAGCTGCAAGCCCCTTTATGGAAGGAACTGTGTTTCCTACATCTTTGTGGCCAGAATTTGGCCTGTAAAATCACTCCATTGAAACTAATTAAATGAGTTGAATAATATAAAATTGAGAAGCTACAAATAAAACCTTCAGCTGATTTTCTATCCACTGTTCCTGATTCTGGACAACAAAGAAGTAAAATACATGCACACATTAAAAATTCCCATTGAAAATATAAATTATTCAATCGAATCAAAATGAGATTGCCACATTTCAGAAACACATTAATATCCAACTCTTCCCTATTCCTCCTTTTAGCAGCAGTTAACATTTACTCATCACATATGTAACCAACCTGAATGATCTCATTTTAATCCTTACAATGAGTATACGAGGAAGATACTCTTATGAGGACCATTTTACTGATGAATACTGTAAGGCTTAAAGAAGTTAATTAAAGAGCTCAATGTCACACCCCTTGAAAACAGGATTCTGGCAAAGGTATTCTGACTCCAGAACTCCAATTTTTACACATTAAACACCATCTCCTATTGACTAAAGGCAACATTCAAAATCGATGATTGAATGAACAAGGATAAGCATACAAAGACGTGAAGCAAACTTAGAGGCCCTTAATTTGAAAGCTAAGTGAGGTGTGATCACTAGGGCCAAGTAAACTCCTCCTAATAAAATTATAAATTAAGAAGACACAATTATGAGGATTTTTTTTCCCTCTTACCCTCACTCATGGTAATCACTTGCATTCTGCCATCATAGGAATTCTTAGTGAAGTCTCGAGAAGTGACTGAATATTGTTCAAAGATAGAGAAGCTGCAGCCTATGGGGACAGGCATCATCAAGATAAGGATCACAGGAATCAGTGATGGCCATTAGTGAATGAAGGTCGCATGAAAAGTGATGGGCTCACACTGCAGAAGGGGAAATTTAACTTAATTTGAAGGTAAAACTTGCTAATCACAGGAAAAGATTAAGAAGTGGAGGAGGGGCCGGGCGCAGTGGTTCAGGCCTGCAATACCAGCACTTTGGGAGGCCGAGGCGGGCGGATTACGAGATAGGAGATCGAGACGATCCTGGCTAACACGGTGAAACCCCGTCTCTATTAAAAATACAAAAAATTAGCCAGGCTTGGTGGCGGATGCCTGTAGTCCCAGCTACTCGGGAGGCTGAGGCAGGAGAATGGCGTGAACCTGGGAGACGGAACTTGCAGTGAGCCGAGATCGCACCACTGCACTCCAGACTGGGCGACAGGGTGAGACTCCCTCTCAAAAAAAAAAAAAAAAAAAAAAAAAAAAAAAAAGAAAAGAAAAAGAAAAGGCCGGGCGCTGTGGCTCATGCCTGTAATCCCAGCACTTTGGGAGGCCGAGGCGGGCGGATCACGAGGTCAAGAGATGGAGACCATCCTGGCTAACACGGTGAAACCCCCTCTCTACTAAAAATATAAAAAAATCAGCTGGGCGTGGTGGCGGGCGCCGTAGTCCCAGCTACTAGGGAGGCTGAGGCGGGAGAATGGCGTGAAACTGTGAGGCAGAGGTTGCAGTGAGCCGAGATAGTGCCACTGCACTCCAGCCTGGGCGACAGGGTGAGACTCCGTCTCAAAAAAAAAAAAAAAAAAAAAAAAAAAAAAAAAAAATGCGGAGGAGGTGCAAAAGCGTTAGCAAGCAGCATTCATGTGGAGATCATTAACAATAAAAAAAGAAGAAGAAATACCACGCCTCTCAAGGTAATAAAAATTTTCTTATCTAGCACTCCTAGTGCAGGCACTAGAAACGCCTCAGTAGACCTTGGGAAGGGATCTCTGGGAAGATTCTCTGCCACTTCTCCCTGCTCCTTATCCAAACCATACAGGATTCTACTCAGAGGGCAGGGGCTCAGAATTAGAAGAGACTGCCTCAGAGAATTAGGGAAAGTGTAAAAGAAGAGCGAACAAAGTCCATTCTCAAAGAAAAGGGCTTTCTGAGTTCTTCTCCTGAACTCCATATTCTGAAATGTATCAAGACCTGTCAAAATCAGCAGTAAAGGACAGGCTCGCACTGTGAGAGCAGTCTAGGATGAGTCTTTCTGTTTTTGCTTGAATTTCTCTGGTTACAGGGATCTCATTACTCCTTAGGACAGCCTAAGGAGTTAATAAATAGCCTAGTGCATGGAAAAGTGTGCCTTTCATGGATCTAAAATTTTCATTCCTTCAATATATATACTCCAGTGATTTAGAATTCTGGCATTTTCATGCTAGAGGGAAATACAGAGGTTACCTACTATAGCTCTCTAATTTAACTAATGAGGTCTACTCAAGATATTTCAGTCTCTGCGTTGATGGATTTACATGTGTACATGTACAAGCATGTGTAAATCTGATGAATTTTAGTACCCTGTGTGTGTGTATGCACAAGTTTCTGCTGCTCTATTTACTGTAGTACACAAGATAGAAATATGTTAAAGGCAGAGCCTTGAACCTTAAAAAACTTATCTTCTAGAAGGAAATGAAAAGAAGACAATAAAGAAATATATATGGAGAACATACTAAGTGCTAAGTTACTTAATGGTAATAATGATAATATGTCATTTTTAATGCTAAAAATAAGACTTTGTAGCAGGAAATTGAAGCTTGGGCAGGTGAAATTGTTTCTTGGAATCACCTAGTTAGTTAATAGTAAAGCTAGAAATTTACACCTGAATATGTTCATCCTAAATCCATGCTTTTCCTACCAATCACATATATAGAGCTGCAATCTGGTACATGGTATGATATATTACATTTTATCTGTGACATCATCACATTTAAATTCAGAGAAGAAAGAGATTTCTTTTGTCCCCAAAAGCAGGAAGAACTAAAGAAGGCTCCATGGCACAGGTGGGCTTTCGTATACGGCCAGAAAGATCCACTGTGATCCTAATAAATGACAAAAATCCTCACACAGCATCTTTGTATTCAAAGACTAAAACTGTCCTGGCTCATAATAGGTGCTAAAAATTAATCATTGCTAAAATAAATAAGGACAGATATAAGAAGTATTGACAGATCCATAGACTTACTAGTGCTTACTATTACTTACCTGGACTCCTGGAATTTAGCATACAGAATTAGAGTGGGTAGTAGGTCAGAAAAAGTACATTCAACCCCACAATGGCAAGAACCTAGTTAGATTCTTCCTCTTCAATTTATGTTGCAAACAATGAGGAATGAGACAAATATTTGATTGGGGAGACACAAGAGTCCTTGGGCAGTGATATAGGAAGATGAATGGAGAGGCTTTTTCATTATTTCTCATTGGGGTGTTGGTGGTGGAGCTAAACCAGGGTAATGCTAAGGAGAATGGGGGAGGAAGTGGGCAGGGATAATACTATGAGGGAAGAACTGACACAACTTGGAAATCCACATATTTAAGAAGAGGTAAGACAGCAGAGATAAATATGACCCAAGAGTATTCACACTGGGATATGAGGAATCAGGAAATATGGAAGCCTATTTTTAAAAAGCTGATTCTAAATGGTAAGATATTCCACTGCCACCGCAACATAAATTGAAAGTGAGTGATGGTATTCATTTTGAAGTTTTTTGCAGACAGTGACCTGCTTCATAGCTTTGAGTAAGAGATGAGGCAGAGTATCTTGGAAAAAAAAAAAGCCATACCCCCTTCCTAATATATTATCGGTATATCTGGTCATTTTTATCTAATAGAGTTTTATGCTCTTTCTCTCCTTTTTTTGTAACCTTTTTAGACTTCATCCTATTTCCAGTTTGCAGAACCTGGAGAAGGAAAAATGCAGAGGCTCAGTCTCTTGTTACTGAATCCACTAAATTCACCAGGGGGCAGGAAGAGGAAAGAGTTACAGCCATCTCGCGCCACATTCTCTAAGTCTCTTTGGTGTGGGTGGCTTAGAGAAGTCTTAGGGGTACTGTGCTGAATAGCTGGTATATCTGAAGGAGGAAGAGGAATGGCCATGGTGACCTCGTGTGTATATAACAAACTATCAAACAATAATAAGAGGGATAAAAACCTGAAGTTGGCTCGGCAGCAATATTCAACAAGGCCTTGAGAATGAATGGTAATGATACGAGTCAGAATCAGAGAGAGAGAGAGGCTATTTTATATTCTGGAGTGTTTTCTGATCATGGACAGGTATGTTAGCAAAAGTTTATGAAGCTGCCTCTTTCGTGTCAGCCTTGATACTCAAGGTTAGAGGAGAAAATTTGGGGCAGCGATAATAGGCCAGGTATATTAAAAAAAAAAAAAAGTCACTTCAAGGACTAGCGGTGAGGCCCAGTGGATATGGATAAAGTATCTGCCAGTGTAGGAGTTTTACGTAAGAAGAGAACTCAAGCTCAAAAGCCAGACTTTATTGGTCCATAGCACAGTGGGCGCCATGAAGATACACTGGAGGTAGATTATAGCATAGTGTGCAGATAACACAGGCTCTCTAGCCAGACATACCTGGGTTTAAATTTCATTACTATTGTCTACTAGTGGGAAACATTAGGCAAAATTATATAAGATTGTGTTTATTTATTTACCTTATTTATTTCTCCTCTGAAAAAGAGGACTGAAACATCTCTGGATAATGGGTACCTCTTGTTGATGCCTTCGCATTATCTTCCCCACGTCTTTTGGTAAAAGCACCTTAGTCTCTCCTGGGGCATCATATTCCTTACTTTCTGTCCATGTGGTTTAGTAAAGTTGATTCTAGCCCGAGGTCTATCTATGGGCATTTTACCTAATCAGAGCCCATAAGATTTAATGCTAGGAGTTTTTCTGGAACAAGCAAGAAGTCCTTTTCTTTAACATTGGAGTGAATTGGGAAGATAGAAGCTTCTAGAGGCCACTGCAAAGAGATATTTTGCCCAAGTGAAGCTAAAACAGAGGAAAGGAGAGTGGAATGATGGGGAGAGATCAAGCTCTTATGCCTTTAAGAAGCCTATGGATACAGTGGAGTCTAATAAAGTTCCTTCTGACTTTCCAGACCCATAAGCCAATATCTCTTTAAAATTTTTTTCTTCTTAAAACAGGATGCATTTTTCTATCACATATCTTGAAAGAGTCTTGATCAATAAACTATTTCACATCAATTATTTGAGGATTGATTTAAACGATATATGCAAAATACTTAGCACAAGGCTTGGCACACAGTAAATGCTCAACAAATGGGACTTGTTGAAAAAGATGGGGAATGGGAAGTCATTCACATTGACTGGCATTGAACTGTGGGGAAGAATGAGAATGTGTATACATGCTGAAATGCACTGAGTATAGCATAAGGATAAACATTTATCCTTCTGCTATATAATACAGATGTCATATAACTCCCGGAGGGACATCCTTGAAACATAGCTGGCATTCCAAAATAACAAAGGTTCATTGCTGAGTCAGCTCTTGATTTTCCATGTGTGAATTAGTCACAGAAAATATGTATCACCATTCAGCTGTCCCTATTTCAAGCCAGCTGTCTGTATGTCAGAGCAACATAATCAATAAGGTAAGGCTGAACCTATTTTTAATTAAGTGAAACAGCCCCAAGATTGCATTGTCTTTTGCATAATTAATAGGTTGCTGAAGAGTTTCTAATGAGAAATGCCTTCCATTGCTTTATACTAAACTTGACTCAGATCCTAACAAACCACACTCACCATCCTCCAGTAGAGAATTTGGCTTTTGGCAGGAGGTTTCCTTATTTAAGGCATTTGGATACCACTGATCGTCCACCACCATGTTCTTTGTTCAGTGTCAAATGCGGCACCTTAGCTTTTACCTACTGAAGTGCTAAACTAAAATACAATTTCAAAATTTAAAGTTTTTTCTCCTGTCTTTTATTGGAGGATGAGAAGGGAGTAAGTCTTGAATTTGAACTGATCTTTCAAAACCTGGCTGTTACAAATTATGTGTTATGTTGGATAAACAACATCACTTCACTTTTCTGTTTCATCAGAATGGGGATAATAACCGCTACCATATAATCTTGTTAAGAGGATCAAATAGCATGATTATCATGTGGCTAGCTAGACCAATGTAGTTACTCAACAAATATAAATCCCCTGATGGAATTATATCCTTATGACACTCAGTTCTCCCATCTCTATATTTTTTCCCTAAGAAGAAAACCCATCTTCCCTTACAGTAACATAATCTTTGTGTGTGTGTGTGTGTGTGTGTCTTTTTTTCCCTTTTTAGGAATTACATTTCCTCCAACCTTGAACCATGCAGTTTGATTAGGTCTCAACCCCAGACTGTATTTCAATTCTTGGGGTAGATATGTGTCTGACCTACATGAGTAATGAATTATCTTGTATGTCCTTGATCCAAGCCAGGCCTCTCAGATTCAATCCCTGGAAATAGAGAAAAAGAGACAGACTGGCTTGATGGGGCTTCTAAGCTGTTAAAATGTAAGCCTAGGCTGGGCATGGCGGCCCACACCTGTAATCCTAGCACTTTGGGAGGCTGAGGCAGGCGGATTGCCTGAGCTCAGGAGTTCAAGACCAGCCTGGCCAACACGGTGAAATTCCGTCTCTACTAAAATACAAAAAATTAGCCAGGCATGGTGGCCTGTGCCTGTAGTCTCAACTACTCAGGAGGCTGAGGCAGGAGAATCTCTTGAACCCGGGAGGCAGAGGTGGCAATGAGCTGAGATTGCACCACTGCACTCCAGCCTGGGTGACAGAGCAAGACAATGTCTCAAAAAAAAAAATAAATAAAATAAGTAAGCCTAAAGCTGCTAGTGTCCACTGCTGTCACAAAATGGGGAAAGCAAACCTGATCATAAGACAACACAAAGAAAAACAAAACTAATAGAGATAGAAATAGATATGAATAATATTAACACTGGTAGCCAGTGGGCATTCAATATGGTTCTTAGGCACAAGGCATGTAACCAACTCACAAGAAGCATCTCATTTGATGAAGTAGGTATTAATTATTTTACAGGGGAAAAAACTGAGTCACACAGAAGTTATGTAACTTCCCCATGATTTTTTTACTTAGTAAATGGCAATGCTAGAAAGTAAACCTCAGTGTCCTTGAACCCCTTGACCTGCAAGTTGTACTGCCTCCCAATATAATTGATTTCCAGCACAGGAAAGAACAAGACCACTGTTGCTGTCAGTTAAATTAAAAGGACACCTATTCTATTAATGGTAATATTATGCTGTCTCTTACATGATGTCCTATATATGTAAGTCAGTTTTAGAAACAATCTGAACTCCTTGGAGGAAAGTTCTTATTTATGGTTGCTATGGTAGTATTAATAAAACCAGCTCAATACTCCCATACACTGTTCTTTTAGATAAACATAGAAATTGACCCTTCTGCTGTTAAAGCTTGAAACTTGTATTTGTTTTATCTGAGTTCCTTCCTCAGGAAAGGATCTTCAAGCCTCTCAAAAAAAAAGTATTAAAGAACTGAAACTCACCAGATCATGAACCAGATGCCTCCTTGCCCCTCCCTAGTTCCTGTTTTACACCCTGTTACATTGATTTCCTGCTATATAAACCCATACTTTTAGCCAGGGAGATGGATTTGAGACTGAGCCCCCGTCTCCTTGGCTGCAGCACCTGATTAAAGCCTTCTTCTTTGGCAATACTTGCTGTCTCAGTGACTGGCTTTGTGTGCAGTAGGGTCTTGACCAAACCTCCAGTGCTTTGGTAACATTATCAGAAACCACTGTGATAACGTAAGAATAAGCTGTTGCATGCCATAATTATTTCACAATTGCTATTTATTACTTCCAGGGGTGGCATGACCATTGCTACCAGAAATAAAAATAATTATCAATATGTTAGGTGATGAGGAAAAAATATGAATTTGCCTTCATTTCTTCTCTAGGGAAATTCTATGTTATTACCCATGGTAACTTAACAATTTGATTTAACACTAGAGAAATCTCCCTCAGTCCCATACACACCCCCAATAGCCAGGTTCCAAGCAGAAATGATTAAAGGAGGTTTCTTTTAACTACGCTTGCTGAATTATCCTAGATAGCCCCATAGTTCCTACATAATTTGAAGTAACTGGTTTCCAGAAGTGAGTCTAATAAATATTGCTTTGATTGACAACTTTTCTGTCAGCTTAAGGTAGTTGCTCAGAGTTAGAAAATACAGACCATGTGGGCAGAGACCGAGATTTTCATCAACAGTCATGGTACTATGCAATTTACGAGTTCCCATGCCTTCTCTAGAAAAATCATCCAAGCTTAAGGAACCCTTGTGAGCCATTTGACAAGCACAGTTGGCACTGTGGTCAAAAGAACTTTGGGCTCTCACCACTGATATGCCTGAGTGGGCTAGATTTCCAGGGCTCACAGTCCCAGCCAAGAACGTAAGGCTAAGAGGCAGAGACAAGAGCATTTGTTGATTTAGTAGAGCACAGACTGTGGTGACAGACAGCCTTCATTCAAATTCTGGCTCTGGCACTTTCCAGCTGGGTAACTTTAGCCAAATTACTTACCTTCTCTATGCCATAGGTTCCCTATCTGTTAATGATGATAATGAGAAGCTTACTTCAGAAGGTTGTTATGAGGATTAAATAGCTTAAGTTTAAGTAGTGCTTGTTGCACTACTAAGACGTGAATGGGCAAGATATGTCTGTATTCAAAAACAAAAGAAGGAGGTTTTATTTATTTTACTTAACACATCAATCAGAATTCACATACAATAATGTGTAATGGCTTTTATAAAAATAATTTTATGGCTTTTGATTAGAAGAGCTTTGCTGATCAAGCTTTCACATAGAAGATTCCTTCTTCAAGGAATAGGAAAGAAAATATTGCAATTAGCACTGGCGGAAGCAGTGGTGAGGTCTGTTCAGGTTATAATAATGCATAAATAAGACCTCTGGTGACATAGAAAACACTGTATATATGTACCATTTACATGGGAAGTGTTCTCATCTCAGTTCCTTTCTCTTGCCCATCCTTTCAATATTTTTCATTGTTTCTATTGGTAGGAACCAACTTCTGCCAAGCCCTACTTCCTACCCTCTAGTTCTGGGCACCATGTACAGATATTTGCAGTCATTTGAAAGTAGGACTTGAGAAAAGATTTGTCCCTCATGCTTTTTCATTAGCAAAGCAGCAACTCCATTTCCAGGATAAACTAGGGGGACAACATTCATTTATTTCAGTCCTTCATTTGCTTACTTTCTGAGGCCTTTCTATGCACATATAACACCCCCAAAAAGGGAGAGAATGAAAGAAAAAGACATGAACCCTCTCTTCCATAAACTAACTTTATACTTTACATGTAAAACACACAGAGATGAAGGTTTCTCATGAATACGATACAAAATTAGTAAGAGAGGGAGAAAAAAACGCTGACCAGAGAAGGAAGATTCAGTAAGAGACAGAGTTGAGATCCTGGAGAAAGAAGATGTCAATTTGGACTTTAGAAGCAAGGCTCACAGCATCCTGAACAAGAGCACCAGAGGGAGAGAGGTAAATAAGCTTCTGTGCAACAAAAACCTCCTTTAGTTACAAATGTCTCATTATGATAGGGGAAAAAGTGGTATCTTACCATATAGAAGTCCCTGTGTTATCTCTGAGCCAGTTTGTTTGCAAATAGCTTGTCTAACTTTTTCAGGCAGTTTTGCTAGCTTTTTAAGAGATTTCTCTAATGTAGTTCTCTGGCTTTCAACTCCCACAGGGGTTTTAGGGCAGTGTTTGAAAATGAGAAAGATAAAAATGCATTCCTCTTAGAAGTTCATATAAAAGCGAAAGAATTGGAGTGGAGGTGGGAAGCTATTATGTACTTCGGTGATCTATTCTGCCTGTAACTCTAAAGGCTGATGAGAGGCAGTGTGATTTCAGGAGGAATCAAGAGGAGATACTTTCACTGCCCTCATTACAGGGAGATCATTGGCTCCTAAAAGGTCACTGTCACAGTGATTCTAAATGACATGAATAAAGGATATTTAAACTCTTGTCTGAGCCAATTCCTTGTAACACGGTTTATAGTAGTAAAAATCTTGAAACAACCTAAATGTCTTTTCCACAGGCAGATTAGAGAAATTAGGGTAAGGTAGAATCACGTCTTTTGGCAGGAGGTAGGATGTACATTCAAAGGTATTGATAAATATTAATATCAAAATCACACTAGAATGTTCTGTGATTTGTTCTTACTTTGCCAGAATCTAAGATCTTGGAAACTTAAAAGCCACAGTTAACTTCTGATATTTTTCTTGTTTTCAATTTTACCCACCCATTCCCATGGACACAGCCACCTCTAGTTTAATTAGGGGGATGAACTGAGGCAGTTAAAGAAAGGAATGCTATTTCCTTTGTCCCTTTCTTTCTCTTGCTGCCCCCTTCTCTCTCTCTTCACGTATTTCTCTTTTCCCATACACAGATTCCCGCTAACATATATAGTTTATGTTTTGCATTAATTAGGCATAAGATTTACCTCCAATCTATATTTTTAGAGCAAAATGATATGTAGTTAACTAAAAATAATGATATATGCATAATAAACTGCATCCCTCAAAAAAAAACAAGGCATAGAACAGTGTGCACAGCTACCATTTATGTAAATGCAAGTATCTCTATCTATATATGTTAGGGACTGAATATTTTTGTCTCCTCAAAATTCATATGTTGAAACCATAACCCACTATGATGTGATGGTATTTGCAAATAGGGCCTTTAAGAAGTGATTAGGTTTAGCTTAGATCATGAGGATAGGGTCCTTATGATGGGATTAATGCCCTGATAAGAGGAGGAAGAGGCCGGGCGTGATGGCTCACGCCTGTAATCCCAGCACTTTGGGAGGCCGAGGTGGGGGGATCTTGAGGTCATTAGATCGAGACCATCCTGGCTAACACGGTGAAACTCCGTCTCTACTAAAAATACAAAAACTTAGCCAGGCGTGATGGTGGGCGCCTGTAGTCCCAGCTACTTGGGTGGCTGAGGCAGGAGAATGGCGTGAACCTGGGAGGCAGAGCTTGCAGTGAGCTGAGATCAGACCACTGCACTCCAGCCTGGTGACAGAGTGAGACTCCGTCTCAAAAAAAAAAAAAAAAAAAAAAAGAGGAAGAGAGATCAGAGCTCTCTCTTTCTACCATGTATGGACACAGACAGAAGGCAGCCATCTGCAAGCCAGAAAGGGAGTCGTTAGCAGGAACCAAATCTGCCGGCACATTGATCTCGAACTCCCCAGCCTCCAGAACAACGAAGAATAAATATCCGTTGTTTAAGCCACCCAGTCTATGGTATTCTGTTACGGCAACCCAAGCAAAGTAAGACTACATACACACAAACACACACACACACTAACACACACACACACACACACACACACGCACATTTGGCAATTCACAGAACATTTCTAGAAAGATAATTGAGAAACTAGCAATAGCAACTGTGTCCCACATGACAAGGGGAAGGCCGGCCAGGCATGCTGGCTCACACCTGTAATCCCAGCACTTTGGGAAGCTGAGGTGGGTGGACCACTTGAGGTCAGGAGTTCAAGACCAGCCTGGCCAACATGGTGAAACCCCATCTCTACTAAAAATCCAAAAAGTAGCCAGGCATGGTGGCGTGCACCTATAATCCAAGCTACTGGGAAGGATGAGGAAGGGGAATCATTTGAACAAAGCAAACAGAAGTTGCAGGGAGCTCAGACCGCACCACTGCACTGCAGCCTGGGTGACAGAGTGAGACTGTCTAAAATAAATAAATAAATAAATAACAAGGAGAAGGCCTACAAGATCTAAAATCAGGAATGAGAGGAAGATCTACTTTTAGACTAAATAAAACCTACTTATTTAGACTGAAAATCTTCATCTGAATATGCGATATATGTGTATATAATGCTTTTAATAATAAAAAGTCACTATTAGATTTTTTTAAATGTCTGTCTCAAAGGTTCCACCAAAATATAACAAAGCAATTCTCATAAAGCCCCTGCAGTTCACTAACCTCCATAATCCATTTGAGGTTTTTCAAGAAGACTGTGACACATTTTTTAACATTCTCTTAAAGTGTTTCTTACTCTAATGTCACATCCTGCCCTGAGGGGATGTGGGCATGTCCCAATAAGAACAGACCTTATGTGAGAGCACTGGTGAGAACAAGATTCCAATGGGCATTTACTAGGTCATATCTGACTAGGTCATATCTTAATGTGCTACAAGATAAAGTGAGACTTACCAGTAGAACCTGTTTGGTACAACCCCTTCTTGGATAAGCTGCCATCTTCTCCCAAATTCAGCAGAGCTGTATAACTGTAAAGAACAGAAATTACTCAGCACTATGGTTCTATAGTACATCAAATACACAAACATCAGTTCATTGGATCAATAGTAATAATAATAATACCCAACATTTACTGAACACCTGCCATATACAAGGTGAGTGCTCCATGTGTACCATCTCTATTCCTTATACAAATTCTGCAAGTCAGACTAATATCATCATTTTACAGTTGAGGAAACTGAAGCTTAGAAGGATTAACCGACTTGTGAGAAATTACATGTCAAAGAAGTGGTTGAATGAACTGGAATGCACACCCTGTTCTGCCTGGCGATAAAGTCAGCTGTGCCACTTGACCTAGCATGTGCTGAGCATTGTGGGTGATGCAAAGAAGTGCAAAATCTAGACCTGGTTCTGGAAGAGTACGCAATGTAACCTGAACCTGGCTCACATAATGAGAAATGCACGAGGCAGCCAGTGAGAAAATAATGCAGAAGACAGGAGCCAATTTAGGGATGCTTTCCAGATGCTGTGGTGAAACAGCTGGGACCTGAACGAATGACAGCATTCAAATGGACAAAAATAGCATTATTCACAAAAGGAACAACATGAGTTAAAGTGGTAAGATAGACAGGGACAAGATATAAATAAGCCTAGCTTATCTATGTAAGCTTATCTAAGTAATAATTACACATTATTCAGGCATCTAGCCAAGGAGAATCTGTAACTTTTTCTTTCTAAGTCTTTTTTATTATTCTTTTTTTTTTTTTTTTTTTTTTTTGAGACAGAGTCTTGCTCTGTCGCCCAGGCTGGAGTGCAGTGGTGTGACCTCGGCTCACTGCAAGCTCTGCCTCCCGGGTTCACGCCATTCTACTGCCTCAGCCTCCCAAGTAGCTGGGACTACAGGTGCCTGCCACCAAGCCCGGCTAATTTTTTTTTTTGTATTTTTAGTAGAGATGGGGTTTCACCATGTTAGTCAGGATGGTCTCGATCTCCTGACCTCATGATCCGCCCACCTCGGCCTCCCAAAGCGCTGGGATTACAGGCGTGAGCCACCGTGCCCAGCCTATTATTCATTCTTTGGCCATCATGCCTGGGGGAGACTGGTTTCCTGGGTACATTTCATGTTTGATATATTTTATGAGTGCCAAGGAGAGATGGGTGACAACTCCCCTCATAGAGATAACAGAAGATGGGACAGGTCACACTGTCTTAACTGAGAACTCAAACAGCCAGTGTATACATGGCCTGCTTCTTGCTCTCAGCATGTCCTGAACACCTGGTATTTCAACACAGAGGACTGTACAACAACAGCAGGCACCCAACCCGAGAGTATCCGCTTCTCTCTCTCTCCCCTTTGTCTTCTTTTTTTTAAGCCCGGAGCTCTACTTCTTTCTATAAGTTTAAAGGGAACAGAGTTCATACCATTGTGGTGTGCCTATGTCATATAGATATATCGATATTTAGTAACATACAAAAATTAATGCAAATGTAAAAGTATCAGGACAGTTCAAAATAATAATATGTCTGGGTAACAGGCTGAACTCATATACATGCTGCAAGAATAATATATAAACTCTGTGTGCTCCTATGGCTATACCAAAGGATTGCTATTCCTGCTCCCACAGAGAATTCATCTCTGTGAGGAATTGTTGGGCGCCAGCGTTTGTGGTTCTTTTTTTCTCTTGTTAAATGTATCCCCTAAGCTTGAATCTGGAGCCTGTGGACCACTCAGGTATGTCCCATGACATTTGTTTATATCTTCAAAGAGCAACTTTGTTATTTGTGAGCATATAGAGGCCCCTCAAGTGGTGGGTATACAAAACAATCCACTAAACCAAGCCTCTCTTATTCAGCTTACTGAGATTCTTTCAATTTACTCTCTCCAAAGGTAACTTTCGGTCCTGGTGGGCTGGCCCTGTCACCTTCTCACACATGCCCTGCTACGCCTTCACTGAGGCTGCCCACTCTGGCAGAAGTGGCTTCAAGACTTTCCTTCTTCAACACCAGTCTTGTTTTCAGAGCCAGATGAAAGGCCACCTCTTCTATGAACCCTCCTCTACCTACTAAGATTCCTACCGGTCTCATCTCCAAAGAACTGTGGAACAAGAGCAGATGCTATCAAACTACCAGCCACGTATTTATATTTAATTCTCTTAATAGCCTTTCAAGAGAACCTTTCACAAATGCAAGGCAGAAATTCCTTTCTATCTAAAATTACTCTAAAATATCTAAGACCACTTCCTGCCTCTTTAATGAGATTGCAAAGCTTTTAGATGTTGGAAATCCTATCCTTCTACGTGTACGGGTGCCTCAAACACAGTAGATGATAAAGGAAAAAGATAATGATTTTGTACCACGTGAATTTCCTAGTCACGTTTCTACCTAATAGAGAACACAGGTTTCACAATTGGTGTACAAAGAAAATTTATCAGAGGAATATGTTTTGCTTCCATGGATTTATAACTAGAGGCGTATACCTAAAAAACAAATAAAACACACATCCACAAAACCCTATAAATATCAGTATATTTGAAACTCCCAAGGATTTGAAAGCAGAGTCTTGAATATTCACTTTTAGACAAAATTGCTCTATATTCTCCACCTACTACTTCAGACATTTTCTCCCTAAAAAATTAATTGTCCAGCCTGGTGTTATACCGACCAAAAAGAAAACAACAACTCTGCCATTCAAGTTAACGTGTTAATTAAACCTACAGAGTCTGGAAGCAAAGTGCTCCTCCACAAAGAAGGGAATGGTATCAAAGCATTTTACCCAATGACTGTCTCAGCCACCAGCGGAAGGCTTTCCCTGTAGAATGAGTCAATGTCCTTTAATAAAATTCATAGTGTTGGCAGCACCTAAGTAAGATTTATTTCCCTCCCTGTCTGTCTCTGACTCCAAGGTTTCTTTTGACTGTCAGAACACGGAACTGAGAACTATCATTACTATCTGTCACATCAGAGAAAGCAGCAGCAGCTTTCTCTAGCTATGCCAAGCTTAGAGAAAGATAGAAAGATTAGGAAGAGAATGAAAGAGTACTTAAACTAGTTTTAGGAGGGCACTATTCCTCTACTAGTGCCGTGTCATGAACTTAAAAATGCCATTCTTGGCCGGGCGCGGTGGCTCACGCCTGTAATCCCAGCACTTTGGGAGGGCGAGGCGGGCGGATCACGAGGTCAGGAGATTGAGACCATCCTGGCTAACACGGTGAAACTCCGTCTCTACTAAAAATACAAAAAATTAGCTGGGCGTGGTGGCCGGTGCCTGTAGTCCCAGCTACTCGGGAGACTGAGGCAGGAGGATGGTGTGAACCTGGGATGTGGAGCTTGCAGTGAGCCGAGATCGCGCCACTGCACTCCAGCCTGGGCAACAGAGCAAGACACTGTCTCAAAAAAAAAAAAAAAAAAAAAAGCCATTCTTGGGTTTGATTTTGTTTAGCTAACATTAGTATAAATGTTGAAAAAGAACTGAAGGAGCAGAAATGTTAGAGAACAGGGAAAGATTCTGGTTATATCTGCAATAAGAATGCAACACAGAAAATCCTTTCTGTGTAAAATCATTCTAAAGTATCTGTGACTACATTGCATTAGTAAATACAACTTAATGAGCACAAACCCAACACTCACCTGTGCTCAAGATCTATTAGCAGCCTTAGGGCCTAACCCTCCACACTGTCATTATGCTACTCTGGGGCTATTAGCACTTCTCTCTCTATCCTGACATGTTCCTCTCCTGAAGGGTTTTTTTTTTTAAGACATCTTTCACATTGGCTTGTTTCCTTGCCATCTGTCTTTGTTTGCTTTAAGAAGAATGCAGATAAAAATACACTTAATTCCAAAGGATGAAATTGCCAGGGTTAGTTTCATTGAGAGCTTTGAGCCAACTGTTAGGCATCTCTGGCGCCATCCTCTGAATGTCTTTGGAGCTGCCAGTTGGGTGGTAGGCACTGACAAAGAGGGATGCCACAGCAGGGCAAAATAGCCTGGGGGAGGGAAAGAATGGGATGCACTGGTTTTGCTCAATTCCTAGTCTACAGCAGATGAAGATGGGATGAGAGAAGGGTAGCAGCCATTTCCAACTTTCATTTCCACCTTAACATTCACATTTTGGTTAAATCCCTAGAAGAGTGACAACTTGCTACTAGATAAGAAATTCAACTCCTTGTGGTGATCCACAAGCTTGCAATTGTCAGTGTCCCTAGAAAGTCTTTTCAATATTCCTAAATCGGATCAACGTATCCTCTCTTTTCAGATTGTTAGACAGGTGCACGTGATAGAATTCTCTTTTGCAGCTGGGAAATGAGTGAAAGAGCATCCATTTCAAAGAAATTTGTGCTACGAGAATTCCATAGAAGCTAAGAGTTGTGATAACGTTTTAAGTCTTTGGTTCATGGGACCAGATGTTGTTCACCACAAAGCTTCCCACGGTGGCTTCCCCGGTCAAGGGGTAGTTTCCTGGGGATCCTCCACACAGGCTCCTTAGGAGGCGCCTGTGTTGGCGGAAAACATCCTGCTGTCGGCTCTTTTCAAGGTTGCCTGCCCACTCCTCTTTCCTTCTCTCCTCTTAACATTTTGGAAGCAGGGGGCCTGCAAATTGTACTTCTTGAAAAGGCTGACAGAAAATCCTGCCAGTTCTATTTTATTTGCCTCATCCTAATACTGCCCTGGGGATGGCCTGGGTACAAAGCACTCATCCACCTTATGACTCTCTGCTTCTCACTGCTGTTCCTCCATCCTTTTTTAGCAAGAAAGAGATGGTACCTTAAGGACTTCATATAAATTCCTAATGCCAGGCCTGAGGCATCACAAATATCAAGTTCTTTTTTCCATCACCCTCAATAGGAAGAAAGAGAATCAGTCCAGAGAAAAATGCGGTCCTCAGAAGTATGTTCTGATGCTCTGGTTCCACAGCATAGGAGGGGGCCACGACCCATGCAAAGGGGAACCAAAATCTACAACACTTAAAAGGATTCCATAAACTTCACTAAGAGCTGACACAAGTCTTTAACTTGGCTGTTCCGTACAGAGAGCAGATAGTGAAAGAGCCATGATGCCCAATCCAGACCCCCACACCCAACCCTGCCCCAATAGATTTAAGTTTCTCAAAGAAAATGTTGTGTATTAGTGATATCACAGACAACCTACAGTAATGTGTAATATTTTGTGCACAGTGTTGTAGTGGCCTATGTTGTAGAGAAAAAGTTTGGAATTTGCAAAAGAATTCACAGCGGGCTTTGTAATACAATTAATATGTCTTAGAATGAAGACATGCAGAAAAAGTGTTCTAGGGGAATGGGTCAGTCTGTGCAAATAAACAGAGCAGCAAAACTCAGGGTGATGTTCTCACATTTCTTTGGTCAATAGCAAGAGACCCAGTTTGGCTGGGATACATAATAGAGTGAAGTGGAAGCTGGGGCTACAAAGAGAGCCTGGAACCAGGCTGGGTAGGTGCAATCTTACCAATACTTGTGGGGAGCTGATGTAGACTGGATCCAAATGTCATTAAGGTCAAAAGATAAGAGTATCAAAGCTGAACAGTCAGGCTTTGCTGATGAAGGCTGGGCAGGAATGATGGCCTATTGCTGGTTCCACCAATCTCTCCTACAGCTGGATTTATCAAATTTGTCACTGCCCATTCCCCAGCTGTCACTGAAGTCTGTCAAATGCCCTACAGTTGAGGGTGGTACTCTGAAGCTTGGAAGATTAGACTTACGGAACTAGAGCCGGTTGGGAAGGGAGGGCCAATATATGACTGTGGGCGAGTTTGATTTGTGAACACCTCCTGTGCATTCAGGTCTGGAGGTATATAGGAAAATGATAAGATAAAATCTTGGCCTTAAAGATTCTTATATATTTATTTATTTATTTATTTTTGAGACAGAGTTTCGCTCTGTTGTTCAGGTTGGAGTACAGTGGCGCCATCTCGGCTCACTGCAACCTCTGCCTCCAGGGTTCAAGAGATTCCCCTGCCTCAGCCTCCCCATTAGCTAGGATCACAGGCATGCACCACCACGCCCGGCTAATTTTTGTATTTTTAGTAGAGAGGGGTGGTTTCACGATGTTGACCAGGCTGGTCTCAAACTCATGACCTCAAGAGATCTGCCTGCCTTGGCCTCCTAAAGTGCTGAGATTACAGGCATGAGCCACCACGCCCGGCCCCTTAAAGGTTCTTAAAGACAAGCGTTGGTGGCATAGAACAGATGAAGAACTAGCTAAAAATTTGGACAAACAAATACCTCTCTTTCAAAGCCTACAAAACTATTAAATAGCACAATTGTGCCTGTTCAAATCTTAAACCCAATTGCTTGTTTTAAAATGTTCATTTCTCCTTATTCTTGTAGCTCTATTTTTTTTTCCCGAAATCATTAGAAACAGGCAAATCAAACTGTTCCAGGTAGCAATTGAAAAATAATGATACAACCTGTTTAAACACAGTATCTAAGGTGAACGTAGTAGGCCTTCCTTGTTTGCATATGATGGCATTTCAGCTTGAGAATTCGTTTTATAAACAAGTGTTGGGGTTGACATTTAGCGAGCTCCCTGGTTTCCACTCTAATTGCCAGTTTTGTACTTGGATACTTAAATTACTCACATATTCATGAGGTTAGAAATCAGATCTGACACTGGGAAATTTCAAGCACATGAAAATCCTGCCAAACCAGCATGGTATATAATGCTCAACATATTTCTTATAAAAAACTGAGTGCCTTTTAACTTAATGCAGTGCCTTGGGGAAACATGATGGCATTAGGTAGATATCAGTTTCCTAAGTGTTTGTGCTTGTGCAGAAATCATTTGAATATCCCCAGGGGGTTGAATTTCAAGGATCAATTTGTCTTTATCTCAATCTTGCCCTTTTGACATTAAGGGGCTGCTAGGTCTATTAAAAAACAAATAGAGTTAATGTGAAGATAAATACTTTAATATTTAATGGTTTTCTATTGTTATAATCAATAATATTTCTAAGTACCACATATCTGTCGGTCCTGTTCCATTCATTCTGCTTCCATGGGACCTTTTAGTGATTGTCTAAAAAGGCATTTAAATTAAATTGATTAAAGTGCCTGTAGCTCTGCGTACTGGAAAGGCACAGGGATAAGACAGCCTCTGCCTAAGACATGCTTTGTCTAATTCCAGCTGCACCACACCAGGGGTGCTTTCTTTCAGGTCTTTGGATAATACACTGGCTGGCATCTATGCCATGTTTGCTATGTGTCAGGCTCTGTGTTCATATTTTGCATGCGTTATCTCAGTATCATCAAATAGTCCCATGAGCCAGGTACTCTTATTATTGTTCCCACTTTACAGTTGGAGAAACTACATTTAAACGACCTGTTGAAGGTCACAGAGCAGGGGTAGGACGTGACAGAGCAGAGAGCTGATCCTCTTACCAGCTCACTCTACTGTCGGTCAGTGGTGAGAAACCTTAGTATGACTGAGATTTTGAAAGCGCTGGCATCTATTTCTTTATTAAGTAGTCAATATTTCCCAGGGAATGTCTGCCATTGAAAGCAGCCATGATAAGTATTGCCCTTCTGTGAAGGCTCACTCAGGAAAAGAAAGGAACAATTGGCTGGGAGCGGTGGCTCACGCTTGTAATCCCAGCACTTTGGGAGGCTGAGGCAGGCAGATCACAAGGTCAGGAGTTTGAGGCCAGCCTGGCCAACACAGTGAAGCCCCGTCTCTACTAAAAAATACAAAAATTAGCCGGGCGTGGGGGCGGGTGCCAGTAATCCCAGCTACTTGGGAGGCTGAGGCAGGAGAATCGCTTGAAGCCAGGAGGCGGAGGTTACAGTGAGCTGAGATCGCGCCATTGCACTCCAGCCTGGGTGACAGAGCTAGACTCCGTCTCAAAAAAAAAAAAAAAAAGAAAGAAAGAAAGGAACAATTAAAAGGAATAAAGAGAAGATTTTTTGTTTATAGATATGTTTATAGATATACATGTAGAATAGATATGAAACTTTAAAAACATTGCAGGACTGGTAGAGAGAGAAAGAAGGCAGAGAACTAAAATTAGTTCTTTTTTAATAAAATTCACTTTTATGCATGTTACTAAAATTCTGTCATTGGCTGTTCATCACATTGGCAGTCCATTTTTCCTTTTCTATCACCATATGATTTTAACTGAAAGTCAGCCTTCATTTCTGAAGAGAATGCCAGCTGTTAATATTTAGAGTTTCCAGCCAGGCACAGGGCTCACGCCTGTAATCCCAGCACTTTCAGAGGCCGAGGCGGATCACTTGAGGCCAGGAGTTCGAGACCAGCCTGGCCAACATGGTCAAACCCAGTCTCTACTAAAAAAATGCAAAAATTAGACAGGCATGGTGGCAGGTGCCTGTAATCCCAGCTATGCGGGAAGCTGAGGCAGGAGAATCGCTGGAACCCAGGAAGCAGAGGTTGCAGTGAGCCAAGATGACATCACTGCACTCCAGCCTGGGCAAGACAGTAAGACTGTCTCAAAAAAAGAAGAAAAAATTAGATTTTCCATTATTTGTAAACAGAACCTCCCTATCAAAGCCTGTTTTCTGCCTTTAAAAGTATGTTTTGGTATCTGACACATATGTACCAAAAAATGTTGAAGGGAAGGCCAACATACAGGCCTTAGGATTTTCTGTTTATTTCATAAACTGTGATCCTTTGGAATTTAAAGAAGATCAGGAATGAAGCAAGTTTTCCACATGTTCTTACTTGGACTCATAGAGCTCCAAAATAAGCGAGTCAATATAAACTTACAAATATTCTAGAACTGCCACAAAATAAAGGGTGGCCCACCAAACTGTCCTAAAAGTTTTATTCTCCCTCGACAAAACCGATCATTTATTTGAATGTACTTTTTTCAAAAAATCGCAAAAAAAAAAAAAAAATTAACATCTTCTCAAATAAAATCAAAAGAGAGACCCATGAACAAAGAAAAACAAAGATAATGGGAAAGAAGAAAGGACAACCACAGGGCAGCAGATGAGGTTTATTTGTCCTATGCAGTGCTTCTTTTTAAATTTCTGAGGTCATTGTTACACACATAAAAATAAGAAAACTTCACATTGAAAACAAAGCAGAATTACTTCTCTCAAAAAAAGAAAGAATTCTGAAGGTCTGGTGACATTGGACCCACCTTCCTACATGGCAAGAACAGCAGGCTAGAGCTTGACAATATCCCTCCCTCCTTCTAAATGAACACCTGCTCTCCAACTTCCCACAGCCTGGACCCAGCCTGTTTTGTTCAGTTGTACTTCTTGCCTGTTTGTATAGGAACTGCGTTCATGCTCTACGTGGTCTTGAACGTCCACAAGGGTGGGAATTGCACAGGACAGGAGAAGAGCAGCCCTTCCTGCTCCTGGTAAGGGGCAGCAGGCCCTTCTCTGGAGCTACCTGAAGAAGAGGTCTGGATAAGGACAGCAAGGGGCCTCTGCTCTCCAGCCACTCAGCAGCAAGAGTCCTGACAGCGTTCATGTTGGTTTCACAACATGGCACTCTCCCCTTTACAAATCACGTCTCCGTTGCAAATCCTAACAGAGGCTCCAAGAGCCCTTACCCCGGCATAGACAGCAAAGCTGAGGTATACACAGATTCTTATACTTCTCTCCTGTTTTTTTTTTTTAAATTTCCTTACAGTCACATCTGCTCTTTGTTTTCTCTCATTTCAAATGTTTCCCAACACATCATGTTTAGTGAGGTGTTTAAGACAGACTGAGAGATGCCGTTGGAGGCAATGTTTTATAGCACAGTTTGTACACTAGTTTATTGCCAAATTGAAATAAAGATGTAATCTGGCAGGCTCAGCCTTCTGCTAAGCCTTCCTTGGGTGGTTTCCTGTATTGAGGCAAGAAAGTCAGCTAGCAATGAAGTAAAGGACTATATCTCCTTTCTCTTATCTGCTCAGTTTCCAAATGCAAAGAATTTTTTTAAATGGGTAGAATGCTTGGTTTGCCTACTGTTTAAATTATAGAAATAAAAAAAGTAAATTAATAAAAGAAAGCAACATTTTGGTGCTCCTATAATAAATGCCATGGAATTCTTCATACTTTCCACAAGGATTCATTGTTTTAAAAATGTGAGGGGTGGGATTGTAGACACCAAGTAGCCCCCTGTCCATTTGAAACAGAATCTCTATAATTGTATCTATAATGTTCCTTTTTCTGAAGATTTCAGGGCTTTCCAAAGGCACATCCTCACATAGGCCCTTCAGAGGCCAAGTCCAGCTCCTATGTCTTTACTCGATAAGTCTCAGGGCAGGGTTTCCTATGAACGCAGGCTACTTATTTAAGAATTTCAATGGGTAAAAGGCTCCACACATTTTCCTTTCAGTCATTCTAGTGGTGCCTGGATAGCCACATCCCCAGACAAGATAGCATTTACCTCTTGGCAACTATGATGGTGGTCAATTTTATGTGTCGACTTGGCTAAGAGATGCCCAAAGAGCTGATAAAACTTATCTGGGTATATCTGTAAGGGTTTTTTTAGAAGACATTAGTGCCTAAATCAGTAGGCTGAGAAAATCCACCCTCTCCAGTGTGGGCAAGCATCATCCAATCCTTGGAGGTGTTGAATAGAAAAGGCAGAGGGAGGGTGAATTCCCTCTTTCTTTTTGAGCTGGGATATCCATCTGTCTCCCCTGGCCCTCAGACATCAGAGTTCCTGGTTCTCAGGACTTTGGACTTGGACCAGGACTTACACCATTGGTTCCACCCCCAACCAATTCTCAGGCCTTCAAACTTGGACTGAATTATACCACTGGCATTCTTGGTTGTCCAGCTTGCAGATGGCAGATCTTGGGACTTATAAGCCTCCACAATTACATGAGTAAATTCCCATAATCAATCAATCAATCAATCAATCAATCTCTCTCTCTCTCTCTCTCCCCTCCTCTCTCTCTCTCCTCCCCTTATTGGTTCTGTTTCTTTGGAGAATCCTTAATAATACAACCACCTAGATGTTGAATATCACAAATAGATTTCTCCTTCTAAGTAAAAACAAAAAATATCAAAAACCTTGGTTTGTGAATTCTGAGGACATTTGGCCATACACATTCTTCCCTGATTAAAACCACCTTTTAAAATCTTAATATGACCTCCCATAGGACTGATATCCAGTAAAATTCTATCTTGGACCAGAAAGGAACACCTGTTCAACAAAACTCTTTGAGTCCCTTATAATGCCCACATCAAAAAGCCTCCACTGGGATTTAGGCACCCAAAATGAAACACAATTAGAGCAGGGTACCGCAGCTCATATACGGTCTATCCTGCAGGCCGGAGCTCCAAACTCTGTCCTTAGGAGCTTAAAAGTCACATGCACTGAAGGAGAGAAAAAGCAATGTCAGGGAGATAAGGGGAAAATAAATGTGGCTATGTGTTCAAAAGACGGAGAGTATGCCTTAAAAAAACAAGGAAGCCAGCAAATAAAGAAAAAGAGAAAAGAGGAGGACCCTGTTCATAGGAATTGCCACCTCAATAATGCATTTTCTAAGGGATTGTTCACCACAATTTGATGTAAAACAGCATCCAGCAGAGATAATACTAAGTAAGATCCTAGCTGGGAGATCTGCAGCAGTGACATTAGCAGCTGTCACAGAAAAACTGATGAGCAATACTTACATGAAAGAATAAATGTTCCTGTTTCCTAGGCAAGGGCAGTCACTGGCCAGCCAACACCAGCACATGGTCCTCCTTGTTGCCACACATCTCATCAGTGCTAAAAGTTCCACGACCCATGGGGGACTGTCAGCTTTTATTTCCGTATCACTGACCCACCTGAGTGGCCACAGACCCTCTCAACTTGACTTCCAGCCAATGCCATCAGCTAACGGCTGCGGCTCACTCCCTTCCAGCGAATGCCCCACTCCCTATTCTGTGATTCAAGCCTTGAGATACGGAGGTCTTCTCTGATTCCTACTTGTAGAGCTGGCTATCCATGATGTGTTTTTTCCAGTATGATTTATCCTTCATCCTCTCTTAAAGAAACAGAGAGGTCAGTAGAAAGCCTGGCTCTTTCCCATCTGTTCATCTCAAAATATCACCTTCAAAAACGAGAACCCTGGCTGGGCGTGGTGGCTCATGTCCGTAATCCCAGCACTTTGGGAGGCCAAGGTGGGTGGATCACAAGGTCAGGAGTTTGAGACCAGCCTGGCCAACAAGGCGAAACCCCGTCTCTACTAAAGATACAAAAAATTAGCCAGGCGTGGTGGCACACACCTGTAATCCCAGCTACTTGGGAGGCTGAGGCAGGAGAATCGCCTGAACCCTGGAGGCAGAGATTGCAGTGAGCCCAGATTGCGCCATTGCACTCCAGCCTGGGTGACAGGGCAAGACTCCATCTCAAAAAAAAAAAGAATGAGAACACTATCAAACGTCAGGTAGCCCCTTACCCCATTTGTAGAATATCCACATGTGATACCAATTAGTGATTTTTCCCTTTGAGAAAATGTGTTAACCTCTTAGATATTTAGATCCTTGGCCTCATACAGAAAAACAACAACAAATAAATGAAGACTGCTTCCAACTTTAAAATGACAGGATTCATTGGGTCTGTGGTCACAAAGGGTACCTTTTGGTTCTTACCCTTAGCATCTGATGCCAGGACTGCTGTAATATCATCCCAACTGGTCTTGTTTTTGACCTCATATTACCACAGTTTATACTGATATTACTACTGATTAACGCTTGAAATCTATAGCCCTAAACATATCATTCTCTGGATGCAAATTTCTGAAGGCTCCTAATTAAGGAAACAAAAATTAGTTTTCCTAAAAATCAAACAGCCAAAACAGTGAAAAATAATAAGGATTAGGTTCCAAAGTGTGTGTGTGTGTGTGTGTGTGTGTGTGTGTAAATTATAACTAGCTATAACAAATTTTAGTTTCAGCCAAATAGAAAAATTTGCAATTTTGTAAATGTGATTTTTACAATTTCATGTATATGACATTCCTGTTGTAAAAAATTGGCCTCCCCTACTGTTACAATAGAAATCCGACATATCCATTAAAGTCCAGCTGAAGTCATTTTGTAAGACTTCTAGAGTAGACAGATCACTAGATCTCTATCTCCTGAACTTTGAGCTACCAATTTAATGTAATTCATCCAGTCCCTTGTATATAATATTCAGTGACAGCACTGCCTTTGTGGCCTCTCTTAAACTATTGGTCAACTCATATGTGTTAATCATCTATCTCCAGATGGATAGAATATTGTTATTTTATATCAACACTGTATCATGCATGGCACTTAAAAGAGATGTGGCATCTAACATTTGTTTCTTTTTAAATCACTTTGGAAGGGTACCTACAATTATAATTATCCATACAAACACATTTTAACGCAAAGGAAACCAACGCTAAATACTATTCACCATAAGTAGCTGGGATGAAGTCACAGCCCAGGCATCCTAACTGGTCTTGTATCATCCACTCTGCCACAGTGACCATGGGAGGCACTCTTTGAAGTGCTGGGAACGAAAGGGTTACATATTTGGGCATCTCCTCCAGCATAACTGCAAAGATGCAAAGCTTTTACTTAGGCAGGTAAATCTGGTCCTCGCTGTGCCTCTGGCATCGGTGGGGGGGAATTAACCAACTGTCGAATAAAATGTAACAACCCTGTGGATTAAATGACTAATACTCTGTCTGAGCTGGTCAGGCTTCGCCTCTGTTAATTGCACCATCCTGGACCAGATGCACTGTGGCTTGACTCCAGAAACAAAATTGTACATTCTGCTGAAAGGGTAGCCAGGCTGCTCAACAGGAAAAAAAAATGAATTGTAAATTCTTTCTATTTTTAGGATTAATGTGCATTTTATTTGGCAGTAGGGGCAGCATGAATAAAACTCCAATCTTAAGAATTTTAATTTGCTTCCTTTAAAATGCTCCTGTCAGTAGAGACCTTGGGAAGTTGCTCATACCATTCTCCTACCTTCAAAAATGCCACATATCTATGCAAACCCAGACAAATGAAACCCCAGAATATTCACCTCACTTAGTTAAGTCCAGTATTTCTTTAAATTTATATAATTTCTAATTCATGATCCCTCTAAGGAGAATTCTCAGAATGACTTCACTGCATAATGCATTTCACAAGGAGTATTCTAGTATTTCACCAATTATCCCTCTGGTTTTTATGGCCAGAGTCTCTCTCACATTTGCCTGTGTAAATGCTGTTTCTTTTCATTTTAATTTAATTTTATTAGCTATTGCTAGCCTTTTATTCTACCTGAGAAAGCAAGTTCCTTAAAGGCAGGGACCATATGTATGTTATAGTATATATGTCGTATAGAGTACATAATATATATTATAGGATGACATTTTATGGGTCATATGCACATATACACACACACAGCTAATACCATGAGCTCATTTAATCCTTTCTTACGAAGTGGACTTCTTCAACTTTACCACCAAGTGAAGAAAAGTTCTGAGATGACTAGGTTCTGCATAAGGTTACCTATATACATCATTATTGTTCCTCTGGCCATTTCTCTCAGTGTTTTAGAACAACCCTGCTTCGTGTTCTTAAACTTTTCAGGGTTATGCTTCCCTTTAAGAGTTTGAGAAAAGCCATGGGTCTTTCACCAAGAGAAATGATCACCAATCCACAAACATAAGACACTGTCTCCAATTCAGTGGGGGTCAGAGGCTCCTGACTGCCTTAAGCATCTATGCTGAGAACTGCTTCTCCACCATGTCTTACTTAGTACACCTAATCTTTATTTGGTAAGTGGTTTCAGATATTTACATGATTTAAACAAGCAACCTGAGACTCTCCTTGCTTTCCCTTGTCCCATTAGCACAGAGGTCAGGCTACTGCTCAGAACAAAAATGATCACTGAGGTGAAATGGAGAGATGATTAAATTAGCACTATTTTCCCCGGAGAACCATGCTTCATTGTCTCAAACAAGGTAAGTATGCTCACCTTTTGGTCTTGACTGTATGCCAGAATCCAGTCTTCTTGTTTGGGGTGAAAAAGCAAGCTTTGAATGTAGAAGTTCAGCCGGTACTTTTGATAAGTTGCCCCTTCATCTGAGCTGATCAATAAACTGCTCTCAATCTCCGGGTCTGTGAGTAACATTATCTGCAGCAAAGAATTGTTGGAGAAAGAAACAACAGAAAATTAAGTTTACAAATTTGCAAAACTTGAAAATTAGCTAATTTTTGACAAGGGAAGGACAGGGGCAGGCAAAGAATGCTTGGCCAAACAGGGACCTTGACTCTGTCAGGATTATTTTTCCATCTTGGATCAATGCTACAGAAATATTTCTACAAAGAAATGAAGGGAGTAGGAGAAGCTGGAAGAACGAGGGATGAAATAGATAACTGTATTCTCTTCTCTTTTAGGGGACTCTTTGTTTTATTTCCAAGGTTATTTCCTGAACCTGGAACACTTACCCTTCTTCCCTTCTTCCTACTGTGCCTTATGCACTTTCCATTTTGGGGGATTAACAGACTGGTTATAGTCTGCTGTGGGAAAAGTGGAAGAGAAAGAGGATGGAGTCCATTGTTTTTCTTCCCTACCTCGAATCTTTTCATTCCACTTCAATGATTTCCTACGCCATCCAAACTTAGCCTGATTTTCTGAGTCTTAAGTCAGTCTAGGCTCTAAAGCTTTCTCTAGGAATTTCACAAAGGCTATTTTACCCCACCACCCTCATCACCTTCTAGCCTACTATATAATTTACTTATTTATTTTGTTTCTTGTCTATATAACCTCTACTAAAAAATAAACCCTGTGCGAACAGAGATAGCTGTCTGTATAGTTCACAGATGAATTCCCAGCAGCTAGACTAAGGTCCAGTATGCATGGTACACTGATAAATATTTGTCGAATGAATGAATAAATGAATGCATAGAAAGATGCCCAGAACACTCTGAGATATGGATGGAAGCTTCACAACTTCTAAGTCTACATGACTCTCTAAAACTCTCTGAAAGAAAAGTTGGTTGCTCTGCACAGTCTGCACCACAGAAGAAGCTATAAATACGTAAAAATTCACAGCTTCAGACGTTTTACACTGTCTCATTGGGATGCCCAATTTTGTCCAGAGCAATGGGATCAATCACAATAGCAGCAAGATGGAGGAGCTGCCTTCGAAACTGCCTTAAATCCTCATTTTATGCCTTCACGAATGTGTGATAAATTACTTCATTCCCAACTCTCTGTGGGTCTTTCATTCAAAGTGTGCACCTAATGTCTCCAGACAGGTGGCCTTAATGCTACCCGTTGACCTCTTCCCCATCAACTTATTAATTGGTACTTTCTGAATTTGGTTCAGGGAAGCATGAAATATGTGTTTAATGTGTTGCTGTATGAAAAGAAATCACTGCAGCCCAAGGATTAAAGATTACCAGCTGAGGATGCTGCACTTCCAAGAAAGAGAGAGAGAGGGGAATAGAATCATATCTTAAAAGAGCAGAGTGCCAGGCAAACACATGGAGCTTTCTCAAGCATTTGGAGGCAATCATATTAAAGCCTCTGAACAGTTAGTGTCATCTTTGAAAGTGGTGTCCTGTCACTGTAAATGGCACAAAAGGATTGCATGCCAGACACTCTGCCCAAACTCTGTTTATGCTATCCAGGACGAATTTAAGGTTCCTTGCTGTTCTTTCAACCTCCCCTTCTTGAAGAGGAGAAAAGGGATGTAATGGGGTGAAGGCAATGCTGTTGCTATCAGCTACACTCCCGACAAGATGAAAAGCGCACACAAAACTGAAGACTAATTGCCTCTTGTACCATGTTCCAGGAAAGCCACTGCCCACCAACCATAAATTCTGACAAAGTTATGGATTTCTCTGTCTCACATTCACCAAGCAGACGGCGTTCCCTCATCAGATGGCCGACAAGGAGCCATCAGGTAATCTACGAAGTATAAACTCATATGGCTTCATTAAAATCTAGTGTATGCATTAAGCAAGTACATTTAGATGGCTCCTAAATTCACAGGAATATTTCCAAGTGAGTTCATATTTATGAATACATAAAACCTGTCATTTTTTGAATAACAAATAAGCCATCAAATGATCATATTGTTTTGTGTCTCCAATCACAATTAACAATAATGTAAAACAACCTTTTTGCACTACTGCCGAAAAGTCATTTCCATGATAATATGAAGAAGCTCAATTTTATAGAACATCTATTGTCTCAGGCAAGGTGATTCCCTTCCCCACTCTGATTTTCTAGTTCCCTGTTAGCCAGAATATGCTTTCCTCTTTTCCCATGAGTATAGATCTCCCCACCTGCTTCTCCTGGCAGAATACTTAATCAAAATAAAATTAAACACAATTACAAACTAGGCCTACAGAATATTCCCAAAGCAAGCTGATTTTTATCAATCACTTTAAAGTATTTTTGATACCCATTTATGCTCCACGTGATCAGACTGCATAAGACATCCTGTATCAGGTAATATTGGGTGCGAGTGGCAGAGTAACGCACATATTTCCCAACAGATGGAAACTTAATATTATAAAAATAAAGCGACTCGTATCTTTGGCTTTTTTTCTGGATGTTGAAAATAGGCAGACCAAAATCCCACCTTCTCTATGCAGCCCTCACCTAAAACTCTCCATCTGAGAATTTGACATTTTGGAAATAATGGGAAATAGAAATTTCCCGGTGAGCTTTATAGGTATGTCTGTACTACAGAAACATTCCAGTGGCTGCTCTCTTAAATTTCTGTTCAATTCTACTCAGAACAAACAGGTCAATCTGGATCCATTTTTCATTAGTTATTTTTCTTATTGCAGAAACAACTCCATAAGACCTCTGGTAGAATTCAAAAGAAAAAGAAAACAAACTCATGACCCTATCATTGCAAGTTAAACCATGTTTGTGTTTCTTTCTACTTCTTTATCCACATCTCTATATCCTATTGTGGATTGAGGATTTTATTCTGGTTTTTTCTTTTAAGTTTGACATTATGGCCCATATTTTTTTTTTTTTTTTTTTTGAGACAAGAGTATCGCTCTGTTGCCCAGGCTGTAATGCAGTGACACAATCTCAGCTCACTGCAACCTCTGCCCTCTGCCTCCTGGCTAATTTTTGTATTTTAGTAGAGATGGGGTTCGCCATGTTGGCTAGGCTGGTCTCGAACCCCTGACCTCAGGTGATCTGCCTGCCTCAGCCTCCCAAAGTGCTGGGATTACAGGCATGAACCACTGTGCCCAGCCCCCCAAATATTCATTTTTAACTGAGCCATAGACACACAAATGCACACACGTTAACACACATGACTGTATAATGTACTCCAATTAATCACAACCTTCAAATTAATTAAATTATGATTGTTGTAATGACTGAAACATAGTATGTACCTAATTGTTAATTGAATAAGTAAAATCTTATTATTTTAGTCTTAAATTCAAATTCTTTAATAATTTTGCTTCAAATGAATTGATGTTTGTCCTACCATTTTATCAGTAATAAAATATAAATAAGCTAATAAGTAAAAAATTTAATGCGATCTAAATAAAAAAGCCTTAACATACTTGAGAAACAAACACTGAAAATAATAAATATGATCCAGTCTTTAGACATAGATGATATTGTTCATAAATGAATAAGTCATATCTTCTCACAAGATTTTCTGCTCAGAAATATTTTCAAAATAGTAAGTTCAAATTAGCAAATATTCTTCAAAAACAATAGATTACATTTCTTAAAGATGCCTAACAATCCCTATTTTTGCTAGTTTAGAATGACTCTTTATCCCCTTCTGACTCTTCATGTAACTTTGAACAAATAATGTTTTGTTGTGTTTACTTCTCTGTATTCTGGAGCATGTTCTGGACAACAGAATTTTAGCATGCCTTTGTAAAAGGCATGAATCCAAGCTTTGCAGATTCCTAAAGTAAGCTCTCCAAAAAGAGAGGTCATTGTCTGCCAGGATCAAAGCTTGTTCCATAGTAGGTCCACATACTGTTGTAAATGAATAAAGGAATGAATAAATGAATGAGTCCTTTTCATTCCTGCCTTCTGCTGCCTGCAGGCCAGGGGCCCCTGCAACACTGGGATTTCCAGTCCCCTTGAGCAAATCCTCGCTGTTCTACTTGAGGCAAGGAAGGTGAAGATAAGAGAAAGACACTGCCTTTATCAGGAAAGTAATTATTCCCTGTTCAGTTCCACCCATGAGTGATTAGAACCAGTTTACTTATGCCTTGCAGGGTGTGCCGACTGACTGCACCTGCAGATGAATTGTTTCCATAGAAAGTCAATAATGGCAACACAGGATCCTACCACCCAACTCCAAGCAATCATTCATCACCCACTTCAGAAGGAAGAAGAAACTTTATTTGCTTTTCCTAGAGTAGACAAATGAACATGAAATGCAATTTATAGATTTCAAATACGTCACTTCTCCTTTTTTTTTTTTTTGGTATTAGTCCTTCTGACAGCTCAGTGTCATCAAAAATTAAATGCACTTTCACTGTCTTTAGTTTGCTCCAGATTCAACATATGGCTACAGGAAGTAATTCTACAAAAGGTTGGCAGGCAGCTTTCTGATCCTTCCAGTTGTCGTCTCCTGCGGGCCTTCTTCCCAGAGGAATGCTGCTACTATTTAGTTTTCCAAATTCTTTTCCTAGATATGCTGTTCTTGGAATTCCACCATTTATTGGTTTATGTGGCGTGGAGTTAATAAAAAGTTCTTCACCACCTCCGGGCATATACTTTTTCGTACCATTTCTTTGGTCCTAATGGAAAAAGTATTTATTTTATATGTTGTTCATTATTTGTTGGCTCATTTGTCTATTCTTTGTCATAAATGGGCTGGAATCAAGCAGAGGTAATGGGCTGCTGTGTGGATATCTCTTTTGCTTTACTCAGAGCTTAATTCAGCTCCAGATGCCCATATCACAGGTGCATAATAAATGCTTTTCATAATGATAATGACAACAGCAAAGAAAAACAGCAACAGCAGCAATTAGGCACTCCAGTTATCTACTGCTACCCACTTTATTCAAACAGAAATATTTCTCTCTATAAACAGAATAAAAGTCTATTTGCAAACCTCTGATCTCAAAATTAAAATCAAATTAAGCAAAATGTAATCAGAGAAAGTAAGTCATCTGCTGACCAATGAGGGTGGAAAAGCTACCTATTCTCAATGAGGGCTGAGTACTTATCCTTCCCAGATGAGCTGAGGGAAAGAGCAATTAAGTGCTTATCAATTGGCAACTATTTGGAGGACAGTGTTAGGGAAAGTTGAACAGGATCCCAGAATGAACCATGGAAAGAAAATCACAGAAATACAAACAGTGAAGGAAGGGGAGGAAGGGGATTAAAAAGAAAAAAGCTCAAATCAAGCACACACTGATAGAAATGAGTCAAATCAAGCACACACTGATAGAAATGAGTCTGTAAGAAGATGGAAATGACACAACCAATTTTCCTAAATCCCATCCTTCCAAACTCAGCGAAGCTTACCTATGTGCCATCTTTGTTTATTAGCACAAAATCGCGTCATTCAATACTGAGATGAACAGAACATTTAGGCAACAGACTGTCTGCTTGTGACCTGGAAAGTGATTCAGTGAAATGACTGGGAAACTATGGCATTGTATTTTAAAGAGTTTATTCTGTCCTTTTGATTTCAAACTGGTTTTCTAATGAGGATCCACAGACTCAGATTTTTTAACGGAAAAAAACAAGCATAAAAAACATTTTTTAAGACAAGATCTTGCTCTGTCGCCCCGGCTGGAGTGCAGTTGAATGATCACAGCCTCAAACTCCTGGGCTCAAGGGATCCTCCCATCTCGGCCTCCCAAAACACTCAGATTATAGGCATGAGCCACCATGTAAGGCTGGGAAGAAACATTTTTTTAAGGAGCATGTAATTTCAGTCCTTCATATGTGTGTTAATTGCCTTGTCAGGAGACCCAACCCATTAATTATTATTTGTAACAATAATGAGGAGTCATTCAGTACCTCTTGGCCAATTCCACAGAGTACATAGAAGATGAGTAAGGTTTATCAGGAATGACAACATATGAGTTACAGTCCTTGGAAGATGATTCAAAAAAGAAAACGTATAGGACATCTCTTCTTATTTCACTTGGGACTACTGAACATAGTCTTCTCCTTTGAGACAATTTAGAGAAACCCAAACGTACAAACACTATTTTACTGTAAGAATCTGCTTCCACCATTGTGAATGGCACTGAACTTCTATAAAGGAAATATATGTCCACGTATATATTTCCATGGCGGGTTGATCCACAGGGCTGAGCATGGGGCTGGTGCACCACAGACTTCTGTTCCACAGGAAGAGCCATAACCTAATCCTAAACCTGGCTCTAGTCAATGTCTTCATGAATGTGTACTTTTCCTCACAAAATAGAAAAGAAGGGAGTGTGCTTAGTGAAGGTCATTCACACCATGAGAAGAAAGGTAAGCTACAATCACAAGAAATAGTAAGGGGCCTGGGTTTAAAAACTCGGATTTGAATTTCTTCTCTGCTATTATCAGTTGTGCCACTTTGAATACCTTATAGCTCATTAAATCCTTTTTTTGAGTCTCAGTTTCCTCATTGAAGACAGTAGTGATACCACAAACAAGTTGCCATTTATTGAGCTGTTGTGTATCAGGCTCCCTGCTAAAGCTTTAAACTAAATTATTCCATCAGATTGTTTATGAAAACTACTTCAGGTAGATATCATTATGTCCATTTGATATCGGGCTTAGAGAGATGAGGCAATTTGCTCAAGGTTGCACAGCTAGTCAGTGGTAAGGTTATCTATGTCATGCCCTGCAGAGATTCGTGTGAAGATCAGATAAGATTATCTGTGCAAAAGCACTGTTAAGTTTTGTGCAAATATTGCGTTTACCTCACAAAGGATGACATATATAGTACTTTATGTTCTGCTAAAATATGATAGTTGAATTCCAAAAAAGAGAGGGAAAGAGATTTAAATCTGGCATTACAAATATCTCATAAAAATATTGCCTAGATGAAAAAAAAGAGACAGCAAGAAGAAATGGGGTGTAAGATAATGGAGAATTCCAGTAACAAGTGTAAGACGACACTATATTCTTGAACAAATAAAGATAATTTCTTGGTTTTAAATATACAGTCAGAAGATCAAAACAGCCAGTTATGGTTCATACCCCAGATTTTTCACAATGGCTCTGGCTTCCTTTACCTTGTCCTTCCAGCATGATTCTTCCGTAGATTGGATTTTATGCTTTATCATAAAAATGGATGGGAAAAGGATAATAGGAATGGGCAAAAATCTCTGATGTAATGTTCTTATTGGTGGAGAAACATTTTCCCACATGCTAGTTCGCAAAGAAGTTTATGCTAAAGCAAATAAGAACTATTACAGTGTAACTATTTTCCTAATAAGTGCATCCCATGCTTAACTGTCATTTAAAAAAAAAACAGACTCATTTTACTGGAGAAATTGCTATTATTAATATCATATGAGGTGACAGTGCAGAATATGGAATATTCACTAATGCTTAGCATTGGGTCATCTGGTTTAAAAAACTAAACCTGGGGCCGGGTGCAGTGGCTCACGCCTGTAATCCCAGCACTTTGGGAGGCCGAGGCAGGCGGATCATGAGGTCAGGAAATCGAGACCATCCTGGCTAACACAGTGAAACCCCATCTCTACTAAAAATACAAAAAGTTAGCTGGGCGTGGTGGTGGGTGCCTGTAGTCTCAGCTACTCAGGAGGCTGAGGCAGGAGAATGGCATGAACCCAGGAGGCGGAGCTTGCAGTGAGCCAAGATCGCGCCACTGCTCTCCAGCCTGGGCGACAGAGGGAGACTCCGTCAAAAAAAAAAAAAAAAACCTAAACATGGTATTTCAGAGGGAAATAATGATGTACACATTCAAAGAATGTTTTTATTATTGCAGTCACTATGAGAACTAATTAAATACCTTGAGAATATTTGAGCCACCTTAAAAATCTCATTATCCTATAGCCTCCGTTCCAACCCAATCAGAACACACTTCCATCAACATTACAAGTCCCAAAGTAACTTCTCTCTTAAATCCCCAAAGGTCTATAAATGCCAAAAGGTTACATCATTTTAAAATGTTAGCTGCTATCAGAAGGAGCCATGATGCTAAGAGAAACAGACATTCATCTTCTTTGCTCATGGGAAACTTTACAAGAAATGATGTTCATTTAATGATAAGAAATCTCTTTATTCCACAAGAAATGATAAAGAAACACAGGTGAGAAGGAAGAGAGAGCAGGAAAGAGAAGCTATCAGTCTATCTTAACATTGATTTAAGTGAGGGAAATCCATTTTTGGTAAAATCTGTAAGTTGTGTACTTGACTTTAGAGTTTGAATAAGTGTCAAGTTGAAAGTCAGGAAAGTAAAATGAAAAGTCCATAGACATTAATCCACTCTAAAAATCAGTGAACAGAATCCATCCACATTCTTCATCCCTTGCTGTATTTGTATCATCATCCTAATGAAGGAGTTCAGGAAATGCCACCCCAAAATACCCTGCTTTGGTACACTGATTACCTCAAACTGAGGGCTCTTGGGGAACAGCCAATGCTGGCAGGAGCTCTCTCTGAGCTCTCCTTATCTGTCTGAAGACTGATCTAAAATAACTCAATTGTCATAATTTCCTTCCCCAGGAATCTCATCAACCAAAGATGAACTCAGATTACAGAAGAGACTAGAAGTTGACATTACAACCAGACTCGCTATCACCTGTTCTTCTGAGGGCCCATTTGTCTTTCCCAAAATTCATTTACTTTTCCCTAAATTGCCTACATCCCTCCTCTCCTCCTTCCTATGAAGTGGGCATATAAGCTTTTAGATCTCACTGGGTTTTTGGTATTCACTTTTCTTTCATGTGATGCCCCTGTACATGTAATACATTTGTTTACCTGTTCTCTTATTAATCTGTCCAGTGATGGTTTATTTCATGGACTCAATTATAAAGCACTCAGAGGGTAGAGGGAATTTTTTCCCTTTCCTACACTAACAAGTACGTTTTAATTTTACTTATATTAATGCTTCATGATAAACTGGCAAATATACTAGGGTGTACTGGGGAAGATTAATGAAGTCTCAGCCACGTGAGACCTTGCTAATGTATTTGACTATTAAAGCTTTCCTGAAAAGACTACGGAGACCACCAGGGATTTCTCTTATACAGGATTTGCAGATTAGTGAAGTGAGAATAGCCTGGTGCAGCTCTACTGCAGAGCTCTTTGGAAGATGGGCCTAGAGGGGGTCATCCAGGAGGAAGCCTCTCATATTAACAATGAGGTCCATTTCATGTAAAATTTTCCTTCCTTCTTCAGTTATTTAATGACAAACATTGATCATCTCAAGTTGTTGATGAGAGGTGGAAAAGGGTCAATGTGCTTAATTGACATGTCAGAGCATAATTACATCATCTGCTGCTTTCCTCTCTCTTTTTGGATTTCAGTCACAGCAGGAAAGACAGCAGTGCGGTGTTTTATGAAGATGATTTTTTTCATGACTGCATATTCTAGGTTTAATTCTATCTCAATATACATACCTCAGAAGCATTAGAACTGACATAGTATACTAAAGAGAAAAGGAGTTCTATTCTACTTATGTATTGTATAACAATCTATCTCAGAACAGTGGCTTCAAACAAGCATTTTGTTTTGTTTAAGATTTTGTGGGTCAGGAATTTGGGAAAAGCTGAGCTGAGTAGGTAGTCTCAAATCCACATGATGTCAACTGTGGTGGCCAGAGTTGGATATTTCACTTCCAAGATGGCTCCTTCATTCCTGTATCTGGTTGGACCTCTCCCTTTCTCTCTGCATGACATCACATCCTCCAGGACCCCCCATGTGGCTGAACATCACATAACATGGCAGTTTCATAATAGTTGAATTTCTTATATAGCAGTGGTTTCCTTCAGTGTGAATGTCCCAAGATCAAGTATTCCAAAGGGCTAAAGTGGAAGGTGCAAAGCTTTGCATGACCCATCCTTGGAAGACCCAGGACATCAATTTTGCCACATGCTATTGGTCAAAGAATTCTGGGCCAGACTTAATGGGAGGAAAAAAATAGACTTCACCTCTCAAGGGAAGAAAAGCATGCACACGCACACACACACAAACACACACACACAGAAGCAAGCCATATTGAAGATAAGTAACCACAACTATCTTCTGTAAAACTTGTCACATAATTTTTAAAAATAGATATGATAAAAAGTTGTAATTATTATATTCAATATGAATTAAAATGTCCTCATAATCATAGAATTCCTGGGATATAGATATCTTGAAGTTGCCAGAATTTTCATTGGGTCTTACCTTAAACTTTTGAAGGCTGAAAAATTCTAATCTGTTATCAGATTAAGGTAAGTGTATTTATTGAAGACCAAGTGAATTGCATTGTTTAGTCCCTCTCAGGGACATTAAGGGAGCCAAGGTTGAGTAATTTCAGTGTGTGAATTTTCAGGGTACATAAATTACCCAGATTAAATTATAGAAGAATAGACCAGTTCAATGTCCATTAAAGTGTGCCTAAGCAACTCTCTAATAAAAGAACCTATATCTAGGCATTATAATCCCCTCATTTAATTAAGGATCTGATATCATGAAATATGGGTTTCTTAAGAGCAAAGTAGTCCTTGCTCTTCTATGCTCACAGAGAAAGCACTGATATCATTTACAACATAAACCAGAAATTGAAAATAGGATACTTAGTGTTCCCTTCAGTTTGGAAAATGGATCTTAAAATAAACCTAATGATTTTCAGGTATCCTTGGGCTAACAACAACAAAAGGCCATTTAGGTCTGAAAGTGAATGGTAAATGTATTCTAGAAACATAAAGAAAGTTCAATTTTTATCATGCCCAGGCCCACATAAAACCATCTAAAATTTTTATTTTATTATTTTTTAAAATTGTATTTGCATCTGGCTGCATAGCTCAATTCCTGCTGCTGCTATGCCAACCCTATAAAACACTCATCTGCTCCAAGTTATTACCAACAGGGAATCCACACTTCAAGAAAATAACCACAAAATCAGCTCTCTTGACATCAGTGGTATTTCTCAACACCCCAAAAGTATTTTGTATGCAAAGGGAACAAAAATGTTGCCTTCTTTAAACCGTTTCAAACAACACGATCTTTTATGGATCTGGCCTAGTATCTTTTATACAGCTAGTCACCACAATTGCTTATAGGCAAGGATCCTCATCAATCAGAATAATTCCTAATCAAGGGGCTACCATGAAGTCCAATTATAAAAGCTCCAATTCTGTTTTGTGACTATACAAAAGCCATTTTCAGACCCAGGTTCATATTCATGATAAGTTGAATAAGTTCATGAAGATACTGTCATTTTAAAAGTTGTCTGATCTTGATTCAAGAGCTGCCTTGATCATATGAAAGACAGTTCATAGATGGTTTGGCTTTCTTTGAATGTGTCATGAATAGGGTGAACATACATTACATGTTGCCTTTGAAAGTCTTGGCTTATTCCTATAGCACCATCATAAATATTATTACTGACATGCAGATATGACTTGGATGATAAATTAATCAAACAGTTATAAAACCAACAGAGCTCATGAGAACTCACTCACTATCATGAGAACAGCATGAGGGGAACCACCCTCATGATCAAGGTCTCTCCTTCAACACCCAGGAATTACAATTCAAGATGAGATTTGGGTAGGGACATAAAGCCTAACCATATCATTCTGCCCTGGGCCCCTCCCAAATCTCATGTCTTTTCATATTTAATAACCAATTATGCCTTCCCAACAGTCCTCCAAAGTCTCAACTCATTTCAGCATTGACTCGAAAATCTACAGTCCAAAGTCTCATCTGAGACAAATCAAGTCCCTTCTGCCTCTGAGCTTGTAAAATCAAAAGCAAGTTAGTTACTTCCAAAATACAATGGAGGTACAGGTATTGGGTAAATGCTCACACCAAATGGGAGAAATTGGCCAAAACAAAGGGGCTACAGGTCCCACACAAGTCTGAAATCCAGCGGGGCAATCATTAAACTTTAAAGCTCCAAAATGATCTCCTTTGACTCTATGTCTCACATTGAGGTCATGCTGATGCAGGAGGTGGGCTCCCATTGTCTTGGGCAGCTCTCCCCCTGTGGCTTTGCAGGGTACGGCACCCCTCCCACACCAGCTGCTTTCATGGGCTGGTGTTGAGTGTCTGTGGCTTTTCCAGGGGCACAGTGCAAGCTATCAGTGGATCTACCACTTTGGGGTCTGGAGGACGGTGGCCCTCTTCTTACAGCACCAATAGGCAGTGCCCCAGTGGGCACTCTGTGTGGGGGCACTGACCCATTTCCCTTCTGCACTGCCCTAGCAGAGGTTCTCCATGAGGCCTCTGCCCCTGCCTCAAACTTCTGTCAAGACATCCAGGCATTTCCATACATCCTCTAAAATCTAGGTAGAGGTTCCCAAATCTCAATTCTTGACTTTGTGCACATGCAGGCCCAATACCATGTGGAAGTCACCAAGGCTTAGGACTTGCACCCTCCACAGCAATGGCCTGAGCTGTGTGGTGGTCCCTTTCAGCCACGCCTGCGACAGAGGGCACCAAGTCCCTAGGCTGCACAGAGCAGCAGCAGTGCCCTGGGCCCGGCCCACAAAACCATTTTTCCCTCCTATGCCTCCAAGTCTCTGATAGGAGGGACAGCCATGAAGTTCTCTGACATGCCCTGGAGACATTTTCCCCCTTGTCTTGGCAATTAACATTTGGCTGCCTGCTAATTATGCAAATTTCTACAGGCAGCTTGAATTCCTCCCCAGAAAATGGGTTTTTCTTTTCTACTGCATTGTCAGACTGCAAATTTTTCAAATTCATGCTCTGCTTCCTCCTGAATGCTTTGCTGCTTTGAAATTTCTTCTGCCAGATACCCTAAATCATCTCTCTCAAGTTCAAAGTTCCACAGATCTCTAGGGCAGGGGCAAAATGCCACCAGTCTCTTTGCTAAAGTATAGCAAGAGTGATCTTTGCTCTGGTTCCCAACAAATTCCTCATCTCTATCTGAAACCACCTCAGCCTGGACTTCACTGTTTATATCACTAATCAGCATTTTGGTCAAAACCATTCACCAATCTCTAGGAAGTTCCAAACTTTCCCACATCTTCCAGTCTTCTGATCCCTCCAAACTGTTCTAACCTCTGCCTGTTATGCAGTTTCAATTTATACCAGTACTCCACTCTCTGCAGTACCAATTCACTGTATTAGTCTGTTCTCACACTGCTCTAAAGAACTGCCCAAGATTAGGTAATTTATAAAGCAAAGAAGTGTAATTGACTCACAGTTCTGCGTGGCTGGGGAGGCCACAGGAAACTGACAATCATGGCAGAAGGCAACTCTTCACAGGGCGGCAGGAGAAAGAAGAGGTGAGCAAGAGGAACTACCAAACACAAAACCATCAGATCTCTTGAGAACTCACTCACTATCATGAGAATAGTTAGGGTCGGGTGGGGACCATCCCCATGATCCAGGTCTCTCCCTCAACACCTAAGGATAACAATTCAAGATTAGATTTGGGTAGGGACACAAAGCCTAACCACATCATGGTGCTTCTCAATTCATAAACAATTGATACTGGACTTAATTCCTTCAATTTGTTACTGTAACATCAGAGATTTGTTCTAGGTCCTGATGCTCAACAATTGGTACTGGACTTAATTCCTTCAATTTGTTACTGTAACATCAGAGGTTTGTTCTAGGTCCTGATGCTCACCACACAGAAAGCCAATCACTGAGACGATGAGTTATTACCAAGGAAAAAGGCTTTAATCCGGTGCTGCAGCCAATGAGCTGGGAACTCAGTCTCAAATCCATCTCCCTGACTGACTGAAACTAGGGGTTTATATAGCAGGGAAGAAATGTAATCGTGTGTAAGAAAACAGGAACTAAGGAAGGGCAAGGAAGCAATCAAAGTGAAAGAGGGGTCCAAGCTTCTCATTGTCAGGATGTGGTAATCTGGTGAGTTTCAGTTATTTGATACTTTTTTTTGAGAGGCTTGAAGGTCCTTTCCTAAGGAAGGAACTCAGATAAAACAAATGTAAGCCTCAAGCTTCAATTGACCAGAAAGGTCAATTTCTATGTTTATCCAAAACGACAGTCTATGGGACTATTGGGTTGGTTTCAAATTCAGAATAAAAGAATGAAGACAAAGAGTGCTCCTAGTGATGGCCGGACAGGTTTTTAAGCTACTTGTCCGATGTCTAGCTCTTGCTAGGTATGAATCTTTGTGTCAAAGATACAATAATTTTGTTTCTTTTCATTTAGTCATATTATTTGCTTTAAAGTTTAGGTATTGTGTTCACATATGAACAAGAAAAAATATGCATTAACTGCAGATATTTTTGAAAAATGTCCCCAAAAACGTACTCAGAATAAAAGAACAATCACTTAAGCATCACTATGCAGAGATTATTGTCACTGACACTTTGATATTTGTTTTCAATCTTTGTTTTATGCATATATAGATATACACACATATACATAAATGTTTATGGGTGTCAGAAAGAGACACAAAGTGGGAGAAAGAGAAATTTATACAGCAAGAGGGTGTCGTGTGACACTTCCTGCTTTTTAACCTGCTTTTCCCACTTTAAAGCCGCACTTCGAAGATTTTCTATGGTTTTCAATATTCTTCTGTGTTATCATTTTTATTGGTGATATAGTATTGATTGTACAAATATGCCACTATGTAATTAATCTCTTATTTACCAGGTTTCCAATTTTCACTAATATTATGATTAATGTAGATTAACATTTCTGTATGTCAATTACTATTTCCTCAAGTAATTTCCTAGTAGTGAAATTTATGGATAAAGAATATGAATTTTGGCCAGGTACGGTGGCTCACACCTGTCATCCCACCACTTTGGGAGGCCGAGGCGGGCAGATGGATCATGAGGTCAAAAGATCGAGACCAACCTGGCCAACACTGTGAAACTCTCTCTCTATTAAAAATACAAAATTAGTTGGGCGTGGTGGTGCACAGCTGTAGTCCTAGCTACTCAGGAGGCTAAGGCAGGAGAATCGCTTGAACCCAGGAGGCATAGGTTGCAGTGAGCTGAGATCGGGCCACTGCACTCCAGCCTGGCGACAGAGCAAGACATTATTTCGACAAAAACAAAAAAAGAATATGAATTTTGCAACCACTTTTGATACACACTACCAAGTGTTTTTCAGAAGAGTATACTAATTTAACTGGAAGTGCCTATCGCAACACTAGGTTTTGTCTGTCTTTTTATATTGTTTTCTAAGATGACTGGAGAAAAAGATGTATTTTATGTCAATATATACCACTTTCATTCCTAATGACAGTGAATTTTTTCATTCCTTTTTCCCTCCCTTTTATCCTTTTGTCATTTATGTTTACTCACTTGAAATCCTCATTTGATACACAGACTGGTCATATTTTTCTCCATTTAAAATTCTGGGTATGTCTCTTTTTCTTATTGATTTGTATACATTGTTATTCTTACTTCATAGTCTGTTTATAAGTCTGCTTATGCACACTTTCTATCTTCATCTACATTTCTGGAAAAAGACAACACAGTAGCATTCTGCACATATTATACACACATAGACATGGGTGATCCCAAGTGCGTATTTCAAGCTCGAAGACAATTAAGAAATTAGAAACTCTAAACTGCATATTTCAGTAATTGCGTTCCCGAAATAAAGGAGCTGTAGAAAAACATTATTTCTCCTTTTTGTACTATGTCATCAATTCCCAGTCAAACCTTTCTGGTTATCCTTTTATAAATTCTAAGATGTTAAAAAATAGCTCATTGCACAAAAAACTCAAATTTGTTAAACTGCTATTTCAAAAGATTTTATACTCACATGACGTTTTTCATTTAAGCATTACACAGCGCTTTACAAATGTTAATTAGGATATTCCAACTGGAAATTGAAACAAACCTCAAGAGAGTGAAATTAGGCATGGAGAGACATAATCATTCCTCCAAGATTATTCCAGAGCATCCTTGGCATTTCCATGGCTCACACCCAAGTACCTGGTTTCCCAGGACTGCATCTTAACCATTAGAGCACATAATAAGCAGGTCTTCGTAAGCACGGGCTTATAGAGTAACTAACCAACATTTTAAAATTTGTCTAAAACATAAGTGAAAATGTGAAATAAATAGAAATTCTCTCTTTGACACACGTTACACTCAATTCATAAGTGATACACTAAATGGAACCTTATGTGCCTTGTCTATAAAATATTTTAATGAATATAATAAATATTCAAAAAAATTAAAATTTTTAGAATCCTTTTTTAGGCCTTTCAAGAACAAATAGAAAAACACGACTTTTGGAAAAACATCACTTTTTTGAGAGGAAAATTTCATTCTTTGTGGGATGAGCAGATGTTCATCATTCAACCATTCATTTCATTTTTTTTAAAATCTAATTTAAGAAGTTTCTGCAACCAAGTGACAGTCCCTGTGCTTAAGACTTGGGATTAAATAATGAAAAAGACACTAAATGCCTTATTACAACAGATAACACCACAAAAATAACAGATCAATGAAACTACCATTGCAGAGCTATTGAAATGTACAAAATTTTACTAGAACACGGAAAAGCACTTTTTTTTCCTATTGCTGGAATAAGAGATGTAACCACAGAATACCTGACACCAAAATTAGTTCTGAAGGAAGTAAAGGTGTTTAACAGAATAAGTAGGAAAGATTCGTGACAGGGGAATCACGTATGCAAAAGCAGAGGAATGCGGGCATGCATTACATGTTTTGGTAATGGCAAGTTCCTCAGTTTGGCTAAAGTTAGGCAAAGCAGTCTACAGCCAAGTTGAAAGAGACTTACTTGCCAGGTAAAGCGATTTTGACTAAAGCAACAGAACCTATTTATTCAGGGGCATACATACAGAATCAAGATTTTTAAGCAGGGGAAGAGAAAGAGTATAGCTCATTCAGAATGATCACTTTGGAGGTAATACAGAGATTGTGTTAAAGACAAGAGAATGGGGGGCAGGAAGTTCAAGCTAAGAGGTTATTACATTGGTTCAGCTAAGAGGAGTGTTTCAGAAACACACAATAACAGCGTTAGGCAAAAGAAAAATACTCTTAAATCCAGGCAGATGACCAGTTAAGCATTACCCAAAATATGTCCACCAGGATTCCAAGCATACTTTATAGCTATTTCCAGCCAAATGTATAAGTACTGGCAATTCTGAAAATACTTTTCCAAAACACACTACTTATAAAGCTACTGCTGAGTCTGACAATCAATCCTCTTTAAGGATCTAACAGGAAGACAGAATAAACAAAACATATGTCTCCCCAATTTAACACTTGCCAACAATGTAAATGAGCACATGTGCCTTTTCAATGTTCAACAAATTCCTGAAGCCACAGAATGTATAACTGCCACAAAGGAAACCATCAGGCTACAAAGAATGATTTCAGTGGCAGACCTTTTTTCTTTGGCAAGTAGCATAGTGAAATGCAAACATTAGAACCCCATAGTCCACAGACTGACTCTGACCAGCACCCGAGTTCTATTTGATGTAGATAATATTGGCCCAAAGAGCACTGTTTAACAGATTTTCCAACAATGTCCAGATGTCCTGGACATTATTCCCATATGGCCATACTCTACAACAACTCTAGAACTGCTATCCCCTATAGAGAGGTCATAAGCTTTCCAGGTTACCACCACCCACATCATCTTTTGTTATCTTGTTAAAACTAAAAGCAGGTCTCTGTTGGCATTTCTTATTGATGTAAGGGGAAAAAAGCATACATTCTTAGCTAAAACAAAGTATTGCATCCTTCTGGCTGTTCAAACAGAACAACAAACAGATTTAGCGGGCAGAGAGCACATTAAACACTGGAAATATTCCTCACTTCCTACAACGTCCTATGCTCACTAGCATTGTTTCCTTTTCTTTTTCTTTTTTTTTTTTTTTTTTTGAGACAGAGTCTCGCACTGTCGCCCAGGCTGGAGTGCAGTGGCACGATCTCGGCTCACTGCAAGCTGTGCCTCCCGGGTTCACGCCATTCTCCTGCCTCAGTCTCCCGAGTAGCTGGAACTACAGGCGCCCGCCACCACGCCCGGCTAATTTTTCGTGTTTTTTAGTAGAGACGGGTTTTCACCGTGTTAGCCAGGATGGTCTCGACCTCCTGACCTCATGATCCGCCCACCTCGGCCTCCCAAAGTGCTGGGATTACAGGCGTGAGCCACCACACCGGGCCCTCATTGTTTCCTTTTCTTAAAATAAAGTTTCTGTATTCATAGACTCCCTAGTCACTCCATTCATCTACAATTACCTGTGTAAGTCAATAGGTATTTGAGTTGAGACTCCTGTAGGAGCTAAGATCATAAACTTAACCAGGGGTCCCCCAATTCTGCTCACTCACACGACCTTAGGAAATCACTTCTTATGTCTGATCCTTTATTTCTATAGCTATGAAATGAGGCTAACAATACACAATTCACAGAGTGGGTGTTCATTATGATTTGATGGAGCTAACACAATGAATGTAGCATTTTCTAAGTGAAATTAAAAGTTCTAACACCATAAGAATTCAATAGTCATGTAAATTTGGGGGATACCAGAATGCAGAAAATAAAACAGGTTCCTTTGGTTTATTAAAGTCTTTGGAAAGTGCATCCTACAGCAAGAAGAGTCGAAGATAATTTGTCAAATGTATTCAAAGATATAATCTAGTTGTTTTTTTTTGTTTGTTTTTTGTTTTTTGCCCAGGAAGCTTCTAGAGAACTAAGGTTCTGAGAAACATACTTTGGGATACTAGTGATTGGTTAGTATCCCTTTTTGGTACATAGTAGATACTTAACAGTTATCAACTCATTCTTAGAACTGGATCTAGAATTTCTGTAAGGTTTAGATCAAATTCAGCTTTTTCAAGTTTATCTGTGAAAACAAGATGCAAAATAATAACAATAGGAACACTGAGGACTAGACCACGTGATGTGGGGTTGCTGGCTAAAAGAGGGGTAAGAAGCTCTGGCTATAATGATCCTTTCTGTTTCGGGAGATGATCAAATCCATAACATTCTGAGCCATTGAAATAATGGGTGTTCGTGTGATCTTTGGTATTTATAGGCATCAAGGTATTTGCTACATATTCTGAAGTTATCCAGTATAATGAAGGAAATTTGCTACAACTCTAGAATTAAGAAAGAGATTGAATGGGAACATTCTGTAAAGGTGGGTCAACCTCTAAGAGACAGCAGGGGGAGGCAGTGTGCCGTGGAATGAGATACGGGGTCCATCTCTGCCACTGTCTAGTTCTAAGACGCTGGGAGAAAACCAACTAACATCTGTGAGCCCAAATTTCATCATGGTCAAATGCTGAGTTAGAAGAGAAAGTTTCTAGTGATCTTCCAGTTCAAACATCATGTGGTTTTTCTGGGGTGAGAGATGCATGCTAGTGAGGTTATGAACAAATCAAATTTTAGTGAATCAAATCTTATATACCTATAAATTGATATTACATTTTCCAAAAATGCCATTTCTCACCATTAATTGATCTTCCTGTGGCACTGGATCTTAGCATTTTAGTCTTAAGTTTTGCCCTTATTTAGCAAAACATACAAGGACTGCCTGCTATTTTTTAAAATGTCTGCACTGCTTCTTTGTGTAAAGTGAAGAATTTCTACATTTACATGTTGACAGTTCAGATTTTCTAAAATCAAGGTAAACCTAGGGTGCCAAGGACACAGCAGACATTAAGTCTGTGCTAAATGGAAGCTTTAAATTATAGAAACTTCAGCATGTTTCTAAATCTAAGATCAGAAATTTTCAAGAAGATGTAGATCTTCTTGACATACAATGTTTCTCACCAGTCCCTTTATCAAATTTGTTTTTTTCCCTGAAGGAAAATTCTTCCACTGCTGCATTATACTCATAAGTCCCATCCCGGCAAGACTCAATTGCCAATGATACTTATAAGATTATATTTACTTCTTTGAGCTAAAATGTAAAGGTCATTTTCTGTATTAAAGCTCAGCCTTTAGGCTAAATATCTTTCTTCTCTTTTCCTGGGAAAGAGTGAGAGAGACAAAGATTGACAGGGACAGGGACAGTTGGGGGTGGGGAGAAAGAGAGCGAGCAGAGTTTGGGAACTAGAAACTTTTACTAATGGATCTGAAATTGGTTCCCTGGATCCTAACCAAATTTAATTTGTCTAATCCATAGTTTAACTAGAGTTTCCACTCAAACCAAAAGTAAATCTTACCTAGAAAATAATGTACCTGGCCGGGCACAGTGGCTCTTGCCTGTAATCCCAGCACTTTGGGAGGCCAAGGCGGATGGATTACGAAGTCAGAAGATTGAGACCATCCTGCCAACATGGTGAAATCCCGTCTCTACTAAAAACACAAAAGTTAGCCGGGCGTGGTGGCGGGTGCCTGTAGTCCTAGCTACTCGGGAGGCTGAGGCAGGAGACTCGCTTGAACCTGGGAGACGGAGGTTGCAGTAAGCCGGGATCACGCCACTGCACTCCAGCATGGGCGACAGAGCAAGACTCAGTCTCAAAAAGATAATAATAATAAAAATAAAAGAATGTACCTTTCTCAGACAGGATAACAACCACTTTTTTACTTATCTTTCATCTTTATTCTAAGAGATTCAGTAAGATTCTTTACTGGGAAAAACACTGTCATTTTGCTCTGGCTCTTTTTATCTGCATCAAAGTGTTTCAAAAACCTCTGAGCATTTTGGAATTCCTAGACAATGGCATTTAACTCAAATATACAATTTTTTTTTTCAAATATATCATTTGCCTAAATTTCTCTAAGACTGAAAAGTAAACTACATGATGTTGTTAACTCTTGGAAATCCTGACCCCAACATCTATACTTAGGTGATTTTCATGAAAACCACACAGATTTTCTTCTAAACTCTGAATACAATCCTTTTCCAATTTAGTCTCTTGCTGAGGAGTTGCTTTTTTTTTTAGCAGTGCCAGAATACATGAAAAACAGAGGGTAGAAACAACCAACCAGGTGCATTCATGAATTTTTAAACCAGGTCTGCTGAAAAACATGCAAAACAAAACCTCTCCAAGCACGCTTGGGGTAAAACATCAATCTGAATATTATTCAGTATCATCTCCATGTCTATACCAGCCCCAGCAGATGGCCAATTTGCTTTTACCACCTTCAGTCCATGCAGCCAGATGCTCCCAGATGATGGCTTTTTCAGACTGCATCTCTGATTGTGCAGTCCAGGTACCCAGGGAGCAGGGCAACCCCAGAGTGGCACACAGATGTAAAAAGTAAAAATAACCACATAATCCTCTAAAATGTTTTTAAAACTAACCGTAGGCAGAGATGGGCTAAGATATAAAGCAATCTGACACAGAAAGTTTACCGGAACTTTCCTTGAAATATGAGGTACCATTTCTTATGGGTACTGATATGGTTTGGCTGTGTCCCCACCCAAATCTCATCTTGAATTCCCATGTACTGTGGGAGGTACCTGGTGGAAGGTAATTGAATCCTGGGGGGCAGATCTTCTCCATGCTGTTCTTGTGATAGCGAATAAGTCTCACGAGATCTGATGGCTTTATAAGGCAGAGTTTCCCTTCATAAGCTCTGTTCTCTTGTCTGCATCCATGGGAGAAATGCCTTTCACCTTCTGCCATGATTGTGAGTCCTCCCCAGCCCCGTGCAACTTTAAGTCCATTAAACCTCTTTCTTTTGTAAATTGCCCAGTCTTGTCTTTTTTTTATACTTTAAGTTCTATGGTACATGTGCACAACGTGCAGGTTTGTTACATATGTATACATGTGTCATGTTGGTGTGCTGCACCTATTAACTTGTCATTTACATTAGGTATACCTCCTAATGCTATCCTTCCTCCCTCCCCCCACCCACGACAGGCCCTGGTGTGTGATGTTCCCCTTCCTGTGTCCAAGTGTTCTCATTGTTCAATTCCCACCTATGAATGAGAACATGCAGTGTTTGGTTTTTTGTCCTTGCGATAGTTTGCTGAGAATGATGGTTTCCAGCTTCACCCATGTCCCTACAAAGGATGTGATCTCACTCTTTTTTGTGGCTGCATAGTATTCCATGGTGTATATGTGCCACATTTTCTTAATCCAGTCTATCATTGTTGGACATTTGGGTTGGTTCCAAGTCTTTGCTATTGTGAATAGTGCCGCAATAAACATACGTATGCATGTGTCTTTACAGCAGCATGATTTATAATGCTTTGGGTATATACCCAGTAATGGGATGGCTGGGTCAAATGCCATCTCCATCAAGCTACCAATGACTTTTTTCACTGAATTGGAAAAAACTACTTTGAAGTTCATATGGAACCATAAAAGAGCCCGCATTGCCAAGACAATCCTAAGCCAAAAGAACAAAGCTGGAGGCATCACACTACCTGACTTCAAACTATACTACAAAGCTACAGTAACCAAAACAGCATGGTACTGGTACCAAAACAGAGATATAGATCAACGGAACAGAACAGAGCCCTCAGAAATAATGCCACACATCCACAACCATCTGATCTTTGACAAACCTGACAAAAACAAGAAATGGGGAAAGGATTTCCTATTTAATAAATGGTGCTGGGAAAACTGGCTAGCCATATGTAGAAAGCTGAAACTGGATCCCTTCCTTACACCTTATACAAAAATTAATTCAAGATGGATTAGAGACTTAAATGTCAGACCTAAAACCATAAAAACCCTAGAAGAAAACCTAGGCAATACCATTCAGGACCTAGGCATGGGCAAGCACTTCATGTCTAAAACACCAAAAGCAATGGCAACAAAAGCCAAAACTGACAAATGGGATCTAATTAAACTAACGAGCTTCTGCACAGCCAAAGAAACTACCATCAGAGTGAACAGGCAACCTACAGAATGGAAGAAAATTTTTGCAATCTACTCATCTGACAGAGGGCTAATATCCAGAATCTACAAAGAACTCAAACAAACTTACAAGAAGAAAACAAACAACCCCATCAAAAAGTGGGCAAAGGATATGAACAGACAATTCTCAAAAAAAGACATTTATGCAGCCAACAGACACATGAAAAAATGCTCATCATCACTGGCCATCAGAGAAACGCAGATCAAAACCACAATGAGTAACCGTCTCACACCAGTTAGAATGGTGATCATTAAAAAGTCAGGAAACAACACGTGCTGGAGAGGAAGTGGAGAAATAGGAACACTTTTCCACTGTTGGTGGGACTGTAAACTAGTTCAACCATTGTGGAAGACAGTGTGGCGATTCCTCAAGGATCTAGAACTAGAAATACCATTTGAGTATGTCTTTATCAGCAGCATGAAAATAGACTAACACAGGTCCTAAAAGGGGAATTGCCTTCTGTCACTTTATTCTTCAAGTTCCTGCAAGAAGCCTAGGATGTCTAGATTCAGAAGTGACTGAAAGCAGAACTATTATATGCATTGCCACAAATGTAACATTTGGTTATAGAGATCAAGCAGGACCTATTACAGGGAGTCAGAATTGTCTGCCTGCCCTATTTTTCTACAACTTAGACCAGGCTCTTGATTTTGATGCACTGCTACAGCTGGATATGTTGTCTCATTTGTAATTGACCTATAGAGGGTGATACCTTCTAACACTAGCTCTAACCTCTCAAGCAAAAAATAATAATAATCTATTAATAAATAATTAAATGTACCAGTAGGACTCACCCACCAAGGAAAGTAATTGGTCATGTCCATGAATCATTTTGAAAAATAAAAAAGTATATGCTAAGTGATACTTACATAAAACCTCCATATGACTGTAAGACTTCCTAAAGGTTGATATCTCTGTTTAACAGAACATTTCTAGGATTGTGTACAATACCATACACAAGGGATTTCTGTGTCTGTGTGTTATAGTTCACCAACATACCATCAACAGCAGAGATTGAGGGGCCAAAAGATACATAGGTTCTAGGTGAATCTTTTTTTTTTTTTTTTTTTTTTTTTTAAGATGGAGTCTTGCTCTGTTGCCTAGGCTGGAGTGTAGTGGCGCGATCTCGGCTCACTGCAAGCTCCACCTCCCGGGTTCATGCCATTCCCCTACCTCAGCCTCCCCAGCAGCTGGGACTACAGGCGCACACCGCCACACCCAGCTAATTTTTTTGTTTGTTTGTTTGTTTTGTTTTGTTTTAGTAGAGACGGGGTTTCACCGTGTTAGCCAGGATGGTCTCGATCTCCTGACCTTGTGATCTGCCTGCCGCAGTCTCCCAAAGTGCTGGGATTACAGGCATGAGCCACCGTACCCGGCCAGTTCCAGGTGAATCTTAAAAAGAAACAGAGGGTCTCCTAGGCCTTCAGTGGGCTGGATTAGGTGACCTTCCTCAGTCCTTCAAAAGCACCCTGGGATTAATGCTATCCCCAGATCAATTCTACTTTGTCGTTATTTCCTTATTTGTGTATCTCCTTTTCCAGACTGGAATATCAATACCACACACTGGAACCTTTCATCGTCTTTAGTTCACTATCTCTAGGGCCTCTACATAGTAAGTTGTTAATCAATGTCTGATGATTGAATGGACAAACAAAATATTTTCTTAATTTTATAATATGTATTTAGAAATTAGCTCATTAAATATTTATATGAACACCTAATTTTCACATACTATCATATTAAATATGTGCTATTCATAATTTTAAGGAAAGCAGGAAGGACAAGAGAATAAACAGAAAGAAGAAAATAGGAAAGGAATAAAGGCAAGAGAAGGAAGGATAAAGTTTCTAAATAGTATGGTTTGGGGAATTAAGAAAAATTTCTAAATGTGCTTTATATATTAACCATAATTGGTCTATTTTTTTTACTAATTTATAAAACATCACAGTAATAGCAAACATTTAATAGCCCTTACTATGTGTTAGGCTCATTTTAAGGGATTTGCATATATTAACTCATGTAAACCCACGAATTTATTGGGCAGGAACTATTAGTATAGCCATTTTTTTTTTTTTTTTTTTTTTGAGACGGAGTCTCGCTCTGTCTCCCAGGCTGGAGTGCAGTGGTGGGATCTCGGCTCACTGCAAAGCTCCGCCTCCCAGGTTCACGCCATTCTCCTGCCTCAGCCTCCCGAGTAGCTGGGACTACAGGCGCCCGCCACCACGCCCGGCTAATTTTTTTGTATTTTTACTAGAGATGTGGTTTCACTGTGTTAGCCAGGACGGTCTCGATCTCCTGACCTTGTGATCTGCCCTCCTTGGCCTCCCAAAGTGCTGGGATTACAGGCGTGAGCCACCGTGCCCAGCTAGTATAGACGACAGTTTACAGATGAATATGCTGAGGCACAAAAAAGTTTCATGACTAGTCCAAGACCACATAGATGATAAGTGGCCAAACCAGGATTGAATGTAGTTAGTTTAGCTCTAGTGTCAGCGTTTTCATCCATTATGCTATGCGGCTCCATCTCGAATTTGCAAGCATTTATTAAGTACTTTCATTCTCAAAGTTCACGCCATTTGGTCAGGCACAGGAGGGATATACATGTCTAAGCCACTGCTTTATATTATCAGTTCCTTTACCAAGTACATGTCATATCTTCTAAGACAGAAAGTTGCATATGGAGAGTAAAGACAGAGTCCCAAAAAGAGCATACATACTGTAGGAGTACAGAATCAGAAGAAATGTTTAAGGATGGTGTAGTCAAAGAAAGTATTATGAGAGTGATAAGGTGAGCCTGGCTTCAGGGAAGATTTGCATCCACAAAAGGCAGAGAAACATATGTACAATGGAAGGGCCACTTAGCAAAATTTAACTTTACACTTTTTTTGAGACGGAGTCTCACTCTGTCACCCAGGCTGGAGTGCAGTGACACGATCACAGCTCACTGCAACCTCTGCCTCCCGGGTTCAAACAATCCTTCTGCCTCAGCCTCCAGAGTAGCCAGGATTACAGACATGAGCCACTAAACCCAGCTAATTTTTTTTTTTTTTTTCGAGATGGAGTTTCACTCTTTTTGCCCAGGCTGGAGTACAGTGGCATGATATTGGCACACTGCAATCTCCGCCTCCCAGGTTCAAGTGATTCTCCTGCCTCAGCCTCCCACGTAGCTGGGATTACAGGCATGCCCCACCATGCCCAGCTAATTTTTGTATTTTTAGTAGAGACGGGGTTTCACCATGTTGGCCAGGCTGGTTTCGAACTCCTGACGTCTGCTGATTTGCCCACCTCGGCCTCCCAAAGTGCTGGAATTACAGGCGTGAGCCACCGTGCCCAGCCTAATTTTTGTATTTTTAGTAGAGACAGGGTTTCACCATGTTGGCCAGGCTGGTCTCAAACTCCTGACCTCAGATGATCCTCCCGCCTTGGCCTCCCAAAAGGGATTACAGGTGTGAGCCATCATGCCCGGCCTGACTTTACAGTATTTTTTAAAACTTCGTTAAAATGCTGGCTCAAGGCAAATTATGACAGAAAGGAAAGAACTATCCTTTAGTCAGGAATGATCTTCTCCCTTCTGATTAGGGAGACTGGGCTACTTCTCTTTCACTTGATCACATGTGATGGCCTCAATAGTCTGTAACATATGTTGACACGACACCAACCTAGAACGCAGACCTTGGGCCCAAACCTCTGCTCACCAAACCAAAATCAGCCAGCTTGCAATATTTATAAGAAACTTAACCAATGTACCAATAAATGAAAATCGTGGTTCAAGAATGAGGGTAGTATTCTTGATGAAACAGATTTATGGTAACAAAATTATTCATTTACATATCCATATCTTTCCAAAGAATAATATTTTGTATTACAAAAGGGACACACACTTATATGGAAAACATACCAGGGCACTTGACCACACTTATAAGAGTATTTATTGTAAAAGGCTAGTTTTTATCAAATCATTCACCTACAGATAAACGCAGAAACTTTGATGTCTAGCACTAGTTTTCATTCTCACAATACTTTGTACATTTGAGTGATTAGATTCTGTCCTCTTGATAGCATGGCTGAAGCTTGTTGGTCAGATTCCAATCTGTTCTGGGTACTGGTCATACTCAGTATCTTCTCTCCAACCTCTATCAGCTCTTTAGGTCTTGTTATCTCAATGATACATTTTGGTGTCTCTCCAGCTTATATATTGTTTATTGACTGATGTGAATAATGTAGGGAGGGTAGAACATTCTTTGAAGGTTATGAACAACTGATAAAAGAGTTTCTGAATGTAGTGTCTGTCAGAATTGTTACAGCCAAGGGATGCAATGAAATAGATTACTGTGCATCTTCTCCCTGGCTCCCAATCTAGGTTTGCAGCAGAGAATTTCTGGGAACCATTTCCCATTACAGTTGATTTCTGCAAGGACATTTTTCATATCAGAATCTCTAAACATCTACTCTACAGATGACTCATGTGAACAAAAGTGACACACGACCATTTAACAATCAGCCTATTTTACAGGTTAAATTCCAGGAGACTATGGGGCCAATTTGTGGGGATAGCATCTGAAAAAGAAAGGAATTTCCAAACCTGAGTGTTTCATTAGAAAGAGGAAGTCAGTTGGGCAAGCCACAGGTAATCTAAACAAATTGATGGGAGAGAGTGAAAAAGTACTCATAATTATTGTATCAAAGAAAATCTCTTCATTATCAAAAATGAGGAGAGTGTGCTTGGGGACAAATATGGCTACTTGCCATATCAGCTGCAGTTTGGAAACATAATTAACAACTGTGTATGGAAATAATTAATCTTGTGCTGCAGTGATCCATGATTGCATGACTGCACTCTAGACTGGTTACAGAGTGAAACTCTGTTTCCGAAGAGAAAATAAAATAAAATAAAATAAAATAAAATAAAATAAAATAAAATAAAATAAACCTAACAAATTGAAAATCTTAACAATTTAGTTGTAAGAATAATCCTTCTACGTGGTAAACAGAAGGAAGAAACATCGCTTAACCACAACAAAAATTAAAACAAACACACACAACTTAAATTCAATCAATAAAGTAAAAAGTTTATAAATATATACCAGAACCATTACAAAGAACAAAAACATATATACAATTCATAAAATAAAAGAAATGCCAAATGTAAGATGCTTGAAAAAGGAAGACGAGAATGTAATCTAATTTTGAAATATTTTTCAGTAGAAGATAAGCTTCAGTTATCTAGGAAATCCACTTAAATAGACTTTTCCTAGCATGGTGCACTCACAAGTGATAGTGAAATATATGGACCTCTTCATGAACATATATTACAGCAACCCCTGGTACAGAAGCGTACTCAGAATTAAAGCAGGTGGTCCCAAAAAGAATATCATTGTTTCTAAAGATAGATAACCCATTACATAGGATATAAGCGCACTAAGAAAATGGTATTCATTTATATTTACTTTTGCAAACTAGCTCCTGGTTATTCAGTATTTTCAGAATGACCATTCACTGATGCCCTAAGATTATGTGCAAACTATAAATATGAGAAAGTGAATTTCAAAACCATTTGTATCAACCTCAGAACCCAATTGTCATAACCTTTTAAGCCCTCCTGAGCACTACAGATTTATCACTCCCCAGGCCTTCCAAAGGACTTGAAAAGGTATTTTATCTCAATATACAGCAGTTAAGTTCATTCACTGTAATCACTTGCTAATGGACATCATAGCTGCAAATTAAACTAAAATGGTGTTTAGAGATAACAAATCAATGGGTTAGATTAAAGGATATTATCAAACAAGTAGCAGAGAGTCTGATAAGGATCCTACGAAACTAACCAGGGAGATTTGAAAGGATTAACTTACTCCTTGAAGAGGTACCTCTGATGTTGTGAGGCTTGGAATCTATTACCTTTGGGGTCCCCATGCAGAAAGCCAGCAGCTGCAAACTACTACTTAGTTTTACAAAGTAAAGGTCAAGTAAAGAGAGCAGACTGCAGTAGACATCAAAGGAACTACAATATGTTAAGTAGAAAGGACCTCATGACATTTATAGGAGATCTTAAGGTTACTATCCATTTAACTGATTTAAAAAAGATCCTATGATGCTAAGTGCTTTATTCCCAATGCCAGGAAGATGAGACAAGTTGCCCAAGGCCACCCTGCCTGTTGACTCACTTGCCATCTATAGCTTCCAATACTAGTTCATGCCATGACAGAAATGATTTATTTGCCTATATGGTATCTGGATGTGGCATTTATTAATTTTTTCTGGATATATACATATAAATCATAATGATGCAAAGGAAATAGATTTAAAAAAAAATCAGCCGGGCGTGGTGGCTCACGCCTGTAATCCCAGCACTCTGGGAGGCCGAGACAGGTGGATCACGAGGTCAGGAGATCGAGACCATCCTGGCTAATACGGTGAAACCCCGTCTCTACTAAAAAAATACAAAAAATTAGCCAGGCGTGGTGGCAGGTGCCTGTAGTCCCAGCTACTCGGGAGGCTGAGGCACGAGAATGGCGTGAACCCGGGAGGCAGAGCTTGCAGTGAGCCGAGATCGCACCACTGCACTCTAGCCTGGACGACAGAACTAGACTCCGTCTCAAAAAAAAAAAAAAGAAATCATGGAGTAGGCCGGGCACGGTGGCTCACACCTGTAATCCCAGCACTTTGGGAGGCCAAGGTGTGTGGATCACGAGGTCAAGAGATCGAGATCATCCTGGCCAACATGGTGAAACCCCGTCTCTACTAAAAATGCAAAAATTAGCCAGATGTGGTGGTGTGAACCTATAGTCCCAGCTACTCAGGAGGCTGAGGCAGGAGAATGGCTTGAACCCGGGAGGCAGAGGTTGCAGTGAGCCGAGATCAGGCCATTGTACTCCAGCCTGGGTGACAGAGTGAGACTCCTCCTCAAAAATAAAATAAAATAAAAATAAAATAAAATAAAATAAAATAAAATAAAATAAAATAAAATAATCATGGAGTAGCGTCTACCTACCCATGGATATAAATCCTGAGAGACTACAGCCCTTCTGATGAGAGAGGAAGCCTTTTTTTTTTTTTTTTTTTTTTTTTTTTGAGATGGAGTCTTGCACTGTGGCCCAGGCTGGAGTGCAGTGGCATGATCTCCGGTCACTGCAAGCTCTGCCTCCCGGGTTCACGCCATTCTCCTGCCTCAGCCTCCCGAGTAGCTGGGAGTACAGGTGCCCGCCACCTCGCCCAGCTAATTTTTCGTATTTTTAGTAGAGACGGGGTTTCACCATGTTAGCCAGGATGGTCTCCACCTCCTGACCTCGTGATCAGCCCACCCTGGCCTCCTGGAGTGCTGGGATTACAGGCGTGAGCCACCGCACCCGGAGGAGAGGAAGCCTTTCAAATAAAGAAAACTCCACCTTCCCTATTATTCATGACAAATGCATAATTGCTTGGCTCTTTTCAACATCCCGCCTTACTCACATACTATCATGCTATAAGTGGAGCTAAGATTGTGTATTTTAATTCCCATAGTCCTGAACACAATATCAATAAAGGCATGGGGAAAAAAAGCACATATGTTCACCATCCTACTTCTCGTCATAATTTAGTATAAAATTCAGGGAAACCCAATTAGTTTTCCCTTTATCTTTCTCTTTAGATTACTTCTCTAAATACTTAGCTTGTACTGCAGTGTTGGTCAATGACACTATCAAAGGTTTTCTGCTAACATAACAATCTGCTTTGAAGAAGGAAGGAAGGAAGGAGGAAGGAAGGAAGGAAGGAGAGAGAGGGAATCTCAGTCGGAGAGTGCAAGGACTGCAGATAAAGAACTTTCTCCTCCTAATGTTTGTGTGTAGACAGAGACCACATAGCAGCACTGAATGGTAAACTGTCTTTTTTGAAACTTGAAACTTCTGTTTAAATGGCATTTAAGACATGATAAAATAAATTGTTTCATTCACTAAGCACTGGGACTCCCAATTACATCTCTCCTCTAAGAACCCCAAGTCCCTATTGCCTGCCCCTGCTTTTTGAGCTCAGATGTTTGTAGATCCATGCAAGAAAAGTAATTTCTCTTGGTTGGTGATTTCTGGCTGTGGTTTTGCAGGTTTTTCACTGAGATGTAAAACAAAGGCCCTGACTACTCAGTCATTTAAGGAAGACTCCCTGGAAACTTTCTGCAAAAGGTAGTAATATTAACAGCAATTGCCCTGGCCAGAATCCATTGCAAGTAATTGCATTCCACCAGGTAGTTTATAACAAAAGCCTCTTCCCATGCAGTCTTCTGCATCTCTGCCAAGAATACAGCAGCAGCTAAGCTCCAACTATGTTTGGGTCAAAACAGTTTCTGGAGTGAAGTCATTTAAGGAATACATACAGTGAGCCCCAACTGCCACAGCCTCCTTTGTTGTCTGCAATGATTGCTGTATTAGTTTGCAATGTCAATGCATTCTTTACATCTTCCCATTTGCCAAGATTCAGCTCAAATCTCTTCTCTTCCAATGAGTCCTTCAAAAGCCTCTCAGATTGAGATCAATTGCACCCTTTTCCGAGTTTCTTCTTCTACATGGTATTAGTGACTCTATTTTTATTTATTTTTATTTTTTTGATGGAGTTTCGCTCTTGTTGCCCAGGCTGGAGCGCAATGGCGCGACCTTGGATCACCACAACCTCTGCTCTTGGGTTCAAGCAATTCTCCTGCCTCGGCCTCCCGAGTAGCTGGGATTAAGGCATGCAGCACCACGCCCAGCTAATTTTGTATTTTTAGTAGAGACAGGGTTTTTCCATGTTGGTCAGGAGGGTCTTGAACTCCCGACCTCAGGTGATCCACCTGCCTTGGCCTCCCAAAGTGCTGGAATTACAGGCGTAAGCCACCGCACCTGGCCCGGTGCTGTTTTTAAATATTAAATTCAGCTCAATAAATGCACATCCCTTTGTGTTTGTGACCTCCTGGCCCTCACTCCCATGCAATGAGCTAACAGAATATGTGTTATTATCAATATTTGGAGATAAAGAGTGGCACCCAAAACTGTGTGGTTTTGTGTGCACAACAGAAAAGAGTTTATTTATTTTATTTATTTATTTATGTGAGGCGGAGTGTCGCTCTGTCGCCCAGTCTGGAGTGCAGTGGCGTGATCTCGGCTCACTGCAAGCTCCGCCTCCCGGGTTCACACCATTCTCCTGCCTCAGCCTCCCTAGCAGCTGGGACTACAGGTGCCCGCCACCTCGCCTGGCTAATTTTTTGTATTTTTAGTAGAGACGGGGTTTCACTGTGTTAGCCAGGATGTTCTCCACCTCCTGACCTCATGATCCGCCCACCTTGGCCTCCCAAGGTGTTGGGATTACAGGCATGAGTCACCGGAAAAGAGTATATGTAAAGCAAAGTTTCTGAATGTCTTTTGTTAGCTGGAGGGGTAATCAAAACCAGAGGACTCCACTACTTTCATCCCATTTAGAGATCTTTGTTCTCAATCTGAAACTCCCTCCACTCTAGAGGTGGCAATTTCTTTGCATGTGTTTGAATAAACCAAGTCAAAATAATAACTTCAATGTATAAGCCTGCAGGAATCTGGAAGCAGTTGTCCCTTTTACCGCCAGTTGTAAAGTAAACAAGACATGGGATTCAAGCCAAGTCATCAGACTCAGATTCAGTCTTTGCATGATGATTTTCTTTTTTCTAGACAAGGCTTTTTTCGTTCTTCTTCTTTTTGTTTTGTTTTGTTTTTGTTTTTGTGGTTGTGGGGGGAGGGGCGAGAATGGGGAGTAATAGGTATACAATAAAAATAAATAAATAAATAATAATAATAAAAAACCTCCCAGACTAAAAGTCTCGAAGTTCTTAGACATTGGAAATGAAGTTGACCTTGGGCTTGGCACAGGGACAGAAGATGCCAGGGTTGGAGGAGCTTACTTTTCTCTTGGCTGAGATGCTCTGCTGCCAGGCTGCCCTTTTGAGAAGATGGCATGATCCAATCTGTACTGGGCTCCCAGGAAGGCTCTCTCATCATGCCAGGATCCCCCTGCTAGCCCTGTACAATTCCACTCATCACGGCAGGATCTTGAAAGACATGACGGCCAAAATGCAAAATGGAGATGAGTGACAGCCCAGCTTTGGCAGCACTGGGCAGAGGAAGGCTGAGCTCCTGAGTACAAAGGAAGGGGCTAGTAAAGGTGACATCTGGTGGTATCTGGACCATTTATTCTTCCATTAGTTCTACAGCCTTCACAGACTCCCCTTCACTATATATATATATAAAAAATCTCCAGAATCTGTTTGTAGGCTGATATGAGCACCTGGCTCTCTATTAAAGTGAAAGAACCCTCTTCTGTGTATTTGTGTCTGTCTCTTTTCAAACAATAGTCCTTTTCTTCCCTTGTGTTTTGTTATTTCACTTTAAGGCACATCTACTGTTTGTGGATGGCAGAAGGGAGGCACTACAATTATGGAATAGAACATGTCCATGATTAATAGCATCTTTTTGTGGGGAGGTGAAAAATGTTTAAGTTAGCCAAAAGCAGTGGCCCACGCCTGTAATCCCAGCATTTCGGAAGGCAGAGGCGGGCGGATCACCTGCGGTCAGGGGTTCAAGACCAGCCTGGCCAACATGGCAAAAGCCCGTCTCTACTACAAATACAAAAATTAGCCAAGTGTCGTGGCACGCGCCTGTAGTCCCAACTACCTGGGAGGCTGAGGCAGGAGAATCACTTGAACCTGGGAGGCAGAGGTTGCAGTGAGCTGAGATCATGTCACTGCATTCCAGCCTGGGTGACACAGTGAGACTCCGTCTCAGGAAAAAAAAAAATGTTTAAGTTCAGTGACAGGCAGTAGCCCACTAGTCCAAGCTGCCTTAAAGCTACATCAGTCCAAATTTAAAGCAATATAACCCCCTCTTCACTCATCTTGCAGGCAATGATATATGTTAGAATTTATTCCCAAATTTGTTTTTTAAAAAAATACCTGCAATTTTTTAAAAAAATGTTCTTCTTTCAAGGGCTCTTTGAATAGCACTTTGTATCTAATAAGCCTATGTGGGATGCCTGTGTTTCATACCAAGACAGAGTCACTTGCTGTGCTAAGGAATAAAGTTAGAACTCTGGAATAATGGAGTGGAACTTTTGAAAAACAAAATTCCAAGAAGCTCCCCTCCCTGGGCTTAACAAATGTCTTTGAATACACCATAATAGTGGCCTCCCAGGGCTCTGGAACGTTCAACTGCTAGTAAGCATTCTATGCCATGAAGTAACTAAGAATTATGAATTCCAGTCCCTACTTCAATTCCTAAGTGGAAGAGCAGAGGGGAAAGTGCTACCTGCTCACTGTGCTCTCCTAATGCACTCCTAAAAGCTGTGGCTACCCATTTCCTTAAATTTCAAAGATGCTCTGAGCATGTCTATGTACTCTCCTTCACCCATCCAGCAGCCAAATGCAAAATACAGCTGTCTTTCTAGGAGAGAAATCATGAGGCTAGTTTTTATGTCAAAGGGACAAATGGAGAAAAAGGGTATAATTTCTTTTTTTTTTTTTTTGAGATGGAGTCTCACTCTGTCGCCCAGGCTGGAGTGCAGCGGTGCATTCTTGGCTCACTGCAACCTCCGCCTCCTGGGTTCAAGCAATTCTCTGCCTCAGCCTCCCAAGTAGCTGGGATTACAGGCGCCTACCACCACATCCGGCTAATTTTTGTATTTTTAGTAGAGACGGGGTTTCACCATCTCGGCCAGGCTGGTCTTGATCTTCTGACCTCATGATCCACCCACCTCGGCCTCCAAAGTGCTGGGATTACAGGCATGAGCCACCAGAAGTTTTCAAATCAAAACTTCCACTGTCCAGTAGAGGACTGCTGGTTTCAAACACATAACTTCAATATTTATCCTTGCATCACCAACACCAAGAGCCTTTTCATAAAGAGAAAATGTAACCAAGAGTTTCACTGAAAAATAATGCCTTCCTGTTGGCACAGCTCACCTCTGTTTAGTAAAGTGTAGTACTTGGTCTACGTGCAGCAGAACTGCAGGGAGATGGAAAAGTGGCACATGCTTGTTAAAATGCAGATTCTCAGAACTAACGACCTAGAATTTCTGAGAAATAGGCCCCCAGATCTGCAGTTTAACAAGCTCTCTAGATGATTTTCATATATGCGGACGTTTAAGAACCTCAGTAGTAATTTAGGCACTTCATCCCACTAATCCCTTGAAAGGCAACTGGGCATATCTTTAGGATTTTCATTTATATTGGGAAAAGCAAAGATATCAAAACATTCAAGCAGCAGTACTCTGCTATAAATGGCTAAGAAACAGAAATTACTGTTACTGCTTGCTTCATTGAGCAGTTGCTATTAACTCCCAGGCACCCTTGGGGAAATAATTGTGGCCCTAAGGAGATTATACTCTTTAGTTACTATGTAGAGAATGTGAATGTTAACCAAAAAGCTCGAGAAAATCTCCAGGTTGCCACATCCTTGCATGGTTACCAGCTACATGACCTGGACAATCCACTCACTGAATCTTCATTTCCTCAACTTGAAAATGGAGTTTATCATACTTACCTTGATGGTTTCAGAGTTTGTTTGTTTGTTTGTTTGTTTGTTTTGAGATGGAGTCTAGCTCTGTCGCCCAGGCTGGAGTGCAGTGGCCCGATCCTGGCTCACTGCAAGCTCTGCCTCCCAGGTTCATGCCATTCTCCTGCCTCAGCCTCCCGAGTAGCTGGGACTACAGGCGCCCGCCACTGCATCCTGCTAATTTTTTGTATTTTTAGTAGAGACGTGGTTTCACTGTGTTAGCCAGGATGGTCTCGATCTCCTGACCTCATGATCCGCCCGCCTCGGCCTCCCAAAGTGCTGGGATTACAGGTGTGAGCCACTGCACCCAGCCTGGAGTTTTGTTTTGTTTCTGAATCTACTACCACCATACGTGGGAATGTTCTCAGTACATTTCACATATGCATGTCTTAGAGCTTACAGTTTATTATAATCACTGATTTGAGAAGCTGGAGCCATTGCTGTTCTATTTCTTCTTTAAAACGTGTGAGTGTGGGTTACTTTAAATACCACTTAGCTCAAAAGGCAAAGGCAGATTTCTAGTTCCAATTTAGGTCTAGTTGTAAACAGCTTTCTTTCTAATATTTGTCTTTATATCTTTCCCTGTGGTAGTTCTATTAGTTTCTTTTATAAATCTGATATAGAAAAAGTGTCTGTCACTGAAAAAGTGGGGGGAGAGTTATTCACTAGGATCCATGTGTTCAGTGTTTAATAGAGTAAATGCAACATACATGTATGCATGTATGTATATTATGTATATATTAATAGCTATTTATACTACAGAGGAAATTTCATGGAAGAATAGGATCTCTCTTTTCTAGGGAGCTGAGAAAGACTAGTAGTTCCTACAGAAAAAGCAAGTACCTACAGATTTAATGGTAGTATATCTCAAAGGTTAAAGGTAACGATAGAGCCACAAGATTTGATCAGAGCCCATGAAAAAAGCTGTACAAGGGAAAGAACAAGTTCTGCTCAGCACGCACATGCAATAATGTAGTGACCATTTCTCAGCTGTGGCTTCTCCAAGAATCATCATTTAGGGCAATGGTATCTAAGCAGATCCTTGCACCAAACATCAGCGAACTGTATTGTCCCTCATGACACTGGCCACAGATAAGTGAGTAGGACAGGCGCATTTCTTTGTTTCTTTTTCTTCTCTTTTCTTTTTTTTTTTTTTTTTTTTTTGAGATGGAGTCTTGCACTGTCGCCCTCGCTGGAGTGCAATAGTGAGATCTTGGCTCACTGCAACCCCTGCCTCCCAGGTTCAAGCTACTCTCCTGCCTCAGCCTCCTGAATAGCTGAAATTACAGGCACCCACCCGCAAGCCCAGCTAATTTTTTGTATTTTTAGTAGAGACGGGGTTTCACTATGTTGGCCAGGCTGTTCTCAAACTTCTGACTTCGTGATCCTACCTACCTCGGCCTCCCAAAGAGCTGGGATTACAGACATGAACCACCGCGCCCGGCCTGACAGGCGCATTTCTGAAATGCATTCCCTCCAATGGAGAAAAGAAACCCAGAGTAAACGAATGTACGTTGTGAGTAAAGAGAGGCAGCTGTAGGCCACCAGGAAATCTTAAAGTTAGAACAAGAAATATTGTCTTGTTACAGAAATGGCATGACATCTCCCTGCCATTGAAAATCTATCTTGATTATTGTTGGCAACTCTAATCTTAGAAATACCAAGGGCCAGGCAGAGTGGGCTCACGCCTGCAATCCCAAAGCTTTGAGAGGCTGAGGCAGGAGGATCACTTGGGCCCAGGAGTTTGAGACTAGCCTGGGCAACATAGGGAGACCATGTACCTACAAAAAAAATGTTTTTAAATTAGCTGGCAGAGGGGACAGTGGGCGGTGTCATGTGCCTGTCATCCCTACTTACATTGGAGGCTGGGGTGGGAGGATTGCTCCAGCCCGGGAATTGAAGGCTGCAGTGAGCTATGATCACACCACTGCACTCCAGCTGAGGCTACAGAGTGAGACATTGTCTCAAAACAAAAACAAAAGAAATACCAACGAGAAAATCCATCAACTTCCTTTTATCTATTATATTCATTCATCCATGCATGTATTTATTCATTGACTTATTGGCAAGTATTTACTGAGTCCTTCCTAGAAACCAGTACTGAGACCTGGACTTACAACAAGGTTTTCTTGGGATCCTCGATGTAGAATCCTTTTCAGACTTCTGAAAGCATCAAGCTTATCCTGTAAATCTGTCAAGGCTGTTATCCAGAAATGACAAGCTGAATTATTTTACATAAGGCAACTTAAAAATATGACATATGGTTTGCCTTTACATTTTCTCTGTGCTTTGTATTTTATCTGAGATTATATAATTCGTATTTAAAACGCGAAATTTATTGAAGATCTACAGAGGGATCAGCCTGAAGAACACTAGTAAAAACTAACCTTCCAGACAAGAAAACTGGAGCAAGGTTTGGAAAACAGTAAACTATGATAGAAGAACATAGACCAGAAATGCAAAGATCGGGGTTCTAGTTAAAGGCAACCAGTCACTAACTAGGCTTCACATATAAAGCAGCAATGCCTTAACCTCTCCTACCCACCTCATGGTATTTTTATAAGGATAAGATGATTACACATTCATACTCACAGTTCTGTAATCATTCTGAAAATATACTATGTTGTAAATATACAAGGTGGTCTTGGCCGGGCGCAGTCGCTCACACCTGTAATCCCAGCACTTTGGGAGGCCAAGGCGGGTGGATCACGAGGTCAGGAGATCGAGACCATCCTGGCTAACGTGGTGAAACCGCGTCTCTACTAAAAATACAAAAAAATTAGCCAGGCGTGGTGGTGGGCGCCTGTAGTCCCAGCTACTTGGAAGGCTGAGGCAGGAGAATGACGTAAACCTGGGAGGCGGAGCTTGCAGTGAGCCCAGATCGCGCCACTGCTCTCCAGCCTGGGCGACAGAGCGAGACTCCATCTCAAAAAAAAAAAAAAAAAAAAAGGTGGTCTTATATTCTGTCCTTTTATTTATTTTTTAGTTTTTGAGACGGAGTCTCACTCTGTTGCCTAAGCTGGAGTGCAGTGGCATGACTTCGGCTCCCTGCAACCTCCACCTCCTGGCTTCACGCCCTTCTCCTGCCTCAGCCTCCCGAGTAGCTGGGATACAGGTGCATGCCACCACACCCAGCTAATTTTTCTATTTTTAGTAAAGATGGGGTTTCTCCATGTTGGTCAGGCTGGTCTCGATCTCCTGACCTCGTGATCCACCCACCTTGGCCTCCCAAAGTGCTAGGGTTACAGGCATGAGCCACCTAACCCGGCCTCTGTCCTTCTAATAAATGATATTTGGAAAGAAAAAAGGAAGGAATAAAGGGAGGGAGAGAGGGAAGAAAATAAAATAGCAACAAACTAAGCAGTTGTAGATACATAATATCCAGTATCCAATTTCAACAAGGCCCTCTCCCACATATTTATTTCAGTGTTCTTTGTAATTCCCCCAAGTTAGGTATGTATGGGAGGAACATAATGAACCATGGGCAAAACTTTGTATTTATAATAATTGAAGCCAAATGGTTTGGGTTTGATAATCTTCTGGGCTTTATCAAATGAGCTTGATCAGTTTCCACTGGTACCTGGGTAAGAGAATGCTGACTTGGGTCTCCAGGGAGCCAGATGGCCTCCTACTCATCATATTATACTCTCAGTCTATACCACCAAGGCCTGTGGGGTAGGATAAGTGAGATGCTATGGCTCTCGGGAATTTTTAAGCCCTCATACAAGTATAATCTTCACAAGTCTATAAAATTTCAAATAGTAAATAGAGGGGAGAAGGGAAATATAACTGCAGAAACCACTTCCTCTGCAGATCAAATAATTAATTGCATTTTCTGCATGTGGTTGTTAGCACTAAAAGTGCAAGGAGGAAGTGGGAGGAAGAGGCTACTTCTACAAGAAGAGGCCAGTTCTTTCTGTCAAGCTTTAACTTGCTTAGATCTTGAATTTTAAATCAAACGGGGAAAGGCAAATTTCAAGCTCTATTTACTTTTTAGCAAATCGGGACTTCTTGTCTCAATCTGAGTAAACTCAGAATTCTTTTTGGGCCACTGTGTTTGTATTATGGCCATTTCTACCAAAATAATTTGGTTGGTAGAATTTGGGTTCGAATCCCATTAAAATGTCAGCAGCATCAAACCCTTAGCACAACAGAAGGTAGTGGAAATAGAAGAGTGAAAAAAGTTACAAAGGGAATTATAAACCTTTCAATACCTTTTCATTTTTATTTCTCTAAATTAGCACATCTTTAAGGCTACTGGTCAGTCAGAAGTACCAATCTTGCTACAATGAACATCTGTGATTTCAGACAAACTAGTTCTGGCTCCAAATGCCCTAAACCTAAATTTGATTATAGGAAGAAACTTACGTTTACCTGAGAGGCCACCAGCCTAGCAGTGTGCTGGTAACTCATATAATTTGATAGGTAGAGGGCTCAGTGCCTGATGTCCCACATGCTGGGACTTTGGTCTCTCTGTCAGCTTGCCATAGAGCATACCCAGCTATGCCTAGGGCAGAACGGCCCTGCAATTTAGCAACAAATCATCATCAGGAAGTAATTAGAGAGCTCTGCTGTTTTTTGAAGCTGGGATAATCCTACAGGCAACTTCCCAATTTTTTCCTAATTATTTTATTTATTTAGGGTCATTATTTATGTTGACACAAAAGGTCATTTAATTGAAAATGATTGGTAATTCTGGTGGTCTGCCCCTTCTTTTAAAGAAAGCATACATTTTCTTTTGCAGGTCCCTCTCTTCTTGTTTGAAAAAAATAATAATAATAAAACGAAGACTAAAATGAATGCATCCCACCAGTTGCAATGGGCATCGAGCCAGAATTACAGCAAGCACTGGCGCTGCAGGGGTAAGAAACAATGGATTTTAATTGGTGCCTAGGGGTAAAGGTCAGCTCTCTTGGAACAATGGGCATCTATGGTAGTAATTGACTGAGTCCTCTGTGGGAGTCTGTAAATGTCAGCAATGTACTTCCAAATGGAAGCACAAAGGGCTTGGGCCCAAGGAACAAAGACAGTATTAGTGAGTGGAGAAAATACGTAAATCAGTTCGTTAAATAATGCACTAATAAAGCAAAAGTGGTGGACACACACAAACACACCACATCACAGAGATTCAAAAGAAAACAGACTACTTCAATATCAAATACATGCCTTCCTATAAGATCCAACCTCTCTTTCCCCAGCACAAGTTCAGCTGTTTTCCTGGACAGCCTGGAATCCAAACACTTTAATTATTTGAGTCAAGTTGGATGGGTTTGGCTCCTAAGAAAAGCTACATCCATCCCGGTGAAATCTGGATGCTGATGGGGATAGCATCCACAATTAAAGTTGTAGTTATTCTTGTTCAAGGGAATTTGGGCCCTTTTTAGAAAGTAGTAGAGAAAAAGATGAAGTACTAATCATTGGAACACCAGGCCCCTCCTGCTTCCCCACAAATGCTTGGCTGCTTCTTTTATTGCTATGTTTTACTCCATTTTTCTCATTTCCTCATCTTTCCCAATATTCACCCACTCCTGTGATCCAGACCACCTCCTCAGGGTCCAATAAGTTTAGAGAGACTGTATTCTCTACATCAAGAATTTACATAAACGATCTATCAAAGGAACATTTTATGAGCTTTAAGAGGCAAAAGAGTAGAATATGTAACATAATAACACATTATTAAGATTCTAGAGAATGAAAGATACAGTACCTTTACCAGTATAAACTCGATGCTCATTTCCAACTACATAGTTCTCCCTTCCATCTGTGAGCTCTCTGCAGACAGGGCCCTGTGTTATGCATGTTTGTATCTCTACTGCCTGGCAGTCAATAAATATTGGTTCAACTAAATGATATTTTTCTGTTGTGAATGTCATGACTTTGTGTTATGCTGATCTGCTTCATTGGTCAGCTTAAGCCCTTTTATGCTGCTTCCCTGACTATGTGAGATTACAGCCCTCTCTAAACTCTTAAAGCCTTTGTTGTCTGTACAATCCACTCTACTACCTTATATTATTTAATTGCATTCCTGAGCTGGGATGGTAAACTCCGTAAGAGCAAAGCGAGGTTCATGTTTCTTTTATATTCACCTTTATGCTTGCAGAGAACAAGGCACAAGCCAGGTGTTCAATAAAACATGTCAATTAATCTCTTCTTAATATTATACCCCTAAATTTCATCAATAGTTCTGACTGGCCAGTAGTACTTAAGATACATGCTGAATATATCAAATCTATAATGTGAATTTTAGTTGTATTAATTCAATATTAATAATGTCACCACTGCCCATTTACTGATTTTACAAGCAAGACAGGAAGAAAGTTTATTGCACCTGAAAATAAATTACATTATTACATAAAAACTGTAATTCAAATGGGTCATGAGGATTTTTTTTTTTTTTTTAGATGGATTCTTGCTCTGTCACCAGGCTGGAGTGCAGTGGCGAGATCTTGGCTCACTGCAAACTCCACCTCCCAGGTTCAAGTGATCCTCCTGCCTCAGCCTCCCGAGTAGCTTGGACTACAGGCACGCACCACCAGGCCCAGCAAATTTTTGTATTTTTAATAGAAACGGGGTTTCACCATGTTGGCCAGGATAGTCTCGATCTCTTGACCTGGTGATCCGCCTGCCTCGGCGGGATTACAGGTGTGAGCCACCACCTCCAGCTGGAATTTTTTAGGGTTTAATTAGCATAGTAAGATAGCAGTGGAAATTAACATGTTTTACGAGTCTAAATAGACACTCTTAATCATTTAAATCTGAAAACTACGTCAAGATATGCATTGTGCGCTTGTGGACACTAGTTTCTCATAGTACATACACCGAAAGACTGTTTTCATCTTCCTTTCCCCTTCTCCTTTGACAAATATTTGCATCTCTGTGAAACCTTCCTAGTCTCCAAAGATAGAGTTCTATGTACATAGCTATCATGATACATAAGTACTGTGCTGTAAGAGATTGTTTATACATTCATCTCCTCAACCAGACTGTGCAATCATTAAGAGTAAGAACAACCTCTTATATTTCTATTTCCCAGTTCTTAAAAAAGATCTGGAACAAAATAGGCATTTAATACCTTCTGGTTGAGTTGACAAAAGACAGCATAAGGCATGGCCATATAATTTGGAACAGTTAAGAAGAGTAACAATGAGACTAACATTTGTTGAATGCTTGCTAGGTCTCAGACACTGTTCTTTGCTGGTTTTGACTCTTTATTTCCCATAACTACTTTAGGATGTTGACACAATCATTATATTTTAGTTTGGAGAGGAGGAAACTGTGTCATGCAGGGGTTTACAACAAATAAACCAACAAATAAAATGTTGTCTAAGGGCACACAATTATTATGTAGCTTAGCTGGAATTTAAGGCCAGGTCGCCTGGCTCCAGGGTCCATTATATTAAATACTGTTCCACAACTAATGATGCCCCTGAGCAAAAATTCATAATGACCACCTTCAAATAACAAAGTGTATCTCCGCAGTGACAGGAAATAGGTGCTGAGTTGGTATACGTGACGAGTGCAGAAAATACAAGGTATACATATAAATACAAGAGATCATTGCACAGTGGTATGAGGGAGTAGCTAAGAGAGCATTAAAAGGACAAAAATCCATTAAGTGTGGGCAGCAGCGATGATATTTGAATCTGCTGCAGGGGAGCTGGAGAACCTAGATCTAGGCCTACCACACCCCCACACTTGAGTCATAATTGTGCTTTCCTTCCTGGCAAAACCGATTTCAACCACAGCCATCAATATCTTTTACCCCTTTGAAACCACTCAGGAAGAACAGAAAGATAAGGGTAAATTGTACTCCCTCTGAAAGTCTTAATAAGTTCCTGGTAAATTAGCTCTCCTCTCTCTGAGAGATCTCCAGAGATTCCTAAACTTCTACTGCTGAAAATATTTACAATTTTATTATTTCTTTTTCTTCTGCCCTCTGTCTTCATTGTGCTCTTTGTATTAGCATTCTCCCATTACTCTGGTTACTTTAAATTCTGCACAGTAATCTCTGTCGTCTTCTCTCTCGGCTTTACCTCTGTATCCTTCCTTCTATGCCTCTTCTCTTATCTGTGAGAGGCTGTGCATTCCAGATATTTTCTTTTTACATATCTTTTGTTTTTTGGATACATCCACATTGTCATTTTCTCCACTATAAGCATGTTCATTTCCTGGTGCCAGATGCCATCAATCAAGGCAACACTTAGTATTCTACTCCCCAAACACACATACTGCCCCAAGCAGCCAGGAAAAGATTTTTCTCTCCCAGCTGTTATATTGTATATATCCCATACAGCAGGCCTTTTCACCTATGAGCATCTAAGCCTACCTGTTACCTACAAGCTATAGTTTTTGTTCTGCAAAACCTAATTTAAGTACTTGACTTGAAAGGTTGTAAAACAAGAGCACATTAGAGGTCAAGGACCCAGTAAAGTAGGGAAGTGATGCTTTGAGGAACAAAGGGACAAAACCATCAAAAGAAGATCTGGTCAAGGGAAAGGTCAGGTCAGCAAAAGAAATGTTTGAATGGAAACAATTTAGCCCCTGAGGCTGGTGGTGCACTCTTAATTTCTCCAGGGGAGAAATAGTGGTTTTATTAAAGATTCATCCACATTGACTTTGTTTTCATGACAGCACCAGGAGAAAGCTTGGGGCAGTTCTGATACATTGGAGTGAAACATCTCCACCCTAGTAAATATCGCAAATTTCCTGTAGCGGACAGCATTCATCTCCATCCATCTTATATAAGAGCAGCACAGGCTATTCACTAGAAACAAATGTTCTAGATACAGTATGTCAAACACAAGATGACGGAAACCCCTGAGAAACCACAGGGAGTGTGCTGGAAGCAAACAGACCAGAATGTTGAAAAGACCTCTGACCATTTTCCACAGCAGAGCATAACTTGGAACCAACCAGAAATAATGCATTTGACCTTCATAAAAGGGTAATGGATGGGCACTTAATATTTGGCCAGCCAGACCTCAGAGAACATGAGCTCTAATAAGGACAGATGATGAGACAAAAATAAATAAATAATTAGACAGATAACTTTAAAAACAAATTGTTCTCAAAGAAGATTGCGCAGATAGTCTATTATGCTTACTTGAAGAATGGTCAGCTTCCAAAAGGTTTCCTTTTGTATTTGAGAATTTCTGATCACTTGGCCACAGAGGCAACCTATTTTCCAAGAACCACTCAGTGATATAAAAAACATGCAGTTTCCAGATCAATCTTCATAATATTTAGAGAGTAATTTAGGCTATCATTACCTTGATTAATTTCATTTGTTAAAAAGGTATCAAACCAAAAGATAGAGTCTATTTTTTAATGAAAAAAGCATTATCTAAACTTAGAAGAGATTTATAGGTGGACCTATCTATTACCTTTCTACCTATTTATTGAGCTAGCTAAATACCTGTATCTTTTAAAAATACATAAATGTAGCTAATACAATTTTGAATTATAATGTCAATAACATATAAACTTGATCATCATACAGATATAACTTAGTTTTTAAAGTCACCAATTCATGATTAATATGTAATGCATTAGATGCTTCTTATATGTGATAGACATAACACTTACAAATGAAGAATAACAAATATGTTAATTAAGCAGGAAGCTTCTTTCTATCAAAAAAATACTTTGTACTAGGCAGGGCATGGTGGCTCATGCCTGTAATCCCAGCACTTTGGGAGGCCGAGGCGGGCGGATCCCGAGGTCAGGAGATCAAGACCATCCTGGCTAAGACTGTGAAACCATGTCTCTACTAAAAATACAAAAAAATTAGCCAGGCGTGTTGGTGGGCGCCTGTAGTCCCAGCTACTCGGGAGTCTCAGGCAGGAGAATGGCGTGACCCTGGGAGGCAGAGCTTGCAGTGAGCCGAGATCGTGCCACTGCACTCCAGCCTGGGTGACAGAGCAAGACTCCATCTCAAAAAAATAAAAAAAAAAAAAAGTACTTAATGCCACATGAAGTAAAGCAGTAAACCACCTCTGAGAACCAGGCAAATTAGCAGATATGGGGGACAAGAAAAGATAGGAGGAAGGAAAAAGTAAGTTTTGGAATGTATGCATTGATCAGAATTTACTGCCTGAACCTGATTTATCATTAATTAATTTATTTTTTACTACATCAGTGTTAGATAGACACAGATAATATCCCAGAAAAATCAACTAGGTACTTAGTGTGTAATGTAACATATTGTATTAAAATTTAAGAGTGTAGTTTTATTAGCATTTTTAAATTTATGAATGTTATAATAGGTGCTTTGATTTATATAAACTAATATAGAATATATGGCAATTTCGGGTATAGGTCAGTGTACAGAGAGGAGTGTCTTAGATCAGTGTTGTTTTTCTCTATGTTCCAAAGAGCCCACGAGTTCCAGAGGCTTCCGCAGGGACTTCTTGGAGTGACAAGGGGTTGTGGAGTGGGCACTGCTCCTGGCACTCCAACCCTGTTTCAAAGAGAGCATTCTGCACTTATTATTCTGTAGCTCATTTGAAACCCAGGGGATTACTGTTGGAAAATCACTCCAAGTAAAAAGAGAGATGCAGCATGCTTTCTTGGATTTTATATTTTTAATGTTCAGGAAGAAAACAGAACAATGCTTCATGGACTGAAACAGTATAAACACTCAGCGGTACCCAAAAAAAGATCAAAGGAGAGGACCTTTCCCTTTGGCCATCATTCCTCAGGTTAAGTGTAGGGAAGTAAGGATTTACTTACTACACGTCACTTTTATTGAAGTTTGGAAAATGCCACTTCCACTATGTCTCTGAATTCATGTGTGGTTTTTTTTTTTTTTTTTTTTGAATATTGCTCTGTTGTGCCCAGGCTGGAGTGCAGTGGTATGATCTCGGCTCACCACAACCTCCACCTCCCAGGTTCAAGTGATTCTCCCGCCTCAGTCTCCCAAGTAGCTGGGATTACAGGCACCTGCCACCGCACCCGGCTAATTTTTTTGTATTTTTAGTAGAGACAGGGTTTCAGCATATTGGCCAGGCTGGTCTCAAACTCCCGACCTCAGGTGATCCACCCACCTCGGCCTCTCAAAGTGGTGGGATTACAGGTGTAAGCCACCGCACCTGGACCATTTCTTTATGAATGAAACATACATCCTTGTTAAAAAGATTAGAGGCAAATGGATGATCTTGTGTACAAAGTGACAGATGAAAGAGTTAAGGTGGAATGAGCAAGTGTTGCTTGTCCGCCAAGGGAATGTCATGCACCCCCTTTGATGTATTATACAATACGCTAGCTCCTCTTGGCCTCCCTAGATAATGTCAAGTGAGTGCTATGCAAAGTCCTGGCATTTAAAATATTAATCATGTTCTTCTTGGTTAGAACAGACAAAATTATACATTATGACCTAGAAATGACTAAAACCTACAGAGATTCTTTACTGTTCTTGTTTACTCACTTGAAATAATTAAATTTATAGTTAGAGAAAAGAAAGGAGTCAAAGCTGATTTCACAGAGCATTTCATTTAAGTTTCAGCCTAGGAGTCCAAAAGCGAACCAAAGTTCAATTCAAATATTCAGTCATGTATTGGACACCTACTGTATACCAAAATCCTATGCTCGGCACGTTAAAGAATACATAACTGATTAAGGCACTTTATGCCATCTAGGTCCTCGCATTCTAAAGGGAGTATTAGACATGGTCAAGAACAACTATAATCAGAAGTGAGAGTAAAGTGCTAGAAAAAAGAAAACGGATGTCTTGGAGATAAGAGGGAGTGAGCAAGTCTCCTCAGGGAAATTGATTAAATTTTATGGAAGAGGTGGCATTTAAGGTTCACTTTCAAGGTCTAATGATCTTAGCTTATCATTCCCCAGCTGCATGTAACTTCAGACAAGTCACTAAACTCTCTGGGACTCAGTCTCCATATCTGTTAAAGAAAAGAGTAGAATTTTAATATCCCCAAAATCTTTTAGATTCAGATTCAATGATACGTGATTCTTCCTAAGAGAAGGTGGCAGATCCTATCAACCATTCCTCTTTGCTGTCCTCAAAAGTCACATACATGGGCCTGGCGTGGTGGCTCATGCTTGTAATCCCAGCACTTTGGGAGGCCGAGGCGGGTGGATCACCTGGGGTCAGGAGTTCGAAACCAGCCTGGCTAACATGGTGAAATCCCATCTCTACCAAAAGTACAAAAATTAGTTGGGTGTGGTGGTGCATGCCTTTAGTCCCAGCTACTCAGGAGGCTGAGGCAGAAGGATTGCTTCAACTCAGGAGGCGGAGGTTGCGGTTGTGCCACTGTACTCCAGCCTAGGCAACAGAGCAAGACTCTATCTCAAAAAAAAAAAAAAAAGGCTGGGTGTGGTGGCCCACACCTGTAATCCCAGCACTTTGGGAGGCCGAGGCGGGTGGATCATGAGGTCAGGAGTTCAAGACCAGCCTGGCCAAGATGGTAAAACCCCACCTCTACTAAAAATATGAAAATTAGCTGGGTGTGGTAGTAGACGCCTGTAATCCCAGCTGCTCGGGAGGCTGAGGCAGAGAATTTTTTGAACCCGGGAGGCGGAGGTTGCAGTGAGCCGAGATTGTGCCACTGCACTCCAGCCTGGGCAATAGAGTGAGACTTCATCTCAAAAAAAAAAAAAAAAAGTCACATACATGATACACAAACTACTCAACCAAATGACAAGAGGAATTAAGCATGCTCAGATATAAAGAGACAAGAAGTCAATAATCAAACCCTTATTTAGAAAGTGCCACATATAATAGGGTAATTAAAACTTAAACATCTGGAGAAAACACAGTGTTTAATGCTGGTATGTACCAAGAGACCCGTAGGAATGACCAATGTATTCTGAGGAGCTAGGGTCCTCTTTATAGAATGAAAGTCTTAGAAGAGTCTCTCAGCAGGAATGATGTAAATTAAGTGGTGATAACACAGAAATGAGAAAAAACTGGAGTGTGAAGGGGGTGCAGAAAACATAAAGAACAAATACTGTCTAGTTTTTTCTTTGCTAGATAGTGTGCTGAGACCACAAGGATAAAACAACTAAAAGAATTGGCTTTTCCAAGTAAAAAACCAAAACAAAACACTTTTTTTTCCTTTTATTCCCCAGTGAATTCCACTAGGGGTTTTATATTCTTTAATCCTTGAAGATGTTACACGATCCTTGTGAAGGGAGAACAGCTTGGGTTAGTTGGGGGTGATGGGAAAGGTATGGCTGATAAAGACACACAGAGTATATAGAAGTTTTCTTTTTAGGCAGAATACACATCAACTCAGAGAATTTGAGAGTGAAATTGAGATTTCAACTTTTTTTTTTTTTTTTTTTTGAGACTGAGTCTCGCTCTGTCACCCAGGCTGGAGTGCAGTGGCGCGATCTCAGCTCACTGTAACGTCCGTCTCCCAGGTTCACGCCATTCTCCTGCCTCAGCCTCCTGAGTAGCTGGGACTACAGGCACCCGCCACCACGCCTGGCTAATTATTTTGTATTTTTAGTAGAGACGGGGTTTCACCATGTTAGCCAGGATGGTCTCAATCTCCTGACCTCGTGATCCACCCGCCTCGGCCTCCCATAGTGCTGGGATTACAGGCGTGAGCCACTGCGCCCAGCCAAGTTTTTTTTTTTTCTTTGCTACATTTGTATTAGTTCTTCCCATCACCTTCTGCATCCCAGCTGTTCCTTTCCGGTACAGGTTAAATCATCTTTTCTTACAGCAGACTTTATGTGACCAATAAACCTCTGCTGACACAAACAAGCCTTGGGATTTATCATGAACTGGGGTGGGGGGAACTGCTCTCCCTCTGAGACATCGTGACAGATAGCCAGCCTGCCTCTCCTCTGGCACTGGGACCACTCAGCCTTTTCTTCTGGGCTAACCTCATATATCAGCGGCCAGATGCAGGTTTCCTTTGAAAGAACAATCTAGGCTAATACCTAGGACCCCTCTTTCTATCTCTTAGTCAAGATTTCTTACACTGACATATGTTGAGATTACAGTTTTTACTGTAACAGACCTAGCCAAGGAAAGCTGCTGTAATTTACAGCAGGCTTGCAGGGAAACAGTCGATGGATGATCATTAATTTAAACTGTAAATAAGATCCTGCTTTATTCTGGACTCTGATCCCCGGTAGTACCCCTAACAAGCTGCCTGCAAAGGCAAGGCATGAAGCCTGCTGTTTCCAACATGATGATTGAAGAACTGCTCTTGTCCGCACAAATGGCTAAAAATAGCTATAAGAATGTGAAGGCAAAACAGGTTTCCGGGAATGCTGAGAGTTACCCTGATGTTGTCAGTTTTATTCCAGTTGCTCCCACTAGCGTGAAAAGCAGAGAGAAGTATCTGGTACAAAAGATTTTGACTTGCTAGATAGCACCGCGGAGACCTGAGAGAATTAATACAACTTTTTAAAGGAGTCTGCCCTTTTCACTGGAGGATAGCTTAAGTCCTAGAAGAATTGGAGCAAATGTGAGCACTGCCTTTGTTCTGCATAATTAACAGAGCCTGAAATTTCTTTCTTTTTGTTTTAACATAAATTCTCATTGATTGGAGAAAATATATTCACACTTTAAAATGTTGTGCAAGTACTATCTCTTTGATTCAAATATGTCCTTTGGGTGGGCGGAGTACATATTTCATGGTGATAAATTCACCTTATAAGTAGAAAAACTATGCACAAATATACTGCGATGTCAACTTTATTGATTTGTGTACCATTGTTAAGACGTTCATCGTCCTCCAATATTTCTTAAATCTATCAGCATCTCAGAAAGTGACCATGAAGGCCTCATTTATCTATAGAGGAAAAGATCCCTTCCTTTAGGTTCACTCATAACATTGTGATTTAAACAGCTCAGGACCACCTCTGCTCTGAAGGGTAACAGTCCCAGAGAAAGCCATTCCCTCATAGTCATGCACAGGGACTTCTCTTTTTGTAGAACTAGGGTGTGTCAAGTCTTAAGAACAGTAAAATGCCCATGGCTAAATGCCCTTTTAAACGTCCTTCAGATAACTATGGACTAATTATGCAGCCTGATTCATGGTATATTGACTTGAGTGGATTTGATGGTTAGGCTCTTTGCTGTATTATTACCTCTCTGCTTCCCTTCCAGTCTTAGCAGCTATATCTGGACTTGAGCATCTCACTCCTTAAGTCCTGCTCCTGAAACAATCCTGGAGTTTCTGGATCATCACCATATATTCTGCAGCTACAGAAAAGCCTATAGTCAGATTTGATATTTGGCATCTTTTTTTTTTTTTTTTTCATGTTTCTCTCTAACAGCATCAGTGAAACAGAGACTATCATTGATTACTCTGAGGTCTCTTCCAGGCATAAATGTCTTCCATTTTCCTATATTAGTTTACAAATGGAGAAAATGTAAATGATTCACCCAGAGTCACCTGTTAGGTGGAAGTAGATTCAAGGCAGGGACTTAGATTTCTGAATCTTAGTTCAGGGATCTTTCAATTACAAAACGTCATGCCACATTTAGTACTAGAATATAGGACCTCTGAGGATGAGTTGCTGGCTTATTTCTCTTTACATCCTACAGTGCATAGCACATTGCCTAGCATACAGTTTGTTGACTGTTAAATTAAATTTGCTAAAAATGTGAACTAGAAGAAAAATTAAGAGAGATTGTAAAAATCGATACAAAGCCAACAAACAACTAAATTTCATCATAAAAATAAAAGATATAAGTTCAGTTCCTTAATTTGGGACTGCATACAGCAGATCAAAATTGTTTAGGTGTAATTGTTGATGAAGTAGCCAGCCAATTAAGGGAAGATAGGAATGTTTGGGTGTAGTTCTAAATTTGTGAGGTTGACAGTATTGGTTGTGTGGTACTGTGGCCATCAGCCACCCACAGCTATATCAATTTAAATTAATTAAAATTAAATGAAATTTAAAATCCAATTACTCAGTAACACTAGCCATATTTCAAACATTCAAAAGCCATAAATTGTTAATGTCTAAAGTACAGAAGAGCTTAGAAGAAAATTTCTATCATCAAGTTCTGCTGGACACTTCAGCAAGAAAAAAGAATGAAGAGAAAACATTAATTAAGCTTTTACTATTCTGTGCTAAGCACCTGAAATGCCTAATTTCATATAATCCTTACAACTTCCCACACGAGGTAGGTAGGTACTGTAACTGTCCCCCTTTTAAACCGAATCCCACTGTGCTTGGAGAGATTAAGTAAATCACCATGCTTATATACTTGGTAATAGGTTTAGCTGGGTTTTCTCTCTTCTTCTTACTCCAGAGTCTATGCTCAACTGAAAAGTTATGCTGTTTCTACTGAAGAACTTGAAATGCTTACAGCCAGAATGAACATTACACTTTATATTAGTGGTTCTTAATCCTAGATACCTATCAGAAGCATCTGGGGAGCTTTAGTAAGATATAGTTACCTGAGCCCTAATCCAGAGCAACAGTGGTGGGGCTAGAGCTTGCACGTTTGGGGACCACTTTTGACAAGCAGCCAGAATTGAGAGTGATTGCTTAAGAGATATTTTCATCACCTTCCATATTCCAGATGGCAAAATGCAGACCCTACCCAAGGTCACTAACAGTAGCTAATGAAAAATCTGAGATGAGAACATAGACATCAGTGCTACCTTCATAACACATTATGGTTTAGGGTATGTTAATGAATGACACGTTTCTATTTCCTGATTAATACTATTAGTTCATGTAACCTATGTACTACTTAACAATCGTATGTCAGAATTTGGAATTTGATAATGCAAGTTTATGAAAATAAAGGTATAGATGTAGTACCACTCCCCTTCAGGGACAAATAAATGTCTTCCTCATTTAAAAACAATATTTTCTTCCTAAAAAATGACATACCTGAGGAGTAGATAAGCTCTCATAATAGGAGATGTATGACATAGTGGAAAAAGTATGACTGCTAACCAAGACGCCTTAACTCTAGTCCTAATTATGGCCATAACTCTGCAATGGGCACAAACTATTTCTTTCCTCTGAATCTCAGTTTTCTTATCTGTAAAATAACGGTGTTGTAGATGATGATCTCCAAGGCTTCTTGAAGCTAAGATCCATGCTCAGAAGGGACTAATCTTATCACTCTTTCCAAGCTACTCTATTCTGCTAAATGCACTGCATTCATCCTGACATTTGTGTGCAGACTGAACAAACTTTAAAAATGAAACTTCCTATCTGCTGCAGGACAATGCATTCACTTAAATTCTAGTTAATCTATTTGTTCCATGTCAAGGAAAAACTGGGACATCAGATGAAAATCCATCTTTTCTGCTGTCTTGTCAAGACTCATTCTGACTCTTCTGATTGACTGGTCAGAACTCTTACTAGAGAGTCAGCAGCATCCACCCAACAAGACTCATTCTTTGTAGCTGCCTTTTGGAAATGGTAATGATCTACCTATCCCTCACCCTCTTACATTCACAGCTGCTGATCTGAAAATTATGATGTGTCAGACATTTTACAATCTTAACATCCATCAACCCATCTTTACATTTCTAATCCCAGATTAACTGTAATGGATTTTTAGGTAGCTAGAGTGGTTAGCCAACCAAGACAGAAGTCACATCATGAATGAGTAGCATGCTGAATATACATTTCTTACCTTACGCTTGTTGGTAGGACACACATAGAGATAGCTCAAAATGGTTTTCAAACCAACTTTATCATTCAGCTTCTCATAGGTTGTTCCATAATCGGTTGACCTATAATCCAAAAAGAGCATTAATGAGGACAGAAGTATATGTCATTTGGCTGCTTGTCAGTATAATGCATGCTTTACACAGTAGAATGGCTCTCAGGAGGTTTCTCAATGATTCATGTAGTATATAATGATGCTTAATTATGTACACAGTAGCATCATGTGAGTGGTTAAAATTTGCATTTAGATTGAATTGGTAAAAATTAAAACTCCATCTCTCTACTGCTCCTTAATGTACGCACATTGCATAAAGAATGTGGTTAATTTAAAAAGATTAAGAGATGAGGGTGTCCCTTGATTTGACCAAAGAATTAAAGAGTTTTTAGTCAGATATGACATTTCCAAACTTTTACTTTATGTTTGGCCCAGTAGAAAAGCAGGTTCTCCTGATTTATCAACAAATTGTGTTTTCTTTCATGAGTCAGGGAATATATGGTGGGTCAGTCCCTTCAAAGGTCAGTCAGTCTTTTCTTATTATTTAAGAGCAAGAAAATGTCTCAATAATCAGTGAGATTTCATGAATTTCATACTCCATAGCCTTTTCCAGTGTTAAGCAATCCTGAGTCAGGAGGACATGACTTCTCGACACTGACACTGTTTTTTCCTATAGAGCCTCTCAGCTTTAGCCATTGGTCAATAAATTATTCACTCGGATTAAATAAATTGCTTTTAATTACCTTCTCTATGAAGGTCTACTCTATTTCAGAATTTTAATCTTATTATATCATCATGACAACTATGTACAATAGGGATTATTATCTGTCTTTGATGAAAATGGCTGAACTTCAGTGACTTATTCAAAGAAATTTAAAAAATTTCCTGATAAATGGACAGCTAGAAATTGAATTCAGGTATTTTCGCCTAGGCCCCATGTTGCTTTCATTATACCTCAGCTTTTTTTTTTTTTCCTTTTTTTTTTTTTTAAAAAAATTTAAAGAATATAGGGCTGGGCACAGTGGCTCACGCCTGTAATACCAGCACTTTAGGAAACCAAGACGGGTGAATCACTTGAGGTCAGGAATTCGAGACAAGCCTGGCCAACGTTGCGACACTCCTTCTCTATCAAAAATGCAAAAATTAGCCTGGCCTGATGGCACATGCCTGTAGTCCGAGCTACTTGGGAGGCTGAGGCACAAGAATCACTTGAAACCAGGAGGCAGAGACTGTAGTGAGCCGAGATCACACCACTGCACTCCAGCCTGGACCACAGAGCAAGACTCTGTTTCAAAACAAAACAAAAAAAGGCCAGGCACACTGGCTCACACCTGTAATCTCAGCACTTTGGGAGGCTGAGGCAGGCAGGTCACGAGGTCAGGAGTTTGAGACCAGCCTGGCCAACATAGTGAAACCCTGTCTCTACTAAAAATACAAAAATTAGCCAAGCATGGTGGCAGTCGTCTATAATCCCAGCTACTCGGGAGGCCAAGGCAGGAGAACTGATTAAACCCGGGAGGTGGAGGTTGCAGTGAGCCAAGATCGTGCCACTGCACTCCAGCCTGGGCGGAGTCTTGTCCAGAGCAAGACTCCATCTCAAAAAAAATAAATAAATAAATAAAAAGGACATAGACATAAAATGATATAAAATTTCCTCTCAGCTTTCTTTTCTTAGGAGATTGTTTGTAAAATTCATTCATTCATTCATTCACATTTGTAGCACTCCTAAGACTTACCAGACAGTGTTGCTAAGTGTAAGGACATAGCACACAGCCTCTACTCTCAAGTATGTCACAATTTTATTTGAAAGAAAGAAATATAAACAAATATTTAGAATATGTTAAGTGCAAAGATAGAGATATGAGTTAACAATGCTTAGAAATTAAAGTTGATTTAATTCGAAAAACACAAAAATTGTAATCATCTTAATTAATTTCTGAAACTGGTAAAAGTTACAAATTCCTATAGGCCATAACGACTAAGCAGAATTGCATGTTAACAACCTCACTACCATCCATTCAGTATACACAGTGGACCAAACACTGGAGCAAGAAAGCTGCATAAAAGTGATCCTGGAGCTAGGAATTAAGGATTTATTCTGGCTGGAAATTCAAGATATTTCTTCCTAAAATTTATACATAGATGGCAAACAGAAAACGGTCAACACTTCAGAGGATTTAGATGCCATTCCTAATCGCTGAGGAACAAAGTACTACGCAAAACTTCTTGAAAGAACTATGAACCTTGAAAATGGGTAAGTTTAGAAAACAAAATTAGAAAGAGCATCACAGACTAGATGTTACCTTTGTAACAAAAATATATACCTGGCTTATTTCAGGACCAGTCTCTGCACTACTATAATCAAACACACATTAGCTTGATAGTCAAGAATATTTGAGGAGCATTCCAGAGCTATTTCACAGGATATCTTATTAATGAATCACAACAAAACTTCTTAACATCTTCCTTCCAAATCTATCTTTTTCTCCAAAATTCATAGCTTGTTTGAGGGAATTCCCTGGTATTCTCTAAGAAATATCGAAGAATTCTTTCCTAGCCCAGTCCACTTTGTTTTCGCTTTTTTTTTTTTTTTTTTCTTTTTTGAGACGGAGTCTCACTCTGTCACCCAGGCTGGAGTGCAGTTGGGTGATCTCTGCTCACCGCAACTTCCGCCTTCTGGGTTCGATCGATTCTCCTGCCTCAGCCTCCCGAGTAGCTGGGATTACAGGCACACATCACCACATCCAGCTAATTTTTGTATTTTTAGTAGAAATGGGGTTTCACCATGTTGGTCAGGCTGGCCTTGAACTCCTGACCTTAGGTGATCCACCCGCCTCAAACTCTCGAAGTTCTGGGATTACAGGTGTGAGCCAAGGCACCCGGCCCCTAGTCCACTCTTGGTGTTTTGTCTTTTTTTCCATTCTTATCTTAACCTCCTGAGTCAACATTCTCTTTCTTGTGTGTCTCCCGCATCTTGCTAGCCTTATTCTATCTCCTTTTATTGTACAGTTTTTTCTATTCATTATTCTGAACAATACTCACAAGTTCCAGAACAAAAAAACCAGATGCAAAATCTACCTGGGGGCGGGGATGGTGGGAGAAGAATGAAACATGTAAATACTGCTATATTAATAAATTTAGCCTGATGATAGGTGGAAATCGGTAAGACTACATGAGAGACAAGAAAATGGTTCAATTTTCCTAGTGGAATAATGAAAAAAGAGACTAAAAAAGTAGGAACTAGTCTATAGAGAGTGTGAAGAGTTTCTTATAATTTCTATTAACTTGATCCCTGAGCTACTCGATGAAGATTTTCACATTTAAAAAACAAGCCATAGAAAGGCAAATGAGGATTATATTATAAGGATGCTACATACAATCATCCTTATTTGCATGTGTGTGTGTGTTTGTGTGGGTGGGTGAGTGGGTGAGTATTAAACTCTAATCCCAATGTGACAAGATGACAATAGAGTGACTTAGTCAGATTTACATTAGCAACATTTTTTTCAGAAAGCTTACACTATATTATTGGACATTTTTATCTTATTGTAACATAATTCATCCACCAATCCAGATCCCTCAAGGTATCTATCATTATTTTTTGGTGCCATCACTTGTTTCTTGATTTTACAAAGCTCAAAAGTTAACCCAAATTTTGATAATTCTCCACTAGAGCAGAATTGCCTATTTAAACATCATGGCTTTGTAATAAGCAATTGATAGAGAGAAAATGATGCATTTTCACACATCCAAGTGGTACAGATCAGCGGTTGTCCAAGCGTGTCCCAAAGAACTGGAATTAGATAGAGTGTTGACAAGTTTCATCGGTAGAACCAACAATCAGCCGGCGTACATTGGTATGGTGGTACAGAAGTAAAAATAGTAAATACTTTCAAACCAGTTGATAAATAGTTACTGCACCAAGTTCTCTGAGTAGTTGTTCCTGCGAGGCTTATCACCTATGGTCTCTCACTCAGGGGCCTCTCAAGTTTCCTCACAGTCTAGCAATCAAAAGATTGAGGCCTGGCACAGCAGAGATCCTCAAAAAACTTGCTCCAGCACCAAGACCAACACACCTGTGCTGATCTGTCGATGCCTTTGCCAATCAGGCTGCTCCCCAGTGGGGGACACAGTGACCTTGGGTTGGCACTGCATCATGGAAGGCAATTTCTTTCTTTTGTTATTATTATTATTATTATTATTATTTTGAGACGGAGTCTCGCTCTGTCACCCAGGCTGGAGTGCAGTGGCGCAATCTCGGCTCACTGCAAGCTCCGCCTCCTGGGTTCACGCCATTCTCCTGCCTCAGCATCCCGAGTAGCTGGGACTACAGGCGCCCGCCACCATGCCCAGCTAATGTTTTGTATTTTTAGTAGAGATGGGGTTTCACCGTGTTAGCCAGGATGGTCTCGATCTCCTGACCTTGTGATTCACCCACCTCGGCCTCCCAAAGTACTGGGATTACAGGCATGAGCCACCACGCCCGGTCATGGAAGGCAATTTCTAGTGCCCCTCTGTAAGTCCTGATTCACAGCTAAGAGATGCTTCCAGTTCTAGTCGCACATTTATGGGAGCTGTAGTCTCCTATGGACATGAGCTCTAAAAGAGCAGAGGATGCTTTTTGCCCAACAAAGAGGTTAGGCAGCAGACTGGCTTGTGAGCCGATATGCTGGTTAAATATTTTAACTATCATCCCTAGGTATGGGAGAGGACATTTTCCAAGAACAAAAAATATTGAGAAATATGTGATTAGGCAACATTTAATGTTCCTTTACTTCATAACTTTTCACAAACTATATTATTCTAATATACATTGAACCTCTTAAAAGCATATTTCATGCGACATTTTCCAAACATATTTGATGATAGGATCCATTCTTGAGGGATATCTAATGAGATTAGTGTTCTGAGCAACACACTTGGGGAAGCATAAGATCAAAGACAAAGAAAAAAAAAGAAAGGTATGGATCTTAATTTCGTAAGAAAGAGGAACTATAAAATTATCTTAAATGAAAATTGCAAACAGAAATGCCAGCCTGGACTAACCATAAAGTGACTACTGTTGTAATAGAAAAACAAAAAACAAAAAAAGGAAAGGATCTTAAAATGTGTATCTTAAATAGTCATAATTAAGATGCGACATATGCAGCCTTGAATTCTTCACTTGTACCATTTTTAAAAAATCATTTCAAAGCAAGCATTTTTATTTTCAGGCTTTGTTTACAGGTTGACTTATCTATAAATGAAAAAGAGAGCTTCTGTCAACACCTATACTGTGCCAGAAGAAGCTAAAAGCTTAACAAAATAAGCATTCCATGAAAATAAATCTGCAAGTGATTAAATCAAGGCTTACTTTCTTCTGCTTTTGATCTTTAATCCTTACACTACGTTTTTACAAATATATCTTAGTAGCTTTTAGAACATTTGAAAGTATGTCTCTATTTAAGTATTTACTGTATACACAGAGCTGAAATAAGTCGCTCTGTGGAGTTCAGAAACCACCATCTGAGGCATCCCACCCGCCTTCCAAGAGGTTATTATCTTTTTGAGGTGGCAAAATCTCCTATCACGCTTGAAAAAAGGATCAGTATAGGATACAGCTAGTTTCCATAAGAGTTGCAGAAATGCAGTGTGTGACTGGATTTCCTTCACTATAATCTTATGCCATCAAATGGGATGCTAAATAAACACAGAATCATTGTAATCTAAATTAACCCATAAGCACAATGATTGGCACAGAAGCAAACTATAAATGATAGCTTTTGTTACTCATTTTCTAACATTTTTTTCTTGATTGTTTTTGGTGTTCTTTGCTCAATACTTACTAAAACCTACAACGTGAACCCTCAATGAAAACCCCAACCACTGAAAATAATTTTGAGTTAGGTTGCTTAGAAGAAAAGATATTCATAAAGCAATTACAACATTTTAAAAATGTAGCATAATTTAGTCTATCATATCTTGAAGGATATGTGCTAGTAGTTTTAGGTGGTACTTGGATCACAGAGTTAATGGTAAGAACTGGAATATAAGCAATAAAGATTCCACACTCTGCTTCTATAATAATTATGTCACAATTCCATTTCTGAATAGACCATTATGCTTAAAAATCCTAACAGAAGCCGGGTGTGATGGCTCATGTCTGTAATCCCAGAACTTTGGGAGGCCGAGGTGGGTGGATCAACTGAGGTCGGGAGTTTGAGACCAACCTGACCAACATATAGAAGCCCCATCTCTACTAAAAATACAAAATCAGCCGGATGTGGTGGCTCATGCCTGTAATCCCAGCTACTCAGGAGGCTGAGGCAGGAGAATCGCTTGAACTCGGAAGGCGGAGGTTGCAGTCAGCTGAGATCGCGCCATTGCACTCTAGCCTGGGCAACAGGAGCGAGACTGCGTCTAAAAAAAAAAAAAAATCCTAACAGACAACATCATAACAACGAATGCTCTTTGAGTACATACAATGTTATCTGAGCTCTTCACATGTAGAATCCTATGAGATGGACACTGATATTAATATCACATGTTACAAATAAGGAAGACTAAAAAGTGTAACTAGCCTGCTTAAGACTACAGAACTTGGGAGGTGCGCCGGGCGCAGTGGCTCACGCCTGTAATCCCAGAACTTTGGGAGGCCGAGGCGGGCAGATCACGAGGTCAGGAGATCGAGATCATCCTGGCTAACACGGTGAAACCCCGTCTCTACTAAAAATACAAAAAATTAGCCGGGCATGGTGGTGGGCGCCTGTAGTCCCAGCTACTCGGGAGGCTGAGGCAGGAGAATGGCGTGAACCCAGGAGGCGGAGCTTTGCAGTGAGCCGAGATTGCGCCACTGCACTCCAGCCTGGGCGATAGAGCGAGACTCGGTCTCAAAAAAAAAAAAAAAAAAAAGATCTTGGGAGGTGCTGAGTGCGCACTGGCCAGCATCCTTAACTCCATACTGCCATGCCTCTGTCAAAAGCCACCGGGAGAAATCTGCAGTTAAGGAGATGTATTCAGAAAACCTAGTTGAGCATTTTTTGGTAAAAGAAACATTAACTAAAACTCTTTGAGGTTGTATATGGTGTAGACCAAAGCCTGGCTTTTCTTTATACCTATTAAAAGGCAGACCTGCCAGGGAAAATTGATTAAATAAAAAAAAAAAAAGTATAAGCAGAAACTCTCACAAGGATCTATGAGGAAAAGAAGGTATATCCTTTATCTGATCCAGCCTGACTCCTGTGAAGGCTGAAAATATGGACAAAGTGATTGGGCTCAACCAGTTAATGACTTGATGATGCCTCATTAAGATTAGCAAGATATCTCAGTCTAATAGAAAAAGCAAGTTCTTGAAGCAAAACACAACTGGAATTAGTCACTCACTGTTACCCACTGCAGTGCCTACATGTATTAGTTGGACTCCTAGCCCACTTATGTTGCCCAGTGCAATGCCAATACGTCAAAACTAGATTCCTATTCAGCTTTAACTCTGCTTATTTTTAGCAAACAGGATGTCTGTGGTCAGGAGTTCCTTCTTAGAAATAAACCAGCTGAAGTTAGCAAAATCCAAAACTGCAGCTTACTCAACCTCTGAAGAACTTCTAGCTTCATTATAATCCAATTTCCATGCTGAATGACACTCCCACCAGTATCATGACAGTTGACAGTCACCATGACAATGACTGGAGCAGACCAAGAAAAAATAGAAAAGAGGCAGCTCCTTGATTCCAGGAAAGTCTCACTCCCTTCAAAAGAAAAGCATAAATATTCCTCCCCTTGCTCTTCAACCCAACCCCCTATGTTAAAGATACCCTGTATTTGTAACTGCCTGGTTCTCAGGAGCTGGGAAATTAATTTATGAGCTATGTTCCCACTTCTCCAATTCCATGATGATTGAATAAAGACAGTACTGCTTGACACTCACTTTCAGTTTTGTGTATTGGCTTTTGCAACACCAAACAGGAAAAAGCCCCCTTTGGGGTAACTGAGACCCCCAATAACATCACTATCTAGTAGGCGGTCAGTGCCCTGGTTTCTACAACAAATAAATCTCTCAGTACTCCACAGAATTTCATGTATAATTTGCATTCCAATTGTCACCTAATAGGATTGCAATATAATTGTGAGCTGCCTGATACCCAATCCCTCTCTTTTCTCTGCCTCCTCCCAACTCCACTCACATTCCAGTCTTGTCCCTTCACTTGGAAAGGTTTTTTTCCAGATACCTAATAGACAACTGTCTTATTGCTTTCTGAACAATGCTCATGTTGTATGAAGTGACAGCCTCCCTCACCCACCCCTCAGCACACTCTGCCCTTCCTAGGTGCTTTTATTTTCTGTTCACAATATTTATCCCCATCTGATAGATTTTTACTTATTTTTATTGTGTCTTTCTCCATGGGAACAGGGCTGATGTCTGTTTTGTTCACAGATGTCTTCCTAGCACTCAGAACAGCGCCCTGGGCACAGTAGGCACTATTTGCTTTTGACTACTTGCTAGCCTGATGGAGGCTTGCTTTTCTTGTGTTACCCAGTGGACTTCCATGAAATAAAAATTGAGAAGCTCATATGGTTTGGCAAGGACTTTTGGCTACAATAGCCCCTGCTGTTAGAAGATAAAATCAGCCGTGTGGAAAGAAGGGACACTAGGGTGGTGACTCGGTTCTATGCCCTCTACTTTTTTTAAATTAATAACCTTGATTTTTAGAGCAGTTTCAGGTCCACAGCAAAACAGAGTGGAAAATAAGTAGTTCTCATATAGCCCATCCCTACACATGCATAGCTTTCCCCATTATCAATATCCTCCTTCAGAGTGTTACATTTGTTACAATCAAAGAACCTATAACGAAGGATAATGATTACCCAAAGTCCACAGTTTACATTAGGGTACATTCTTGGTGTTATACATTCCATGGGTTCTGACAAATGCATAATGACATGTATCCACCACTTGACATCATAGAGAATAGTTTCACTCGGTCAAAAATGCTTGGTCCTCTTCCTATTGATTCTTCCTATTCCCCTAACCCATACTAACCACTGATCCATTTACCCTCTCCATAGTTTTGCCCTTTCTAGAATGTCATATATAGGCATACCTTGTTTTATTGCACTTTATTTTACTTTGCAAACATTACATTTTTTACAAATTGGAATTTTGTGGCATCCTGCAGGGAGCAAGTCTATTGGTGCCATTTTTCCAACAGCATGTGCTCACTTCATGTCTCTGTGCCACATTTTGGTCGTTCTTGCAATATTTCAAACTTTTCCATTATTATCGTATCTGTTATGGAGATCCGTGATCAGTGATCTTTGATGTTTCTATTATAATCATTTTGGGGTGCCCTGAACCATGCCCATGTAAGATGGCAAATTTAATCAATAAATATTATGTATGTTTTGACTGCTCCAACAACCAGCTATTCCCTATCCCTTTCTCCCTCCTTTTCTTTCCTCCCACCCCTCAGGCCTCCCTCTTGCCTGAGATAAATGATATTGAAATTAGGCCAATGAATAACTCTACAATGTCTTCTAAGTGTTCAAGTGAAAGGGGGAGCTGCATTAAATAAAAAGCTACAAATGATTAAACTTGGTGAGGAAGGCATGTCAAAAGGCAAGACAGGGCAAAAGCTGGGCCTCTTGTGTCAAACAGTCAAGCTGTGACTGCAAAGAAAAAGTTGTTGAAGAAAATTAAAAGTGTTACTCCACTGCACACAAGAATAAGAAAGTCAAACAGGTTTATTGCTGATATGGAGAAAGTTTTAGTGGTCTGGCTAGAAGATCAAACCAGCTACAACATTTCCTTAAGCCAAAACATAACCCAGAGCAAGGCCGTAATTTTCCTCAACTCTATGAAGGCCAAGAGGTGAAGACGCTGTGGAAGAAAAGTTTCAAGCTAGCAGAATTTGGTTCATGAGGAAAAAAGCCTTCTCTATAACGGGTAAGTGCAAAGTGAAGCAGCAAGTGCTGATACAGACACTGCATCAGGTTATACAGAAAATCTAGCTAAGATCATTGATGAAGGTGGCTACAGTAAACAGCAGATGTTCAATGTAGAGGAAACAACATCCAATCAAAAGACGATTCCATTAGAATTTCAAAGCTAGAGAGAAGTAGCCAATGCTGGCTTCAGAGCTTTGAGGGACAAGCTGACTTTCTTGTTGGGGGCTAATGCAATTGGTGACTTTCAGTTGAAGTCAATGCTCTTTTATCTTTCTGAAAATCCTGGAGTCCATAAGAATTATCCTAAATCTATTCTCCTTGTGCTCTATACATGCAGCAATGAAGTCTGAATGATAGCACATCTGTTTACAGCATGGCTTATTGGATATTTTAAGCCCATTATTGAGACCTATTGCTCAGATAAAAAGATTCCTTTCAAAATATTACTGCTCACTGATAATGTACCTAGTCATCCATGAACTCTGATGGAGATGTACAAGGAAATGGATGTTGTTTTCATGCCTGCTAACACAACATCTATTCTGTACTCCATGGATCAAGGAGTAATTTTAATTTTTAAGTAGTATTATTTAAGAAATACACTTTGTAAGGCTACAGCTTCCATAGATAGTGATTCCTCTGAAAGATCTGGGGGCAAAATAAATTGAAAACCTTTTGGAAGGGATTCACCATTCTAGAAGCCATTAAGAACATTCATAATTCATGGGAGGAGATGAAAATACCAACATTCATAGGAAGTTGGAAGAACTTAATTCCAATACTCATGGATGACTTTGAGGGGTTTGAGACTTAAGTGGAGAAAGTAACTGTACATGTGGTGACCATAACAAAAGAATTAGAAGTGGAGCTTGAAGATGTGAGTGAATTGCTGTAATCTCATGATCACACTTGAACCAATGAGGAGTTGCTTCTTATGGATAAGCAAAGAATGTGGTTTCCTGAAATGGAATATATTCCGGTGAATGTGGTGTAAACATTGTTGAAATGACAGCAAAGAATTTAGAATATTAAATAAACTTAGTAGATAAAGTAATGGCAGGATGTGAGAGAATGAACTCCAATTTTCAAAGAAGCCCTACCATGTGTAAAATGATATCAAAACAGTATTGCATGCTACAGAGAAATTTTTCATGAAAGGAAGAGTCAATTCATGTAGGAAACTTTATTGTTATTTTATTTTAAGAAATTGCCAGAGCCACCTTAATCTTCAGCAAATATCAAGGCAAGACCCTCCACCAGCAAAAAGATTATAATTCACTGAAGGCTCAGATAATAATTCACATTTTTTAGTTATATTATATATATATATATATATATATTTTTTTTTTTTGGATGGAGTCTTGCTCTGTCGCCAGGCTGGAGTGCAATGGCATGATCTTGGCTCACTGCAACCTCCACCTCCCAGGTTCAAGTGATTCCCCTACCTCAGCCTCCCGAGTAGCTGGGACTACAGGTGCACGCCACCATACCCCGCTAATTTTTTGCATTTTAATAGAGACGGGGTTTCACCATGTTGGCCAAGATGGTCTAGATCTCCTGACCTCATGATCCGCCTGCCTCGGCCTCCAAAAGTGTTGGGATTACAGGCATGAGCCACCCTGCCCAGCCATAAAATATTTTTGATTAAAATATGTACATTGGTGGCCAGGTGCAGTGGCTCACGCCTGTAATGCCAGCACTTTGGAAGGCTGAGGAGGGCAGATCACTTGAGGTCAGGAGTTTGAGACCAGCCTGGGCAACATGGTGAAACCCCATCTTTACTAAAAATACAAAAACTAGCCTGGTGTGGTGGCATGCGCCTGTAATCCCAGCTACTCGGGAGGCTGAGGTGGGAGAATTGCTTGAACTCAGGAGGTGGAGGTTGAAATGAGCCAAGATCACAGCACTGCACTCCAGCCTGGGCGACAGAGTGAGACTCCATTTCAATAAAATACACACACACACACACACACATTGTTTTTCTAGACATAATGCTATTACACACTTAATAGACTGTAGTATAGTATAAACATAACTTTTATATGCACTGAGAAAGCAAAAATTCATTCACTTGCTTTATTGTGATATTTGGTTTATTGCAGTTGTCTGGAATCAAATCCACAGTATCTGAGGTATGCCTATAGTTGAAATCATACAGCATCTAGCCTGTTCAGATTGGCTTCTTTCACTTAGTGATATACATCTCAGCTTCCTGCATGCCTTTTCATGGCTTGATAGCTTTTTTTCTAAGTGTTGAATAATGTCCCTTTGTCTGGGTGCACCATAGTTTCCAGTCACCTACTGATCTCAGTAAATCTCAGTTGCTTCCAAGTTTCGACAATTATAAATAAAACTTCTATAAACATCCATGTGCAGAATTTTGTGTAAACATGTTTTCAACTCCTTTGGGTAAATATCAAGGTATGTGATTGCTGGATTGTATATTGAGTATATTTGTTTTGTAAGAAATTGCCAAACTGTCTCCCAAAGTGACTGTATCATTTTGCATTCTGACCAGCAGTGAATCAGAGTTCCTGTTGTTTCACATCCTTGTGGGCATTTGGTGTTCTCAGTGTTTTAGATTTTGCCCATTTTAATAGGTGTATAGCAGCGTATCATTTTTTTTATTTGTAATTCCCTAAAGACATACGAGGTTTAACATATTTTATATGCTTACTGGACATCTGTATATGTTATTATTTTATTATTTTATTTATTTTTGTTTTTTGAGACACAGTCTCACCTTGTCACCCAGGTGGAGTGCAATGGCATGACCTTGGCTCACTGCAACCGCCATTTCCCAGGTTCAAGTGATTCTCCTGCCTCAGGCTCCCGAGTAGCTGGGACTACCCTTGTGCACCACCAGGCCCGGCTAATTTTTGTATTTTTAGTAGAGACAGGGTTTCGCCATGTTGGCCAGGCTGGTCTCGAACTTCTGACCTCAGGTGATCTGCCCACCTCAGCCTCCCAAAGTGCTGGAATTACAGGCGTGAGCCATTGTGTCTGGCCTATTCTTTCATGAGATGTCTGTTCAGGCTCTTTGTCATTTTTAAAAAATGGCTTTAAATATAAATTTCTTAATGTTGAGTTTTCTCTGTTTTGTGTTTTTGAGATGGAGTTTCGCTGTTGTTTCCCAGGCTGGAGTGCAATGGCGTGATCTCAGCTCACTACAACCTCCGCCTCCCAGTTTCAAGCAATTCTGCCTCTGCTTCCTGAGTAGCTGGGATTGCAGGCATGTGTCACCATGCCCGGCTAATTTTGTATTTTTAGTAGAGATGGGGTTTCACCATGTAGGCCAGGCTGGTCTTGAACTCCTGATCTCAGGTGATCCACCCACCTCAGCCTCCCAAAGTGCTGAGATTACAGGCATGAGCCACTGTGCCTGGCCCTTACTGTTGAGTTTTAATAGTTATGTGCATGTGTGTGTATGTATTTCCCCAATTTACTGATACGATTGACAAATGTAATTGTATTTAAGGTATACAATATAATGTTTTCATATAGGTATACATTTTGAAATAATTACCACAATCTACTTAATTATATGTCCATTACCTCAAACATTAACTGTCTGTGTGTTTATGCAGTGAGAACACTTGAGTTCTCTAGGAGCATATTTCAAATATGCTTTGCATTAACTAGAGTTACTATGTTGTAAATGAAGTATCCTGAACTTATTCATCCAATAGTGAAAAGTTTTTATGCTTTGACTCATATTTCCACTTTCTCCCAACCCCCAGCCACTAGTAACCACCACTCTACTCTCTGTTACTATGAGTCTGGCTCTTTTATAGATTCCACATGTAAGTGAGATCATGCATCATTTGTCTTCCTATGTCTGGCTTATCTCACTTAGCATAATGTTTTCCAAGTTAATTCATGTTGCGGTAAAAGGCAGGATTTCCTTTTTTTTTTTTTTTTTTGTGATGGAGTCTCGCTCTGTTGCTCAGGCTGGAGAGTGCAGTGGCGCGATCTCGGCTCACTGCAAGCTCCGCCCCCCAGGTTCACGCCATTCTCCCACCTCAGCCTCCCAAGTAGCTGGGACTACAGGCATCTGCCACCACGCCCAGCTTATTCTGTTTTTGTATTTTTAGTAGAGACGGGATTTCACCGTGTTAGCCAGGATGGTCTCCATCTCCTGACCTCGTGATCTGCCCACCTTGGCCCCCCAAAGTGCTGGGATTACAGGCGTGAGCCACTGCACCCAGACAAGATTTCCTTTTTCTAAGGTTGAATCATATTCTACTGTATATATAATACATTTTCTTTATCCATTGATTTCTCAGACACTTAGGTTGTTTCCGTATCTTGGCTATTGTGAATAATGTTGCAATGAACACAGAAGCACCAGCTATCTCAAGATAGTGATTTTATTTCCTTTGGATATGCACCCAGGAATAAAACTGCTGGATCTATATGGAGCATATTTAAACTTTTAGGAGCCACCACATTGTTTTCCATAGTGGCTGCATATTTACACTCCCACCACAAGTGTACAAGGGTTCCCTTTGCTCCACATCACTTGTTATCTTTTGATATTTTGATAAAAAACATCCTAATAGTTGTAAGGTGATATTTCATTGTGGTTTTAACTTGCATTTCCCTGATATTAGTGATGTTGAACATCTTTTCATATACTATTGGCTTTTTATATGCCATCTTTGGAAAAATGCCTATTCGTGTTCTTTGCCCATTTTTAATCAGGTTTTTTGTTTAATTTTGCTATTTACTTGTATAAGTTTCTTATATATTGTGATGATTGTTTCTTTGCTATGCAGAAACTTTTTTGATTAATATATTCCCACATTTTGCTTTTGGTGTCTGTGCTTTTGGTGTCAAATTAAAATAAAATCATTTCTAAGACCAATATTGAGGAGATTTTCTTCTATGTTTTCTTCTAGGAGTTTCATGGTTTCAGGACTTATGTTTAAGTTTTTACTCAATTTTTAATTGATTTTCATGTATGATATAAAATAAGGATACAATTTCATTCTTTTGCAGGTGAATGTCCAGTTTCTCCAACACCATTTACTGAATTTCTTTTTTTTTTTAATTATTATTTTTTTTAAATTATACTTTAAGTTTTAGGGTACATGTGCACATTGTGCAGGTTAGTTACATATGTATACATGTGCCATGCTGGTGCGCTGCACCCACTAACTCGTCATCTAGCATTAGGTATATCTCCCAATGCTATCCCTCCCCCCTCCCCCCTCCCCACCACAGTCCCCAGAGTGTGATATTCCCCTTCCTGTGTCCATGTGATCTCATTGTTCAATTCCCACCTATGAGTGAGAATATGCGGTGTTTGGTTTTTTGTTCTTGCGATAGTTTACTGAGAATGATGGTTTCCAATTTCATCCATGGCCCTACAAAGGACATGAACTCATCATTTTTTATGGCTGCATAGTATTCCATGGTGTATATTTGCCACATTTTCTTAATCCAGTCTATCATTGTTGGACATTTGGGTTGGTTCCAAGTCTTTGCTATTGTGAATAATGCCGCAATAAACATACGTGTGCATATGTCTTTATAGCAGCATGATTTATAGTCCTTTGGGTATATACCCAGTAATGGGATGGCTGGGTCAAATGGTATTTCTAGTTCTAGATCCCTGAGGAATCGCCACACTGACTTCCACAATGGTTGAACTAGTTTACAGTCCCACCAACAGTGTAAAAGTGTTCCTATTTGTCCACATCCTCTCCAGCACCTGTTGTTTCCTGACTTTTTAATGATTGCCATTCTAACTGGTGTGAGATGATATCTCATAGTGGTTTTGATTTGCATTTCTCTGATGGCCAGTGATGATGAGCATTTTTTCATGTGTTTTTTGGCTGCATAAATGTCTTCTTTTGAGAAGTGTCTGTTCATGTCCCTCGCCCACTTTTTGATGGGGTTGTTTGTTTTTTTCTTGTAAATTTGTTTGAGTTCATTGTAGATTCTGGATATTAGCCCTTTGTCAGATGAGTAGGTTGTGAAAATTTTCTCCCATGTTGTAGGTTGCCTGTTCACTCTGATGGTAGTTTCTTTTGCTGTGCAGAAGCTCTTTAGTTTAATTAGATCCCATTTGTCAATTTTGGCTTTGGTTGCCATTGCTTTTGGTGTTTTGGACATGAAGTCCTTGCCCACGCCTATGTCCTGAATGGTAATGCCTAGGTTTTCTTCTAGGGTTTTTATGGTTTTAGGTCTAACATTTAAATCTTTAATCCATCTTGAATTGATTTTTGTATAAGGTGTAAGGAAGGGATCCAGTTTCAGCTTTCTACATATGGCTAGCCAGTTTTCCCAGCACCATTTATTAAATAGGGAATCCTTTCCCCATTGCTTGTTTTTCTCAGGTTTGTCAAAGATCAGATAGTTGTAGGTATGTGGCGTTATTTCTGAGGGCTCTGTTCTGTTCCATTGATCTATATCTCTGTTTTGGTACCAGTACCATGCTGTTTTAGTTACTGTAGCCTTGTAGCATAGTTTGCAGTCAGGTAGTGTGATGCCTCCAGCTTTGTTCTTTTGGCTTAGGATTGACTTGGCGATGCGGGCTCTTTTTTGGTTCCATATGAACTTTAAAGTAGTTTTTTCCAATTCTGTGAAGAAAGTCATTGGTAGCTTGATGGGGATGGCATTGAATCTGTAAATTACCTTGGGCAGTATGGCCATTTTCACGATATTGATTCTTCCTACCCATGAGCATGGAATGTTCTTCCATTTGTTTGTATCCTCTTTTATTTCCTTGAGCAGTGGTTTGTAGTTCTCCTTGAAGAGGTCCTTCACATCCCTTGTAAGTTGGATTCCTAGGTATTTTATTCTCTTTGAAGCAATTGTGAATGGGAGTTCACTCATGATTTGGCTCTCTGTTTGTCTGTTGTTGGTGTATAGGAATGCTTGTGATTTTTGTACATTGATTTTGTATCCTGAGACTTTGCTGAAGTTGCTTATCAGCTTAAGGAGATTTTGGGCTGAGACGATGGGGTTTTCTAGATAAACAATCATGTCGTCTGCAAACAGGGACAATTTGACTTCCTCTTTTCCTAATTGAATACCCTTTATTTCCTTCTCCTGCCTGATTGCCCTGGCCAGAACTTCCAACACTATGTTGAATAGGAGCGGTGAGAGAGGGCATTCCTGTCTTGTGCCAGTTTTCAAAGGGAATGCTTCCAGTTTTTGCCCATTCAGTATGATATTGGCTGTGGGTTTGTCATAGATAGCTCTTATTATTTTGAAATACGTCCCATCAATACCTAATTTATTGAGAGTTTTTAGCATGAAGGGTTGTTGAATTTTGTCAAAGGCTTTTTCTGCATCTATTGAGATAATCATGTGGTTTTTGTCTTTGGCTCTGTTTATATGCTGGATTACATTTATTGATTTGCGTATATTGAACCAGCCTTGCATCCCAGGGATGAAGCCCACTTGATCATGGTGGATAAGCTTTTTGATGTGCTGCTGGATTCGGTTTGCCAGTATTTTATTGAGGATTTTTGCATCAATGTTCATCAAGGATATTGGTCTAAAATTATCTTTTTTGGTTGTGTCTCTGCCCGGCTTTGGTATCAGAATGATGCTGGCCTCATAAAATGAGTTAGGGAGGATTCCCTCTTTTTCTATTGATTGGAATAGTTTCAGAAGGAATGGTACCAGTTCCTCCTTGTACCTCTGGTAGAATTTGGCTGTGAATCCATCTGGTCCTGGACTCTTTTTGGTTGGTAAACTATTGATTATTGCCACAATTTCAGCTCCTGTTATTGGTCTATTCAGAGATTCAACTTCTTCCTGGTTTAGTCTTGGGAGAGTGTATGTGTCGAGGAATTTATCCATTTCTTCTAGATTTTCTAGTTTATTTGCGTAGAGGTGTTTGTAGTATTCTCTGATGGTAGTTTGTATTTCTGTGGGATCGGTGGTGATATCCCCTTTATCATTTTTTATTGTGTCTATTTGATTCTTCTCTCTTTTTTTCTTTATTAGTCTTGCTAGCGGTCTATCAATTTTGTTGATCCTTTCAAAAAACCAGCTCCTGGATTCATTGATTTTTTGAAGGGTTTTTTGTGTCTCTATTTCCTTCAGTTCTGCTCTGATTTTAGTTATTTCTTGCCTTCTGCTAGCTTTTGAATGTGTTTGCTCTTGCTTTTCTAGTTCTTTTAATTGTGATGTTAGGGTGTCAATTTTGGATCTTTCCTGCTTTCTCTTGTGGGCATTTAGTGCTATAAATTTCCCTCTACACACTGCTTTGAATGCATCCCAGAGATTCTGGTATGTTGTGTCTTTGTTCTCGTTGGTTTCAAAGAACATCTTTACTTCTGTCTTCATTTCGTTATGTACCCAGTAGTCATTCAGGAGCAGGTTGTTCAGTTTCCATGTAGTTGAGTGGCTTTCAGTGAGATTCTTAATCCTGAATTCTAGTTTGCTTGCACTGTGGTCTGAGAGATAGTTTATTATAATTTCTGTTCTTTTACATTTGCTGAGGAGAGCTTTACTTCCAACTATGTGGTCAATTTTGGAATAGGTGTGGTGTGGTGCTGAAAAAAATGTATATTCTGTTGATTTGGGGTGGAGAGTTCTGTAGATGTCTATTAGGTCCGCTTGGTGCAGAGCTGAGTTCAATTCCTGGGTATCCTTGTTGACTTTCTGTCTCGTTGATCTGTCTAATGTTGACAGTGGGGTGTTAAAGTCTCCCATTATTATTGTGTGGGAGTCTAAGTCTCTTTGTAGGTCACTCAGGACTTGCTTTATGAATCTGGGTGCTCCTGTATTGGGTGCATATATATTTAGGATAGTTAGCTCCTCTTGTTGAATTGATCCCTTTACCATTATGTAATGGCCTTCTTTGTCTCTTTTGATCTTTGTTGGTTTAAAGTCTGTTTTATCAGAGACTAGGATTGCAAGCCCTGCCTTTTTTTGTTTTCCATTTGCTTGGTAGATCTTCCTCCATCCTTTTATTTTGAGCCTATGTGTGTCTCTGCACGTGAGATGGGTTTCCTGAATACAGCACACTGATGGGTCTTGACTCTTTATCCAACTTGCCAGTCTGTGTCTTTTAATTGGAGCATTTAGTCCATTTACATTTAAAGTTAATATTGTTATGTGTGAATTTGATCCTGTCATTATGATGTTAGCTGGTGATTTTGCTCGTTAGTTGATGCAGTTTCTTCCTAGTCTCGATGGTCTTTACATTTTGGCATGATTTTGCAGCGGCTGGTACCAGTTGTTCCTTTCCATGTTTAGTGCTTCCTTCAGGAGCTCTTTTAGGGCAGGCCTGGTGGTGACAAAATCTCTCAGCATTTGCTTGTCTGTAAAGTATTTTATTTCTCCTTCACTTATGAAGCTTAGTTTGGCTGGATATGAAATTCTGGGTTGAAAATTCTTTTCTTTAAGTATGTTGAATATTGGCCCCCACTCTCTTCTGGCTTGTAGGGTTTCTGCCGAGAGATCCGCTGTTAGTCTGATGGGCTTCCCTTTGAGGGTAACCCGACCTTTCTCTCTGACTGCCCTTAACATTTTTTCCTTCATTTCAACTTTGGTGAATCTGACAATTATGTGTCTTGGAGTTGCTCTTCTCGAGGAGTATCTTTGTGGCGTTCTCTGTATTTCCTGAATCTGAACGTTGGCCTGCCTTGCTAGATTGGGGAAGTTCTCCTGGATAATATCCTGCAGAGTGTTTTCCAACTTGGTACCATTCTCTGCATCACTTTCAGGTACACCAATCAGATGTAGATTTGGTCTTTTCACATAGTCCCATATTTCTTGGAGGCTTTGCTCATTTCTTTTTATTCTTTTTTCTCTAAACTTCCCTTCTCGCTTCACTTCATTCATTTCATCTTCCATTGCTGATACCCTTTCTTCCAGTTGATCGCATCGGCTCCTGAGGCTTCTGCATTCTTCAGGTAGTTCTTGAGCCTTGGTTTTCAGCTCCATCAGCTCCTTTAAGCACTTCTCTGTATTGGTTATTCTAGTTATACATTCTTCTAAATTTTTTTCAAAGTTTTCAACTTCTTTGCCTTTGGTTTGAATGTCCTCCCGTAGCTCAGAGTAATTTGATCGTCTGAAGCCTTCCTCTCTCAGCTCGTCAAAATCATTCTCCATCCAGCTTTGTTCCGTTGCTGGTGAGGAACTGTGTTCCTTTGGAGGAGGATAGGCGCTCTGCGTTTTAGAGTTTCCAGTTTTTCTGTTCTGTTTTTTCCCCATCTTTGTGGTTTTATCTACTTTTGGTCTTTGATGATGGTGATGTACAGATGGGTTTTCGGTGTGGATGTCCTTTCTGTTTGTTAGTTTTCCTTCTAACAGACAGGACCCTCAGCTGCAGGTCTGTTAGAATACCCTGCCCTGTGAGGTGTCAGTGTGCCCCTGCTGGTGGGTGCCTCCCAGTTAGGCTGCTCGGGGGTCAGGGGTCAGGGACCCACTTGAGGAGGCAGTCTGCCCGTTCTCAGATCTCCAGCTGCGTGCTGGAAGAACCACTGCTGTCTTCAAAGCTGTCAGACAGAGACTTTTAAGTCTGCAGAGTTTACTGCTGTCTTTTGGTTTGTCTGTGCCCTGCCCCCAGAGGTGGAGTGTACAGAGGCAGGCAGGCCTCCTTGAGCTGTGGTGGGCTCCACCCAGTTCGAGCTTCCCGGCTGCTTTGTTTACCTAAGCAAGCCTGGGCAATGGCGGGCGCCCCTCCCCCAGCCTCGCTGCCGCCTTGCAGTTTGATCTCAGACTGCTGTGCTAGCAATCAGCGAGACTCCGTGGGTGGAGGACCCTCCGAGCCAGGTGTGGGATATAGTCTCGTGGTGCGCCGTGTTTTAAGCCGGTCTGAAAAGCGCAATATTCGGGTGGGAGTGACCCGATTTTCCAGGTGCGTCCGTCACCCCTTTCTTTGACTCGGAAAGGGAACTCCCTGACCCCTTGCACTTCCCAGGTGAGGCAATGCCTCGCCCTGCTTCGGCTCGCACACGGTGCGCGCACTCACTGGCCTGCGCCCACTGTCTGGCACTCCCTAGTGAGATGAACCCGGTACCTCAGATGGAAATGCAGAAATCACCCGTCTTCTGCGTTGCTCACGCTGGGAGCTGTAGACCGGAGCTGTTCCTATTCGGCCATCTTGGCTCCTCCCTGATGCCTTTCCTTTCTAGGAGAGAGAAAGGCATTCCCAAGACACCCAAGAGCCTCTATTTGGTAAGGTCTCCTTTACAAATGTGTATGTATCTCAAGCTCACAATATTCCTCAGAGCTCCAATTACCTATGTCTAACTCATTTTTGACACCTTCATTTGGATGCCTCATGGGAATAGATTTCAAATCTATCAAGTCCAAAAAGGAGTCATTTCCACCCTGCCCTCATCTCCCCTGCCACCCACCACACACACGCCCTACGGCCCTATTCTAGGCCTAGGAGTCTACCTATCAGTAAAACATCACTATCTTCTAGCCAATTGCAAAAAAACACAGAAACTTGGAGTCATTTTTGTTCCTGTCCCTCATCTCTCACATGCAATCCAACAACAGGTCCCAGTGTTCTACCATATCTCCACTGCCACTACCTTAATCCTAGCCACCTGCACCAGCTAGCTTGAAACCTACTGAATTTCTTTGTATATTGTATATGACAGGCCTTCATCAGATAGGTCTTTTATAATTTTTTCCCAGTCTGTGGCTTGTCTTCTCATTCTATTGGTATTATCATTCTCAGAGTTTTAAAATTTAATGAAGTCTGGATTACCCATTTTTTTCATAGATTGTGACTTTGGTCTTGTATGTAAAAAGTCATCACCATATCCAAGGTCATTTAGGTTTTCTCCTAGTTATCTTCAGGAGTTTTATAGTTCTGCATTTTACATTTAGGTCTATGATACATTTTGAGTTAATTTTTGTGAGGGCTGTAAGGTCTGTGTTCAAACTTCCTTTTATTTGTATTTATTTTTGCCTGTGGGTGTCCAGTTGTTTCAGCACCATTTGTTGAAAAGACTTTTCCTCATTGCATGGGCTTTGGTCTTTTGTGAAAGATCAGCTGACTATATTTATATTGTTCTATGTCTGGGCTCTCTACTCTGTTCCATTGATCTATGTATCTGTTCCTTCACACAATAACAAACTGTCCTGATTACTACAAGTTTATTGTAAGTCTTGAAGTCAGGCAGTGAGTGCTCCAATTTTGTTTCCTTCCCTTACTACTCAGTTGACTATTCTGGGTCTCCTACATCTCCATATAAACTTTAGAATTATTTGTCAACATCCACAAAATAACTTGCTACATTTTAATTGAGATTGTGTTGAATCTATAGATCAAGTTGAGAAGAACTGACATCTTGGCAATATTGAGTCTTTCTGTCCATGGATATGGAATATCTTTTCATTTACTTAGTTTTTTAACATCCTTTATCAGAGCTTCATAGTTCTCCTCATACAGATCTTGTGTGCGTATGTTGTTAAATTTATGTCTATTTTCTTTTTTGGTATGCTAATGTAAATGGTAATGCGTTTTTAATTTCAAATTCTGCTTGTTTGTTACTAGTGTATATTACTTTTGTATATTAACCTTATATTGTACAATCTTGCTACAATTACTTATTAGTTTTTTCATTGTTGTTGATTCTCTAAGATTTTATACATAGATGCTTCTGTCTCTGCAACAAAGATAGTTTTATTTCTTCCTTTTCAATCTGTATAACTTTTATTACCTTTTCTTGTCTTATGGTATTAGCTAGGACTTCCAGCTAAAAAACAGTGGTGAGGAGATATTCTTGCCTTGTTCTGATCTTAGTGGGAAAACTTTCGAGTTTCTCACCACTAAGTAAGATGCTAGCTGAAGGTATTTTGTAGATGTTTCTTGTCAATTTAAGAAAGTTTCCTCGGCTGGGTGCGGTGGCTCACACCTGTAATCCCAGCACTTTCGAAGGCTGAGGCAGTCGCATCACAAGGTCAAGAGATCAAGACCATCCTGGCCAACATGGTGAAACCCTGTCTCTACTAAAAATACAAAAATTAGCTGGGCATGGTGTTGCACGCCTGTAGTCCCAGCTACTCAAGAGGCTGAGGCAGGAGAATCACTTGAACCTGGGAGGTGGAGTTTGTAGTGAGCTGAAATCACACCACTGCACTCCAGCCTGGGTGACAGAGCGAGACCCTGTCTCAAAAAAAAAAAAAAAAAAAAGAAAGAAAAGAAAAAGAAATTTCCCGCTATCCTTAGGTTGCTGAGAGTTTTTACCATGAATTGGTATTAAGTTTTGTTATTTTCCCTCATCTATTGGTATATTATGTGATTTTATTTAGCCTGTTGATGTGATAATTACATTAATTGATTTTTGAATATTAAACCAGCTTTACATATCTTGGATAAACCCCACTTGGTCATGATGCACAATTCTTTTCAAACATTATTGGATTGAGGGGTTTTGCATCTTTGTTCATGAGAGATAATTGTCTGTAAGTTTGCTTTTTTCTCCTAATGTCATTGGGTGGTTTTTGATATTGGAATAATACCAGCATCATGAAATGAGCTGAGAAGTATTCCCTCTGCTTCTGTATTCTGCAAGAGTTTGTAGTAAATTGGCATAATTTATTTCTGAAATGTATGGGAAAATTCACCAGTGAACTGACTGTGCCTGGTGCTTTCTGTTTGGAAGATTATTAATTATTGATTCAATTTCTTTAATAGTTACAAGCCTATTCAGATTTCTACATTTTCTTATGTGAGTTTTGGCAGATTGTGTCTTTCAAGAAATTGGTCCACTTCACCTATGTTATTAAATTTGTGGGTAGAAAAGTGTACATAATAGTCCTTTATTGTCTCTTTAGTATCCATAGGATCTGTAGTGCTCTCTCCTCTTTCATTTCTGACATTAGTATTTTGTGCTCCCTCTCTTTTTTCTTAGCCTGGCTAGAGGCTTATCCATTTTCTTGATTTTTTTTTTTTTCCAAAAAAACAGGTTTTGGTTTTGTTGATTATCTATTTTCAGTCTTGTTGATTTATGCTCTAATTTTTTATTATTTCTTTTCTTCTGCTTATTATCAATTTAATTTGCTCATTTTTCCCTAATTTTCTGAGGTGGGGGTTTAAATTATTGATTTCATATTTTTTCTTTTTAAATATACACTTTCAACATTGTAAATTTCCCTCTAAGCATGGCTTTTACTGCATCCTACAAACTTTAATTAATTTTATTTTATTTTCCTTTACTTCAAATTATAGTTTCTCTTGAGATTTTTTCTTTGATCGATGTGATATTTAGAAGCATGTTGTTTAATCTCTGCTTATTTTGAAAATTTTCAGCTATTTCTTTTATTGATTTCCAGTTTAATTTCATTGTGGTTGAAAAACAGACATTGTATAATTTCTATTTGCTTCAGTTTGTTAAGGTGTGTTTTATGGTTCAGAAAGTGGTCTGTCTTAGCAAATTTTCCATGTGATCTTGAGAAGAATGTGTAATCTGTTGGTGTTAGGTGATATTGTCTAGAGATATCAATTTTACCCTGTTGGTTGATGGTGTTGTTGAGTTCAAATATGTCCTTATAATTTTTGCCTACTAGATCTGTTCATTTTTGAAAGACGATGTTAAGGTCTCCAATTATAATAATGACTTCATCTTTACACTTGCAGTTCTAATCAGTTTTTGCCTCATGTATTTGGACACACTCATGTTAGGCATGTGCATATTAAGGACTCATGTCTTCTTGGCATATTGACTCCCCTTTATCATTATGTAATGCCCCTCTTTACCCTGATAATTTTCTTTGCTCTGAAATCTGCCCTGTGTAAAATTAATATAATGACTCCAAAGACCTTCTAATTAGTGTTAGCATGGTATATCATTCTCCATCCATTTACTTTTAATTTGAATGTATCTTTGTCTTTGAAGTGGGTTTCTTGTAGACAACATATAGTTAGGGCTTGTTTTTCTCATCCACTCCATCAATCTCTGTCTTAATTGGTATATTTAGGCCACTGACATTTAAAGTGATTATTAATATAGTTGGATTATTGCCTATCACATTTTTACCATTTTCTTTTTGTTTCCTTTATTCTTTGTTCCTATTATCTTTCACATGTTTTCTGTCTTTTGTGATTTTAATTGAGCATTTTATACGAATTTATTTTCTCTCCTTTCTTAGCCTATTTGTTTTCCTCTTCTTTTTCACTCTTTTTAGTACTTGCTGTAGAGTTTGCAATACATATTTACCACTAATGAAGTTCACTTCTAATAACAACACACTACTTCATGGGGAGTGCAGGCACTCTGTCATAACAACTTATTCCTAATTCTCCTTCCCAATTCTTGTATTATTGATGTCATTCATTTCACCTGTACATAAGCATACCTAAGTGTGTATGTGTGTGTGTATATATATACATGAGCATACGTAATTGAATACATTGTTGCTATTATCTTGAAGAAAGTGGTATCTGTGAGATTACTACTCAGAAGAATAAAGGTTTTTGTGGTACATTCACTTATTCATTCTGATGCTCTTCTTTTCCTTACATAGACTTGAGTTTCTATCCTGTATCATTTTCCTTCTCTCTGAAGAACTTCTTTTAACATTTATTTCAAAGCAGGTCTACCAGTAACAAACTTCCTCAACTTTTGTCCGTCTGAGAAAAGTCTTTATCTCTCCTTCACTTTTGAAAGATAGTTTTGCAGGGTACAGAATTCTTGATGTTTTCCATTATTTTTTCCTCTCAGCACTTTAAATATTTCATCCCACTCTCTTCTTGCCTGTATAGATCTGAGAAGTCAGATGTATTTTTCATCTGTGCCTCTTTACAGGTAGGTGTTCCCCATTCTGCCTTAAAAAAGTTTTTTTTAAATCTTTGATTATCTGAATTTTGAATATGATATACCTATGTGGGGTTATGATGGTTTTTGTGGTTGTTGCTTTGTTTTTTGACATTTATCCTGCTTAGTGTTCTCTGAGTTTTCTAGATCTGAGGTTTGGTACATTATTTTGCAGAAATTCTCAGTTATCATTGCTTCATACATTGCTTGTTTCTTTCTCTTTCTTTCCCTTCTGTTATTCCCACTATACATATATTACACTTTTGTAGTTGCCCCACAGTTCTTGCTCTGTATTTGCACTTCGATGGTCTTTTTTTAAGTTTTGGAAGTTTCTGTTGAGGCATCATCAATTTCAGAGATTCTTTTCTCAGCCATGTCCAGTCTACCAATGAGCTCATCAAAGGCATTCTTCATTTCTATTACATGGTTTTCATCTCTAGCATTTCTTCTTGATCTTTTCTTAGAATTTCCATCTCTCTGATGACATTATCCATCTGTTCTTCCATGTTGTCTGCTTTTTCTATTAAAGCCCTTAGCATGTTGATCATACATTTATAAAAATTATCGGTTTTTCTAATTCTGATATTCCTATCATATATGACTCTGGTTGTGATGCTTGTTTAATCTTTAGAAACTGGATTGTTTGCCTCTTAGAATGCCTGAACAGCTGACATGAGGTACTAGGTAAAAGGAACCATAGTCAATAGGCCTTTAGTTGTGTGATGGTAATACGGGGAAGCGAAGAGGGAGACACAACATTTTTTTTTTTTTTTTGAGACAGAGTCTCGCTCTGTCACCCATTCTGGAGTGCCGTGGTGCAATCTCAGCTCACTACAACCTCAGCCTCCCTGGTTCAAGCTATTCTCCAGCCTCAGCCTCCTGAGTAGCTGGGATTACAGGCATGCCTCACCGCGTCCAGCTAATTTTTGTATTTTTAGTAGACACAAGGTTTCACCATATTGACCAGGCTGATTTCGAACTCCTGACCTCAGGTGATCCACCCACCTCGGCCTCCCAAAATGCTGGGATTACTACAGGCGTGAGCCACCCCGCCCAGCCAGGCAAAACATTCTTTAGTTCTATGATTAACTCTCAGATTTTTTGGGAGTCTTTGCCCCTGGAATGTGAACTTTACCAGTGCTTCTCACATTTCTTCCCTGCTTAGGTGGAACATAATAGCTAGAGGAAGTTGCAGTTGCTTATTTCCCTTCCCCCTAGTCAGTTATGGTCTGACAGATCCCCAGCAGGTGAGGCTCTGTTAACTAGTTTCTCCTGAGGGCAGGTCTTGTTAAGACAGAATGCTCTGGCGTATTTCAAAATGGTTACTTTTGCCCTCTCCCTGCTGGAAGTACGAAGGTAAGTTCCCCCACCAGTTGTCACTGTGGGGAGCTGGTAAAGCTCCTGGAGGTAAAACTCACAAAAGTATGAGGGCCTCTCTGATTAGGTCCCCACGAAGTTCTTAACTCTCAGACATGTCCACACTGAGCCTCCTGCAAACCATCAACTACTGTTTAAGTTTTTGTAACTTAGCACTGGTTCCTGTGGAAGTTTCTGCTTGTTGAGTTTCTGCTCAGGTAAATTGTGATTTGCTGTGTCTGACTGTTGGTCTTTCCAATTCGGGGGACAGCATTTGTCCTGTGACTTCACTTGTAGGATGATCTGAACAGAGTTGTTAATTGTTCAGTTTCTTTAGCTTTTAACTTGCTAGGAAAATGGACAAACTGTGAACTTCTTACATGCTGGACCAGAAACCAGGAGTTCACCTCTCTTCCTTCTGATCAGAAAATCTCTGCCTGGCACCCATCTCCTGATTACTCTAAGTGCCCTGAAAGCAGTGAACATATCTTTGTTCACCCCCAGATCCCCAGTCCCCAGGACAGTGCTGGCACAATCAGGTGGCTTCTCCACATGAAGGGTGAATGAATGCCTAATGGGCACGTACTGAACCAGGGATGAGCCAAGCTGCTCCTTCGGTAAGGCTTTAGAAAGCATACAGATATCCTGCCCATCTCCTTCCCTACCCAAAACCCCACAGACGGAAGATGCCTTATTTCAGAAACACAGAGCCATACTGCCAAGGTCACAAAGCAAAGACTCAGGCTATAGAGGGAAGCTTGGGCACAGGAAGCATCAGGGCATTACTCAAATCACTGCCAACAAGATGTCCTGAAAGCGGAACAGTGTTCACCTCTAAATCAAGCAGCTGCAGCGTCTGTGTTTTGTTTCTTTCTTAAAATCATTAAGAGCAGCCACTTCCATTGCTCCTAGTGCATTTGGTGGCATAAAAATAGCTCCGAAAGCCAAGGGCGCATTGGGTGCATCACAGACTCTGCTCCTTAATAACTTAGGATGCATGAGGTTAAAGCAGTGAGAATAATTTAGGGTTTGGAAAATGTTTGCGAGTGAGTCGACATTTAAATAACTTCATTATCATTCATTGACAGATTTTTTTTAACCTGTCAGTGCAACTGATATTTCTATTACCATGTTATAACAAACCCCTGCACATTTTAAATACAGTCACTGGATTCCACTAGTCTACCCACTGTCAAGAAAATATCTTCAAATCCATTTTTCATAATACCTCAAGAATATAATAGGCAATCTACATCAAACGATGACGTGGAGCTGAAGGAAATTGTCTCCTGCTTTCTAAGGAATCTGCCCCGAAATACGTTTGCCTGTCAGCCTAAACATATAATTCAAATGTGCTGCCGAGACATTATGGTGCATTCTGAGCTGAATGAGCTTCCCTCTCTTTCCTGGATTCCCTGAACCTTTCAGCGTAACTTGCAGAATTAGCTAAGGGGATTAAACAGTAGGTTAAGGGGAAGTCATGTAAAATTGACATAAAAATATTTCCATTCTGTCATGTATCACAGAATTTTTAATATCACATCAAAAGCTTTTATTCTTTAAATATGTTACTTTTATGTTAATAAGGGATAGAAGTTCTCATCTATCTAGCAGTCTGTTCCATTTTTCTTCTCCTAATTATATCTTTATTCTGTGTTCTTGATGTTTCTAGTCATACAGATCCGGTGAGATAAGAAATTTGGGTGCATTTGGCTGGGCGCAGTGGCTCACGTCTGTAATCCCAGCACTTGGGGAAGCCGAGGCAGGCGGATCACGAGGTCAGGAGATTGAGACCATCCTGGCTGACAAGGGGAAACCCCGTCTCTACTAAAAATACAAAAAAATTAGCTGGGTGTGGTGGCAGGCACCTGTAGTCCCAGCTGAGGTAGGAGAATGGTGTGAACCCAGGAGGCGGAGCTGGCAATGAGCCGAGATTGCACCACTGCACTCCAGCCTGGGAGACAGAGCAAGCCTCTGTCTCAAAAAAAAAAAAAAAAAAAGGAAAGAAAAATTTGGGTGCATTTGATTGGGGTTGTGTGCAGACAGTGACTTTTCTGCTGTAGGTTACCCTTACCACTGACATGTCTGCTGGTTTATTTTTGAGTATAAAAGTAACTTACATTGGCCCTGATACCTGGATCTCTATTTTGCATAAGAAAGGGCAAAGTAATTTAAGCAGAGGTCTCCTGTTCATCTTTTTAGGAGCAAATTGGAGTACTATCCTTCACTAGATGATGTCCATGACATCCTTCTTATACAAACACACAGTTGTCTGTGCCCAATGTATCCAATATGTACCATCCATTCTAGTTCTTACTGCCATTCCTAGGGCAGGCCATCACTATTTCTGCTGTGGCTAGAACTTGTTGCAGTAGTCCAGGTAAATTTACTAGCAGCTCCCCCTCACAGATGCGGCCTCTCTCATACCTCCATGTCTTTGCAAAGGCAATATCCACTGCTAAGCAGACAAGCTGGTACTGGTGAGGAGGGCATAGGGCACGTATTCCTTCTCATCTTTTAACATTCTACTCCACAGTTTTCTTCCCAGGGATGCCACTCCTGACCATGCCAATCAACTAGCAGTCAGCCTTTGTTCTTTCTTCCATGACAACCCAGATTCCCTGGCATTGTATCGTTGTTGTCAATGCTCACAGTTGTCTGTGCTAATAGACTGCATTTTCTAAAGGCAGGGATAGACAATAATTTATCCTTTCACTCTTCTTTCAGCCGATCACAATTCATTCATACACTTCAAGGCTGGAATCAAATATCCTTTCTTTTTTTTTGAGACTGGGTCTCACTTTGTCACCAGGCTGGAGTGTGGCGGCGCGATGTTGGCTCACTGCAAGCTCCGCCTCCCGGGCTCAAGCGATTCTCCTGCCTCAGCCTCCCCAGTGGCTGGGACTACAGGTGCGCACCACCATGCCCAGGTAATTTTTGTATTTTTAGTAGAGACGGGTTTTACCATGTTGGCCAGGCTGGTCTTGAACTCCTGGCCTCAAGTGATCTGCCCACTTTGGCCTCCCAAAGTGCTGGGATTACAGGCATGAGTCACTACCGGCCAATATCCCTTCTTTCATTGAACCTTTTCACATCCCTCTGCTGAATGGAATGCCTCTCTCCTTTATACTGTATGTGATTTATTTGAATCTCTCCTTATTGGCCTTTATATGCTGCCATGTATTACATTTACATGCGTTTGATCTCGCTTACCAGATGGCCATCTACTAGGAGCAAAATGCATTTATGCTTACTCTTCTGTATCTCTCTCCACCATTTAGCTGCTTCTTACAATCCAGAAGGTGCTCAGTGTTGCTAGGTTGAACCGAACACACTATCCTGTAAAGTTCTCCTTTATCACCAGAAAATTCAGTTTGAAAAATTTCACATTTGGGTTTTGCATTTCCTTTTGGAGGGTTTGGGAGCAAGAAAACTTCAGGGCTTCCAGCTGAGTTTGTGTTGGGTAGGAATAATTATGAGACATAAATATAAGAGAGATTAGTGACTCACTAAGGAAGAACTCATACAAATGCATATGCAAAATGTATTATATATCAGTTTGTTTAAATGTCTATAAATACAGCTATGGAAAATAAAATATCCATTTGTCAGTTATAAGGGTAAAGATAAATTTGGGAGGAGAGCAACTTATCTTTTTAGCTTTGTGACATGTTCTATCTTTTGATACAACCCCAATCTCCAGGTACTTCTAGTCTGACAGGTAGAGCATCCTTCATCACACTGGGGTCAAATCTTCATAGGCTGCATTACCCTACACTCCTGAATTATGCGGTTTATGAATAACAGTGAACATTTATTGAATGCTTAAGATACCACACACTGGGCTAAGCACTTCATAAGGATTACCTCACTGAGTTCTCTAACATCGCACGAGTTAAGTACTGGTATGATCCACATTTTACAGATGAGGAGACCAAGACTTAAGGAAGATGATCAGCTTGCCCAATGCCACATAGGAGTGATGAACATGGCCTAGATTCAAACTCAGGCAGTTAGGCTCCAAAGTCAGCATGCTTAATACAGAGATATGGTGAATTGTCCATTTAAATAGGGTACTATTCGTAGAATGATGGCAGTGTGTCTGAAAAAGAATAGATTTTTCCTAATGGAGCTCCCAGAACTTACATCACCTGCCTTCCAAACAACGAACCACTGCTGTTTGTAATATTGGCGAGTTGTCATCCTAAATTCAATTTTTTATTAGAATGAGGATCCTTAATCCAAGCTTCTAGTAAACTAGTTCAACTGTATTAAAGGTAACAGGGATTACTGCAGACTTCCCCCCAGTTGTGAATGCACTGTACTTGAAATGAAATGGCATACATACACACGTCCTTTATCTTAGAGCCCTTGTTAGAAAATGAATTGGAGCTCCAATTCTGCCAATGTGTTTCACTCTCTTCTCACACGGTACTCAGTTGGCTGAAGACGCAGTGTTATTGTCCCGACTTAAGAATATGCAAAAATAGGCCAGGTGCAGTGGCTCATGCCTGTAATCCCAGCACTTTGGGAGGCCGAGGCAGGCAGATTGCCTGAGCTCAGGAGTTCGCAACCAGCCTGGGCAACAAGGTGAAACCTTGTCTCTACTAAAATACAAAAAAAATTAGCCAGGCATGGTGGCATGTGCCTGTAGTACCAGCTACTTGGGAGGCTGAGGCAAGAGAACTGCTTGAACCCAGGAGGCAGAAGTTTCAGTGAGCCAAGATCGCACCACTGCACTCCAGCCTGGGGGACAGAGTGAGACTCCGCCTTAAAAAAAAAAAAAAAAAAGAATATGCGAAAATAAATAAAATACTTACCAAATGAAGTCAATGTTACTTGGCTCTCCTAGCTTTTCCATCAAAACATACATATGCAAATTATGAAAAATGTATTCTAGAAGGACAAGCTACGAAACATATAGCAGTGACAATGGAATTTACTTGATCCCTTAAATTTAAAATGGTTCAAATACCCTCAATTGGCCGGGCGCAGTCCCTCACACCTGTAATCCAAGCACTTTGGGATGCCAAGGCAGGTGGATCACGAGGTCAAGAGATCAACACCATCCTGGCCAACATGGTGCAACCCCATCTCTACTAAAATACAAAAATTAGCCAGGCGTGGTGGCATGCACCTGTAGTCCCAGCTACTCGGGAGGCTGAGGCAGGAGAATCACTTGAACCTGGGAGGCAGAGGCTGCAGTGAGCCAAGATTGTGCCACTGCACTCCAGCCTGGTGACAGGGCGAGACTCCATCTCAAAAAAAAGTGTAAGCTGTCCTCTAGGTGTCATAGTATAATGTCAGCTTGTTAGGTTTCTTTCTTTTCTTCACCATAGATGATGAGATTTTCAGTCTCATAAGATACATGTTTAACTGAGCTTTTGTTACCTTTAGTTTTCCAAAGGTTGAATGAGGTAAAAAAATGAGTAAATCAATTCCTCATCTGTAATTGGAGACAACTGGACCAGCTGATCTCTAGCTTTGACTCTAACATTTAAGAATTCCAGTATCAGGGAGTTTTAGGGAACTGAACATCTATAGTGAAACCTATTACACACGTGAAAAGTTAAACTTATGGATAAATATCATCCCCAAATCACTGGAGACATTCAGGGTCAGAGTGTCAGGGTGAACGCACATCTTCTTTGTGTATTACATCCTGTCTGTTTTCTACTTAATTTCTTGAAGGGTGAAATAATTGATGCTATCCAGAAAACATATGCTTGCCTATTTGTGCATATCATTACAATGTCTTTTAATATCACCATTTATTTTGTCCCTACCCATTACTTTGAGGAAACCTAAAAATCCTAGAAAATTAGAGCTTCAATGACATTTAGAAATAATCTCATCTCTCTTCAATGTTTTTTTTAAGTGGCAGAAGAGTTTACGCCCAAGTTAGTCCTCATTAAAACACCTGTTCTCCATTTCACCCCCGACCCAACACACACAGTTTACCTTCCTTATTAACTGTTTCACACTTTCATACAATTTCATAGGATCAATAAAATAGTTTTCATATAATAAAAAGTTTGGCTGGGCGCGGTGGCTCGCGCCTGTAATCCCAGCACTTTGGGAGGCCGAGACAGGCGGATCATGAGGTCAGGAGATCAAGACCATCCTGGCTAACACGGTGAAACCCTGTCTCTACAAAAAAAAAAAAAAAAAAAAAAAAAAAAGTTTCAGCATTCTGATTCTGCAGATGAAGTAGCTGAGACTTAGATTAAAGTAAGTCAAGCATTTAGTTGAGACCAAAGTCATGAAAAGAATCCAGGTTTTCTGATTCTCATGGTAAGATATTTCTTAGAATTATACATTGTCAAATATGCAAAGGCACCTTCAACTCGTCGATTAAAAAAATTTTGTAAAGTCTATCCATTTTAGAATTAGCTAATACTGTAAGAAAAAATCTGATAATATTTCTTTAGAAGTTGATTTCCCCCCAAACAAACAAACAAAACAGAAACAAACAAAGAGGGCTACAAATGTAAAAATCTGTGTCCTGCTACACTTCAGAATCATACCCAGCTGAAAACTGTAGTTACATTTGGGCAAGAGGCAAGGTCTAAGAGAACATTAAAAATAAAAATATTATATGAAATGCTTACAGAGGGCTGGGCACGGTGACTCACACCTATAATCCCAGCACTTTGGGATGCCAAGAGGGGGCAGATAACTTGAGGTCAGGAGTTCAAGACCAGCCTGGCCAACATGGTGAAACCCTGTCTGTAGTAAAAGTACAAAAATTATCTGGGTGTGGTGGTAGACACCTGTCATCTCAGCTACTCAGGACACTGAGGCAAGAGAATCACTTGAACCCAAGAGGCAGAGGTTGCAGTAAGCTGAGATCGTACCACTGTACTCCAGCTTGGGCAACAGAGCATGACTCCATTTCAAAAAAAAAAAAAAAAGTGCTTACAGAGAATGCATTCCAGCATCCCTCATGAAATAGAGATGATTTTTTTTTTTTTTTGCCAAGATCCCCTTCAGTCACTGATCTCTATTCCTCCAGTCTGCATGTAGTGATTCCCAACCAACTCACAGGCAATATCTGTTTCACAAAATCTGGATGGTAGAGCTGACAGAGGGTGGCGCTCTAATATGCACCATCACACTAGACACACTGACATTTGCCCACAAGTCCCAAGAGAATTGCCAGATTCCCATTGCCTTCAGATTTTCCTTAAAAAAAAAAAAAAGCAAAGTAATACAGGAAAAGCTGCCAGTCCCATCTCACAATCTTTCCAGAGTCCCTTCCCTGGATTCTTGAATGCTTTGAGATGAACACTGTGTAGACGAAAACACTCAGATTCTTCTTGGCTTGGGTTCTTTCTGTGGCAAAGGCTAGACCTGAACAGCCAGTAACAGATGCTGGAAAATGTTCACCCAAAGCCCAAGACTTTGATTCTTCAAAACCCGCACAGTATGTAGCCTGTGTGAAGTTAATTCAATTATTAGAAACTTAGTATAGAAAAAAATCTAAAGTTGGCTCACTAGAAACAGGTAGTGTGCTTGGCTGTCATGGAGAAAAATGAAAGTAGTGAGTAAATACATATTCAACTGAAACAACCAGGTGCTCACATTGGGACTAATCAAGAGAACAACTCAGTCCACGGAGAACAGAGAAAAGCAAGGCAGAATGACGGTCCACCAGGGAGCAACACAAAGCCAGGGTAACCTCCCCCGCCCAGGGAAGCAGCGGGTGAGTGTGTGACTCTGGGAACCCACGCTTCTCCCGTGGATCTTTGCAACCCTCGAGTCAGAAGATCCCCATGTGAACCCACTCCACCATGGCCTTTAGTCTAACACACAGAGCTAAGTGGGGGCTTAGCAGAGCAGCCACTCGAGCACATGCAGAGACGTGGGAACCTTAGATACTCGGGCTTTCTGAGCTTCCCGGCAAAAGCAGCTGAAACTCTGGCAAAGCAGGAGGTTAGACCCTCATATACACCCTCAGGAAAAGGCTGAATCCAGGGGAATGAGTAGCATTCATCTTCAGGCCCTACTCCCACAACACATCAGGATAAGACCTGCTGATGCGGAACTCCAGCCAGCCACTGGTAGCAACAATTGCACCTCACTGAGCTGGAGCTCCTAGGGTTGGGGGGTGGGGTAGGGGTTGCCATATTGGCTGTGTGGCAGACTTAGCTTTTTCAGCCTTCGGGCTTTGGAAAGACCAAGGTAACCAGGGGCTGAAGTGGATCTCCAGAACAGCACAACTGCTCTATGAAAACGTGACTAGACTGCTTTTTAAAGAAGGTCCCTGATCCTGTTCCTCCTCACTGGGTGGGGCCTCCCAAACCAGGGTCTCCAGCCACCCTCAGTGGTGTTCACTGGCCAACAGAGGTTTCAAACCTCCCTGAGACAGCTCCCAGAGGGAGGGGTGGGCCACCAACTTTGCTGTTTTGGTGACTTAGCTGTCCTGCCCTTTGGGCTTTGGAGAGACATAGGTGACCAGGGGCTGAATCAGACCCCTGGCACAGCACAGCTGCTATACAAAAATGTGATGACAGCTGCTATACAAAAACATGGCCAGACTGCTTTTTAAGCGGGTCCCTGATCCAGTTCCTCTTCACTGTGTGGGGCCTCCCAACCCGGATCTCCAGCTACCTCCTACAGGTGCATTTGAGCTGGCAATGGGTCCATACCTTCCTGGGACAGAGCTCCCAGAGGGAGGGGCAGGCAGCCATGTTTGTGGTTTTGCAGCCTTCGCTGTTGATCCCTCCAGGTACTGGAAAACCCAAGTTGACTAGGAACTGGAGCGGACCCCCAACATACCACACAGCAGCCCTATTAAAAAGTGGCCAAACTGGGCCAGGCATGGTGGCTCATGCCTGTAATCCTAGCACTTTGGGAGGCCTAGGTGGGTGGATTGCCTGAGCTCAGGAGTTCAAGACCTGCCTGGGGAACATGGTGAAACCCCATCTCTACTAAAAATACAAAAAATTAGCCAGGCGTGGCAGCGGGCACCTGTAATCCCAGCTACTCAGGAGACTGAGGCAGGAGAACGCTTGAACCTGGGAGGCGGAGGTTGCAGTGAGCCAAGATTGTGCCATTTCACTCCAGCCTGGGCGAGAGAGCAAGACTCCATCTCAAAAAAATAAATAAAATAAAATAAAATAAAAATAAAAATAAATAAATAAAAAGTGGCCAGACTGTTTGGGAGGCCCAGGCAGGCAGATCACCTGAGGTCAGGAGTTCAAGACCAGCCTGGCCAACGTGGTGAAACTCCATCTCTACTGAAAATACAAAAATTGGCCAGGCGTGGTGGCATGCACCTGTAATCCCAGCTACTCAGGAGGCTGAGGCAGGAGAATCACTTGAACCTGGGAGGCGGAAGTTGCAGTGAGCTGAGATCACGCCACTGCACTCCAACCTGGGTGACAGAATGAGATTCCGTCTCAAAAAAAAAAAAAAAAGTCGCCAGACTATGTGGATGCCTGTTCCCATATCTCCTCACTGGCCACCCCCGACTAGGGCTATTGAGCCAATAGCAGCTCTGTAACTTCCTGGACAGAGCCCCCAGGGGTAACTGAAAGCCTCTATGCCACTGACTCTGCAGTGGAACTGCCCTTGCTACCCTCCAACAAACAAAAGAGCAAAGACCCTAAGTGCCTTATCCACACCACCAACAAGCTGCAGTCAACCCAAGAAGAGGAGGTCACTCCATCTCCCATGGATCCCCTCCAACCCCACTCATTACCAGACAGGGAACCTGCAGGTTGGGCCCATCGCACAGACCCGCTATCCTGAGCTGATTACACTGAGCGACTGCTGACCTGCATCTCTCTGGGGTAGAGTCCCCAGGAGACATGCAAAAGACCTTTAGCCACACCACTACTAAGGTCTCTTCCTCTGCTATCTCCAAGTTAGGGAAGGAACATAAACCCTGAGATTTCCCCAGAGCTGCAGTGGGCAGCCCAAGAGTGCCAAGCTGCGATCTGCAGCCAGAACTCAAGGGGGAGAAAAGCCCACACTTTCAGAGCACTGAGAGGGAACAAGGCTGCAAAGGAGAGGAAACATGGGGAAGCCACACAACCGAGCAAGGATCTACCAACTGACAAATACACCTAAGCACCACCTACTGGATCATACCTCAAAGCCTCAGCACCAAAAATATCTTGCTAAAAACCCCACTTGCTAAAAGAAGTCAGCTTCAAATAAAAACGCTGCAGAAAACCTCGACCCTGTGAGAACATTTAGAAAAGACATCTATTGACTGTACTTAATCTACACTGCACTTAAAGGAACACCCACATGCAGAGATGAGAAAAAACCAATGCAAAGCCTCTCGTAACTCAAGTGGCCAGAGTGTCATATGTCCTACAAGTCACCACACCAGTACTCCTCCAACAAGAGTTCTTAACCAGGCTGAGCTGGCTGGTTTTTGTATTGTCCATGAAAACTTCCCCAACTTTGCTAGAGAGGCCAAAAGTCAAATTCAGGAAATACAGAGAATCTCTGCAAGATTCTACACCAGAAGGTCATCCACAAAACACATAATCATCAGATTTTCCAAGGTCAAAATGGAAAAAAAGAATGTTAAAGGCAGCCAGAGAAAAAAGGTAGGTCACCTACAAAGGGAATCCCATGAGGCTAACAGTAGACCTCTCAGCTAAAACCTTATAAGCTAGGACAGATTGGAAGCTTATATTAAATTTTTTTTTTTTTTTGAAACGGAGTCTCGTTCTGTCGCCCACGCTGGAGTGCAGTGGTGCAGTCTCGGCTCACTGCAAGTTCTGCCTCCCAGGTTCATGCCATTTTCCTGCCTCAGCCTCCCAAGTAGCTGGGATTACAGGCACCCACCACCACGCCCGGCTAATTTCTGGTATTTTTAGTAGAGATGGGTTTCACCGTGTTAGCCAGGATGGTCTCAATCTCCTGACCTCGTGATCCGCCCGCCTTGGCCTCCCAAAGTGCTGGGATTACAGGCGTGAGCCACCGCACCCGGCCATATTCAACATTCTTAAAGAAAAAAAAATTCCTCACCACAGATTTCATATCTGGCCCAACTAACTTCCTAAGTAAAGGAGAAATAAGTTCCTTTTCAAATAAGCAAATGTTGAGTGAGCAATGGAACACTAAGTATAGAAAGGAAATACCACTACCAGCTAATAGAAAAACACACTTAAATACACAGACCAGTAACAGTATAAAGCAACCACAAAAACAAACCAGCATAATAACCAGCTAACAACACAATGACAGGATCAAATCCACACATATCAATACCAACCTTGAATGTAAACTGGCTAAATGCCCCACTTTAAAGGCACAGAGTGTCAAGCTGGATGAAAAAGCAAGATCCCATGAAATGCTGTCTTCAAGAGACCCATCTCACATGTAATGACACCTATAGGCTCAAAATAAAGAAATGGAGGAAAATCAAATAGGAAACAGAAAAAAGCAGATATTGCTATCCTAATTTCAGACAAAATAGATTTTAAACCAACAAAGATCAAAAAAGACAAAGAAGGGCATTACATCATAGTAAAGGGTTCAATTCAACAAGAAGACCTAACTATCCCAAATATATACACACCCAACACAGGAGTACCCAGATTTATAAAGCAAGTTCTTAGAGATCTACAAAGAAACACAGACTCCCACATAATAATAGCGGGAGACTTCAACACCCCACTGACAGTATTAGATCATTGAGGGAGAAAATTAACAAGGATATTCAGAACCTGAACTCAATATTGTACCAAATCAATCTGATAGACCTCTACAGAACTCTCCACCCAAAAACAACAGAATATACATTCTTCTCATCGTCATATGGTGCATAACTCTAAAATCGACCACATAACTGGACATAAAACAATCCCTGGCAAATGGAAAAGAACCAAATTCATACCAAACACACTCTCAGGCCACAGTGCAATAAATGTAGAAGACTAAAAAAATTGCTCAAAACCATGAAATTACATGGAAATTATGCAACATGCTCCTGAATCACTTTTGGGTAAATAATGAAATTAAGGCAGAAATGAAGATGTTCTTTGAAACTAATGAGAACAAAGATACAATATACCAGGATATTTGTGATACAGCTAGGGTAGTGTTAAGAAAGACATTAATTTCTGCATTAAATGCCCACATCAAAAACTTAGAAAGATCTCAAATTAACAATCTAACATCACAACTGAAAGAGAAGCAAGAACAAATCAACCATAAAGCTAGCAGAAGGCAAGAAATAACCAAAATCAGAGCTGAACTAAAGAAAATCACGACATGAAAAACTATTCAAAAGATCAATGAGTCCAGGAGTTTGTTTTTTGAAAACATTAGTAAGACAGACATGCCACTAGCTCGACTAATAAAGATGAAAGGAGAGAAGATCCAAATATACAAAATGAGAAATGATGAGGGAGGTGCTACCACCGACCCCACAGAAATAAAAATAACCATCAGAAACTACTATGAACACCTCTATGTATACAAACTAGAAATCCTAGAAGAGATGGACAAATTTGTGGACACATACACCCTCCTAAGAATGAACCAGAAAGAAATTGATTCCCTGAACAGAACAATAACAAGCTCTGATATTGAATCAGCAATAAACAGTCTACCAACCAATAAAAGCCCAGGAACAGATGGATTCACAGCCAAATTCTACCAGATATACAAGTAAGAGCTGGTACCATTCTTACTGAAACATCTCCAGAAAACTGAAGAGAAGGGACTGCTTCTCAACTCATTCCATGAGACTAACATCATCCTGATACCAAAACCTCGCAGACACACAACAAAAAAAGAGAAAATTTTAGGCCAATATCTTCGATGAATATCAATGGAAAAATCCTAAGCAAAATACTTGCAAACTGAATCCAGCAGCACAGCAAAAGTTAATCCACCATGATCAAGTAGGCTTCACATCCAGGATACAAGCTTGGTTCAACACAGGCAAATCAATAAATGTGATTCATCACATAAATAGAACTAAAGACAAAAACCACAGGATTATCTCAATAGATGCAGAAAAGACTTTTGGTAAAATTCAACGTCTTCTATGTTAAAAACTCTCAATAAACTAGGTATTGAAGGAACATACCTCAAAATAATAGGAGCTATATATGAAAAACCCACAGCCAACATCATACTGAATGGGCAACAGCTGAAAACATTCCCCTTGTAAACCAGCACAAGACAAGGATGCCCTCTCTCACTGTTCTTATTAAACATGTTATTGGATGTCCTAGCCAGAGAAATCAGGCAAGGGAAAGAAACAGAGGGCATCCAAATAGGAAAAGAGGGAGTCAAACTGTCGCTGTTTGAAGATGACATGATTCTATACGTAGAAAACCCCATAATTTTGGCCCCAAAGCTCCTTCAGCTGATAAACAACTTCAGCAAAGTTTCAGGATACAAAATCAATATACAAAAATCACTAGCATTCCTATACACTAACAACAACCAAGCAGAAAGCCAAATCAGGAACACAATCCAATTCACAACTGCCACAAAAAGGATAAAATACCTAGAAATACGGCTAACCAAGGTGGTGAAATATTTCTAGAATGAAAATTACAAAATACTACTCAAAGAAATCAGAAAAGACACAAACAAATGGAAAAACATCCCATGCTCATGGATAGGAAGAATCAACATCTTTGAAATGTCCATGCTGGCCAAAGCAACCTACAGATTCAATGTTATTCTTATCAAACTACCAAAGATACTCTTCATAGAAAAAACTATTTTAAAATTCATATGGAATCAAAAAAGGGGCTCAAATAGCCCAGGCAATCTTAAGCAAATAGAACAAAGCTGGAGGCACCACATTTCCTGGCTATAAACTATACCACAGGGCTACAGTAACCAAAAGAGTGTGGTACTGGTACAAAAACAGGCACATAGACCAATGGAACAGAATAGAGAACCCAGAAATAAAGCCACACACCTATGACCATCTGATCTTCCACAAAGTTGACTAAAACAAACAATAGGGAAAAGACTTTGTATTCAATAAATGGTGCTGGAATAACTGGCTAACCATATGCAGAAGATTGAAGCTGGACCCCTTCCTTAGACTGTATATAAAAATCAACTCGAGATGGATTAAAGACTTAAATGAACAACTCGAAACTATAGAAATCTTGGAAGACAACCTAGGCAATACCATCCTAGACATAGGAACAGGCAAAGATTGCATGACAAAGACACCAAAACCTATTGCAACCAAAGCAAACATTGACAAATTGAATCTAATCAAACTTAAGAGCTTCTTCACAGCAAAAAAGAAAAGAAAGAACAAAACTATCAACAGAATAAACAGATAACCTACAGAATGGGAGAAAATATTTGCAAACTATGCATCTGACAAAGGTCTAATATCCATTATCTATAAGAAACTTAAACAAGTGTATATAAGAGAAAAACAACCCCATTAAAAAGTGGGCAAAGGACATGAATGGACACTTCTCAAAAGAAGACATACATGCAGCCAACAGGCATATGAAAAAAGATCAATATCATTGATCATTAGAGAAATATAATCAAAACCACAATGAGATAACATCTCACACCAGTTAGAATGGCTATTACTAAAAAGTCAACAAATAACAGATGCTGGCAATGTTGCAAAGACAAGGGAACACTTATACACTATTGGTGGGAGTGTAAACTAGTTCAACCGTTGTGGAAAGCAGTATGGCGATTCCTCAAAGAGCTAAAAACAGAACTAGCATTTCCCTCATCCTCAAGGAGCTAAAACCAGAACTACCATTCCACCCAGCAATCCCATTACTGGGAATCCCATTACTGGAGGAATACAAATCATTCTACCATAAAGACACATGCATGTGAATGTTCATTACAGCACAATTCACGATAGCAAAGACATGGAATCAACCTAAATGCCCACCAACTACAGACTGGATAAAGAAAATGTGGTACACATACACCATTAAATGCTATACAGCCATCAAAAAGGACAAGATCATGTCTTTTAGGGGAACATGAATAGAGATGGAGGCTATCATTCTTAGGAAACTAACACAAGAACAGAAAACCAAATACCCCATGTTCTCATTCATAAGTGGGAGCTAAATGATGAGCACTCATGAACACCAACAAGGGAATAATAGATTCTGGGGTGTAATTGAAGGTGGAGTGGGGGATGAGGGAGAGGAACAGAAGAAACAACAATTGCCTACTTGGCTTAATATCTGGGTGATGAAATAATCTGTACAACAAACCCCCATGACATAAGTTTACCTATGCAACAAAGCTTCACATGTATCCCCCCAACCTAAAATTAAAGTTAAAAAAAACTTGGTGTAGCAATGTAGTGTGATAGTTCATTTATTTATTCAACAATTATTTATGGAGAGTCTACCATGTTCCATGACTTGTTCTGGCCACTGTCAATGAAACAAATAAAGAAAATAAAATACAAAATTGATGTCCTCATGGAGCTTAAATTCTAGTGGAAATAGAGTATGAACAATAAACAAACATATAAGTAATTTTTAAAGGGATGGTACATACCATGAAGAAAAAGGAATCAGTTATGGAAAATAGATAGTTAAAATGGAGCATACTACTTTATATAGCATAGCCAAAGAAGGCCTCCTTGAAACGCATTTGAGAATAAATCTGAATGACATAATTGGGCCAGGTGCATGTGTTGAGGAAGTATATAAGAGGCAGAGAGAAGATCAAGTGCAAGGACACCAAGTCAGACCAAGCTCAGGATATCTGACTTATGACCAGGTGGTGAGCATATTTGAGGCAAAGTCTGTAGCTGAGGAAGAGAGCTGTAGCAAAGATGATCATTCACCACGATAACTGTGCCTAAACCACAATAAGCCTTGCAGACCATGTGAAGTCAGTGGAGGGTTCTGAGAAAGGGGAGAACATGACTTTACTAAGGTTTTAATAGAATAATGGCTCTGGAGTTACACTTGGAAGCTTAGCTCCCAAATGCAAAATAGGGATAGGCATGCCTATTCTCCTAAGAATGTTGGAAAAGTTAAACGAGATACTCCCTAGAAAGTTCTCAGCATGTAATAAGCTTTACCAATATAAGCAGTTACTACTGTGGTTGCAATGGTTAGTCATAATAATTTGCTTCCAGGGAACACAGGAGATATAATCTGAGGTACCAAAAGACAAAATTAGATAGGACAGAAATTTATCATTATCTTGAATCTATTTATCTTAAATCTCAAGGGAAGAAACAAACATAAAGAAAAAAGAAAATAATGGAAAGTAAAGATGCATCATGTTTCTTAAAATTAACATAATTTCCTTGGCCAGGTGTGGTGGCTCACACGTGTAATCCCAGCACTTTGGGAGTTCGAGGTGGGCGGATCACAAGGTCAGGAGTTCGAGACCAGCCTGGCCAATATGGTGAAACCCCATCTCTACTAAAAATACAAAAAATTAGCCAGGCGTGGTGGCAAGCACCTGTAGTCCCAGCTACTTGGGAGGCTGAGGCAGGAGAATCACTTGAACCCAGGAGGCAGAGGTTGCAATGAGCCGAGATTGCACCACTGCACTCCAGCCTGGGCAACAGAGTGAGAAACCAGAAATAAATGGGTAATCCCAGCTACTCAGGTACTCAGGAAGGCTGAGGCAGGAGAATTGTTTGAACCCGGGAGGCAGAGGTTGTTGTGAGCCAAGATTGCACCACTGCACTCCAGCCTGGGCAACAAGAGCAAAACTCGGTCTCAAAAAAAAAAAAAAAGAAAAGATAATTTCCTTGATATTTATATTCCTAGAGGATATTTAGCAGGGCATGTTAATAATAGTGGGGCCTATGTAATTTGCATGTTGGGCTTCAAGGACTGAAATACTCCATACTTGAAACCAGGTATCATTTTCACAAAACTTCAGAAAACACTGTTTGAGGAAGGTGAATTGGTGGCATATAATGTTAGAGAACAGACTTTCTGATACCATGGCCTACATAAACTCTTCCTAAACCATTTTGGCCCTATGACTTATTTATTACCCCTGCCAAAGTCACCTACTTTAATTTTCTACATACGTTCCTGCTTTTTAGATGCCTATTTTTCAAACTATATTTCTCTAATTCTCTCAAAAAATAATATATCCTCCAATTCACCTCAATTAGGCAGCATTTTCAATTTTCAATAGCTGGCTCCAATTTCTAATTACACCAATAACTCCTTCACCTCGAGGCCTTTGTAATTCTCTCACTTCAGAACATTTAGTGTTTATACGCCTACCTTACAAGAAAAGCGATCAGGGGTCACCCTTCCAAAAAGAGTCAGTGCCAGGGCTTGTCACAGTAATGGGCTCTGAAGTCGCCAATGCAGGTTTTGCCAATGACCTGCTGAGTGACCTTGGGCAAGCTGCCCAACCTCTCTGGGCTGTGCTTTAAAAATGCTGATTGACCTCACAAGGTTGCTGGGAGGAATTACTACTAATCAACCTGATTGTGAAACATTTAGTCAATATAGAGTACTTTATAAATATTTACTAATATACAATGAGCTCACTGCATCTAAGAGCCAGGAGATTTGCATAACCACAGAAAACTCTGTCTGGACCCCACAATAGCAGTCAACATTGTGCCTGAAATGGTTTTTTAAATCTTATATATTATCAGCATTCTGGGATGATTTCGGTTTTTTATCCTAAGTGAGGAGAATGAACTAGATCAGGGAAGCTTTAGAAGTCACTTACAAGTCAAAGAAAACAATGATCTAGTCCATTAAAGTGGCATAATTATATGCAGAAAACAAATTATTATGACATTCATAATAAAGTGTGTGTACAACTGAGCTTATCACTCAAGAAACCAAGTGAACTAAGGACAATATATGACAGACACTGTTTTGGTTACTTTGGATACAATACTCAATAAAACAAGCAAGGATCCTACTCTTCAAGAGCCTGCATTTTAGCATAAGAGACAATCAATCCAACCAATCTGACTGTTGACATTTTCTTGTTTACATATGTACTCAGATGAAAACAAAACTGTGTTGCAGTAAAAAGTGACAGTACTTTACATTTGATGACCTTGGAAAACCTCTCCTAGCAGATGACATAAGCTGGGAGGCACATGGCTGTGCACTGGAAACAGAACAAACTACAAGTGCAAATGCCTTTAAGATGTATTAGAGGAACCACAAGACAGTCATATGCTTATAGTTCAGACGGTGATGACTAGAAAGAGGCAGGCAGTTGCTAGATCACGTATGGCCTTTATTGGAGTACAGGATAAGACATTTGGATTTTATTATGTGTAAAGTAAGAAATCATATGAGGGATTTCAGCAAAGACATATCATGAACTGACAACATTTTTGTGTTTTTTCTGCTTGTTTTGCTTTGTTTTTATTTTTTAATGTATTATTTTATTTAAATAGCTTTTGGGGTAAAAGTGATTTTTGGTTGCATGGATGAATTATATAGCGGTGAATTCTGAGATTTTAGTGCACCCATCACCTGGGTAGTGTACATCGTACCCAATACGTAGTTTTTTATCCCACATCCCCCTTCCACTCTCCTCCTCCTGAGTCTCCAGAGTCCATTTTATCACTCTGTATGTCTTTGCTTACTCATAGCTCAGCTCCCACTTCTAAGTGAGAACAAACGGTATTTGATTTTCCATTCCTGAGTTACTTCACTTAGAATAATGGCTTCAAGCTCTATTCAAGTTGCCACAAAAGATATTGTTTCCTTCCTTTTTATGGCTGAATAGTATCCCAGGATGTATATATACCACGTTTTCTTTATCCATTCGTTGGTCAGTGGGCACTTATGTTGGTTCCATGTCTTTGCAATTGTGAATTGAGCTGCAATAAACATACATGTTCAGGTATCTTGTTCATATAATGACTTATTTTCCCTTGGGTAGATACTCAGTAGTGGGATTGCTGGATTGAATGGTAGATTTACTCTCAGTTCTTTAAGGAATCTCCATACTGTTTTCCATAGAGGTTGTACAAATTTACATTCCCACCAGCAGTGTATAAGCGTTCCCCTTTCACCATATTCATACTAACATCTATTGTTTTTTGACTTTTTAATAATGGCCATTGTTGCAGGAGTAAGGTGTTATCTTACCATGGCTGTAATTTGCATTTCCCTGGTGATATTGAGCATTTTTTCATGTTTATTAGCTATTTGTATATCTTCTTTTGAGAAATGTCTGTTCATGTCATTTGCCCACTTTTTGATGGTATTATTTCTGACAACATTTTTGAGGGATAATTTTGGCTGCTGAATAAAATACAGAGTGACAGAAGTAGAAAAAGTAGGGAGGCCAGTTAAGTGACACTGATGGCTTGGACTAGGGACTTATGCTAGGAGTCATTTCTGGGCTTTATTTTTTCAGTTAGGAGTATAGGCTATGATCAGTTATCATTTGCCTCAAAATATAGTCATTTATAATTATTTTGATTTATAAATCAAAATAATTTCTATTTATTATTTATATTTTCTAGTTATGACTTTTAATATTTCTTCAATTTAAGCTCTTCTTCAGCATAATTCTGATTCAGTGCCTGAACCTTCCTTTTCACTTAGAACCAGGCAATTGCTGAAGCATTCTGGTTAAAGATACACTGTAAGGAATGCAGCTTCTCTGACATTGAGGGCGCGGTTTTTATAATCAACATGAATAATTCAGCAGTGCATTATTTGTGCTTTATTATTGTTTGCTTCAACTTGAACTGTAGTTAGAAGTTATGAACTTTTTTTTTAATCAGCAGAAGCTCATCCATCACTCTGCATCCCTTGCATCTACCAGGTTATAAAATTCACTATTTATAGCAACAATTGCGATGTGAAATGAGAATCAGTATTTTGTTCCTCTGATACCTAACCTTAGGTCAAGCACAGGATCTAGAGATGGATTTTTACAGGAAGTGAAATGAAAGCACACTGCTGGAGATTAATGCCAGTCTGGTTGCTCTAGGGAATGCCCTCTCTGGCTGCTTCCCAGAAGAAAAATGGTAAGTAATGTGGATTGTATGTCAAATCTACACAGTGGGTGGCAGTGGAATGACGGACAGGATGCCCAAGTGGTCTGGCATCAGAGTCCATGAGCCTAATTTTCTCAAAATGAGTGATGATCTCCTAAAATCCTGTTCAGAGATTGCTTGGGAAAGAAGTCTCCAGGACTCATTACTTAATTCGTTCAGTCTTCAGCTCTTTATTATATCATTTATGTTGTTAGCTCTGCTCTAAACTTCTTTCCCATGTCACAATATAACTTCTCGTGTCTCTTGCAAATACTACCAACATGAATAGCCACTTTAATCAGTCCTTCTCTTCTGATAACTGAAGAGGGGGCATTTTCATGTCATTAAGAGGTTTTTTCAGAGTAAGCTTCTGGAGGACAAAGACTGTGCCTGTACTGTTTCCTTTGTAAAGTGCCTAGCATAAAGTCTTTACTAATTAGACATTTACCTAATGATTCTGATAATTATGAAGCTAATGAGAATCACTGGTTATTTTTATACCTCTGAAAACATTTCAACTCTTTTGTGCTTTAATGTCTGAAAATCTTTAGGGAGAACTTTTCTTTTGCCACAGCTTGATTTTTCTACAAATTATGAACAATACAAAATCTTCTCAAAAATTCAGGGATCAAACTCAGGCTGGTTAATGGGCTGTAAGAGAAAAATGCTAGCATCAGTCTACTTTTGAACAAGTAGAACTCTATTCAAAGAATAAAGTGGGAATGGGCACACTAGCTCATGCCTGTATTCCTAGCAGTTTGGGAGGTCGAGCAGGGAGGATTGCTTGAGGCTAGGAGTTTCAGACCAGCCTGCACAACATAGAAAGACCCTGTTTCTACAAAAAAAAAAATTAGTTGTGCATGGTGGTGCAATGCCTGTAGTTCCAGTTTCTCAGTGAGTTATGATTGTGTCACTGCACTCCAATCAGGGTGACAGACCGAGTCCATCTCAAAACAGAACAAAACAAAAAACTGAATATAGGCCCAGCAAAAACATGGGTAATGTTTGGTGACAGGTGGGAAATAAAATAAATATTTGACCTACGTATCTAGGATTTGTGGGATTCGAATTCTAGATTAGAATCTGGGAATATGCCGGTCCTGACAGAATCCAGTCCCTCGGGGAAGCCACACTCAGTGTACAGCTTCAGTGAGGAATTACTCCTACAGATGAATCACCTTTGAAATGCAGAACCGTATTCTGGTTCTGTGGTGCAGAGAAGAGAGGCAATGGGAGGAGACATGCCACAAAAAAGCAGGCAGATTCTTCCATAATACCTGGCAGGGTATTCTTACAGACATAGTGTCCCACTTTTCAGAGGGTGGAAACAACTCTCAGAGTAGTAAGGAGGGTTCCAAATGTCAGTTTGTCTGACTCCAAAGTCCTTAGTCATAATCTCTACCCGATACTATCTCTCTAACATACTATCCAAGAGTGAATTGAATATTGCTGGTTTCTCTACTCCTACTCCTAGTCTATGAATGTCCCCATGGTATAAATGGCCAGGTCATACCATACATGACTTCAGGTCTCTGTTTCTGGCAAGGTAGTAAATTTTTATGAGCGGACCAAGAGCAGACAGGGCTTTTTTTTTTTTTTTAAGTCCAGATACTACAAAATTCCCTCACCTTGCCACTGTTTCTCAGCTGGGGTACCACTGTCTTCTGGGGGACTCCTTGTGGGAGGTTATAAACTTGTCACAATAATTCGGGATATACATACTGCAGGGGGCCTGGGAATATGCTATGTTCTGAATGTTTGTGTTCACCCTAAAATTCATATGTTGAAACCTAATTACCAATACAATGGTATTAGGAGCTGGAGACCTTGGGGCGGTGATTAGGTTATAAGGGCAGAGACCTCATTACTGGGATTAACACCCTTATTAAGGGGCTGCCTTGCCCCTTTCTGCCATGTGAGGATATCATCTATGAACCCCATAAAGAGCCTTTGCCAGACACCAAATCTGCCAGTGCCTTGATCTTAAACTTCCCAGCCTCCAAAACTGAGAAAAAAATTTGTTTTTTATAAACTACCTAGTATATATATATATATATATATATATATATTTTATAGCAGCCTGAATGGACTAAGACAGGAAGTTGATGTCATCACACAAAATTTTTATATGTCCCTCTGGGTTTTTGTGTAATTTTGTGTAAAATTTATATGTAATTTTACATATAAAAATTTCTAGGTTTTTTGCATTTTTTACATATACTAATGTTTACAGAATGTGACTCCCATGTAAGTGAGGAAATACTGTATTCTTTTTTAAAAAATTTCCCTGGGCGCAATGACTCGTACCTGTAATCCCAGCACTTTGGGAAGCTGAGGCTGGCGAATCATGAGGTCAGGAGATTGAGACCATCCTGGCTAACACGGTGAAACACCGTCTCTACTAAAAATACAAAAAAAAAGTAGCCGGACATGGTGGTGGGCGCCTGTAGTCCCAGCTACTCGGGGGGCTGAGGCAGGAGAATGGCGTGAACCCGGGAGGCAGAGCTTGCAGTGAGCCAAGATGGCACCACTGCACTCCAGCCTGGGCGACAGAGTGAGACTCCATCAAAAAAAAAAAAAAAATTCATTGATAACTTACCAAGAGTGAGCAATGGTGAGCATGCCGTTTAAGAAAGTCACATAACTGATGACCACACTGCTCACGGAACTTGCCAACCCTACTCACTTGTATCAGTCTTCACAGCTCTTCTGACAACTTTATTACTTTTGGCAGTGTAATGTCTAAACACTCACATACTAAAATACATTTTTAATCCATTCAGTTATTATATATTACACTCTTTTTATCTCTACATTGTATTACAGTTAGGGGATTATTTAGTTATTTTTAACCACATGTGTAGGTGAGTGTAAGTAGGCAGAATTTTCCCTCCTCCTCTCCTAAAGATGTTCTTCCCTAATGAATAGGTTAGATGACATGACAAAAGGGACTTTGTAGATGTAAGTGTGGTTACTGATCAGTTGTCCTTAAAATCAGGAGATTATCCTGGATTATCCAGGCCGACCTGATATAATCTCATGTGCTCCTAAAGGCAGAAGAAAAAGAGAGATTTAAAGTGTGAGAAGGACAGCCCCTGCCATTGCTGAAGATGGAGAGGGCCAAGTGAGGAGAGCTGTGGGTGGTGTGAAGGAGCAGAGAACAAGCCTTAGCTGTCAGCCAGCAAAGGCACAGTGAACTCAGACCTACAGCCTTAGGACCTGGATGTGCCAATAACCTGAATCAGCACAGAAGAGAATGCCTCCCCAGAGCCCCCAGATGGGAGTCCAGCCAGCTGATACCTTAACATCAGCCTTGTGAAACCCTAAGCAGTGAGCAAGCTGAGCTCATCTGGACTTCTGATCTACAGAATTGTGTGAGGTAATATATGGATACACTTTTAAGATGCTAAATTTATGGTAATTTGTTAGGAAGCAATAGAAAGCTAATGTAGTTTCATGTGAGATATTAGTTCTGCTAAAGCTAATAACGACAGCACAAGGTGGTTGGTGGCTAAGGTGCCTGGAACGCAAAGTGTTCACAGTATCATTATTTGGAACCTGGGACAGGTATTGATCAGGCTTCAATAATAGTTCCAAATGAAGTCTTTAGGTATGAGAGTTCCATTTGACTTGTTGAATAAGCATGCTCTGTCCTTCCTGATAGTCAAAGGTACAAAAAGAATTGTTGCACTTCAGTCTTATTACATTTAAAGATACTATGAAATAAAGACTAGCTTTGGTGCTAAAAAACTATAAAATCATCTTTTTTGTGTTAAAAGAAAAAATACCTATGAACATATTTAGGAAAACAAAATTTTTCAGTTGAAGAGTTCCTAAATATGTCACTGAAGGGCATTAAAGGGCCAATTTTCTAAAGGAGAGTCTGTCTGGCATTTATGAAGTGGGGAGAAGGATACAGTCTGTTAAAGATTCAGATTCATGGGTTTCTTTCCCAAAGCTTCTAAACCAACAGGTCTTGGAAGTGCTCAGAAATCTATAGTCTAATAAGCTTCCTAGAATTAGTACAATCTACTTTGAGAAAAGGTTTAGGTAAGGGAATTATATGAAGAGTGTTTGAAACTCCAGAGGATAAACAAATAGGCTAAAAATAACCTAACAAACAATGAAGTAGAAGAGAAATGGAAGAAGAGTATCAGTATAACTCTTTGTGCAAACTCAGCTACTACCCTAAGAAACAAGCAGTAGGCCATTTCGAAAGCAGAATAAGCCGGGCACGGTGGCTCACGCCTGTAATCCCAGCACTTTGGGAGGCCGAGGCGGGCGGATCACAAGGTCAGGAGATGGAGACCATCCTGGCTAACATGGTGAAACCCCATCTCTACTAAAAATACAAAAAAAATTAGCTGGGTGTGGTGGCAGGCGCCTGTAGTCCCAGCTACTTGGGAGAATGGCGTGAACCCAGGAGGTGGAGCTTTCAGTGAGCTGAGATCACGTCACTACACTCCAGCCTGGGCAACAGAGCAAGACTCTGTCTCAAAAAAAAAAAAAAAAAAAAAAGAAGCAGAATAAATCTCCTCAAAGGACATGACAAAGAGCAATGACTTTAGAACAGAGAGGTTATGCGGTCCAGTAAAATGACTTTGGGCTTTAGGGACAGCTAGACCTTCATTAACATCCTTACTGATTCACTCACAAAGTCACTACAGGAATTTTCTCCATCTTTTTAAGTTTTAGTGTCTTCCTCTGCAAAATAGGAACAGCAGTGCCTAATCCTTAAGTAAGTGTTGAAGATTAAAATAACTATCGTCATTTTGGCAAACTGTAGCTATTTAATAAATACCTATTCTTTTGTCTGCTCTCTGTTAGAAACAAAAGCTCCAAAGGTGACAAATATATTCCAAATTGACTAATCCCACTCCTGGTCTTTAACCTTTTCAGAGAAAAAAGCTTGCATCCCATTATTTTTTAAAGGCCAGAAAAGGAAATTCATTAACATCTCTTAGTCATTTGTTCCAGTAACATCATTTATACCAGAAATGCCTTCTTCAAATCCCACCTAATAAAACTGGAACCTATTATCTATCTACAACATGTACTCATGAAGTAGAGAAGAAATTAAAATGAGACAGCTAATGTCACTAGAGACCAACGGGCTTAACAGCAAGAGCTAAGAAGATTCAAATTTGTTGCCACCTTACTAAGCCACCATTTTTAGAATAGATTTCTTACCCGATATCCTATTTATCCCCTGTGAATTGGTAATAATTATGGTAACAATCCCCCTTTGATATGCTTGTATTCATTCAACCAACATGTACTGAACATTCTATTGTATGCCATAGGCCCTGCAAAATACTGTGGGCACAGAAATGAATAGAAGTTGGTTGGTTGCTCCCTAGGATCTCTGAGGGCAAGCTTGGCTAAAGTGAAATCTAAGTTACTACCTCTTTCAGATGCTCCACGGAGGCAATAAATACCTAAGTTCTCTGTGTCTGGATTTAGTACAGTTGCTTCTGAGTTATTATTTGTCATTCCCAGCTTCACCCAAGATACCTGGAGAATGAACTGCAATTCCCCTGGTTCCACCATTATGCTGTGAATCTGAGCATACTATTGGGAATATGGTCTACCAGAGGTATCCAATCTTTTGACTTCCCTAGGCCATATTGGACGAAGAAGAATTGTCTTGGGCCACACATAAAATACACTAACATTAATGATAGCTGATGAGCTTAAAAAAAAAAAATCACCAAAAAAGTCTCATAATGTTTTAAGAAAGTTTATAGATTTGTGTTGGGATGCATTCAAAGCCATTCTGGACTGTGAGTTGGGCAAGCTTGGTCTAGGTCAACATTTGGCAAACTTTTTTCTGTAAAGGTTCGGGCACTACATATTCTTGGCTTTGTGGGTCATAGAGTCTCATTTGCAATTTTTCAACTCTCCCATTAGAGCATGGACAATATGTAAACAGATAGGTGCAGCTGTGTTCCAATAAAACTTTATTTATAATCAGGTGGTAGGCAGAATTTGGCTGTTGTTGACCCTAGTCTAGATACTTTAGGCTAAAATTCCTAGTTGCTGACTTTTTAGCTTTTTAACCTGAGATTACACACGCACACTCACACTCACACACACACATACACACACAATCTATTTGTGTGGAGGCGGGGACAAAAACACAAAAACAAAACCAAAACAGTGGTTTTCCTTACAAAGGGATTCACTAGAGAATTTTAATAAGAATGAGATTAACCATGAATTACATTGGATGGAGACGCAGCACAGGCTTGGATTTGGGGCTCTGCACTTGACAACCTCCTGATGATTGTTGAGGTGGAACACTGAATGACTCCATTTCAAAAACAAACACAAAACCCCAGCAAAACTTTCATAGAATCAGGTTCCATTCTGATCACACTGAATGACCATCCCCACATACACATTATATAACATTTCGACTACAAAAGCCGTATGATTGCAGAAATGATTGTTGAAAGACCTAGAAGAGGTTCTACAGAAGGTGTCCCAGCATCTTTGGAGATATCCATCCAGTATGTTTTCCTCACCATTTGTAGAAAGCCACTGGCATTTCAGAGTCAGATGGTTTTCAATTTGATTTGATTTTAGAAGACCCACTTGTAGCCGACCTGAGATACACGTATGACCAACATAAGCATGTTATAGGCCTTCAAAGTGCTTCTGAATGACGGGTGAGGTTTATAAGTTTAGCATATGTTGTCAGGAATGTTAATAAAATCTTCATAGATTTTTTCTTTTACCCTTCGATCTTGCAGATTCTACGCCATGCTCAAAGACTGAATGGGGGCCATAGGAGCTAAAGTGCAACATCATTTAAAAATATAATTAGCAAATGTATTTTTTTTTTTTTTTGAGACGGAGTCTTGCTCTATCACCCAGGCTGGAGTGCAGTGGCACGATCTCGGCTCACTGCAAGCTCCGCCTCCTGAGTTCACGCTATTCTCCCGCCTCAGCCTCCCGCATAGCTGAGACTACAGGTGCCTGCCACCTGGCTAATTTTATTGTTGTATTTTTAGTAGAGACGGGGTTTCACCATGTTAGCCAGGATGGTCTCGATCTCCTGACCTCGTGATCCACCCGCCTCAGCCTCCCAGAGTGGTAGGATTACAGGCGTGAGCCACCACGCCCGGCCTTCAAATCTATTAACCAATGGTCTTGGTTGTATATCTATTGCCAGCTCTACTCATTTCTTTGACTTAAGCTTCTCTGACTCACCAGGGAAAAGAAAACGATGATGTTTCTGATCTTGCACAGGTAAGTTGACCTTTCATACAGTGTCACAGCAGGAAGAACCTGGCTTGTTCACTATTTTTATATGTTGGCATCTGCAGTCCGGTACAGTCTTGCTCAAAATTCATAATACACCCATAGCTAGAGTTCTGAGCCAATAGATTGTTATTTTTTTTGCTGAGAACATAAGTCATTTCTCAAGCCTTAATATATATCTACAACCTTGCTTCCTCTCCCTAATTCTGTAAACTACTTAGCATCTGGGAAAGCTGTAAAAACTTACTCTGTCTTCTCTTATTTCCTCTTTTCCTCTCTCCTTCTTTCTTTCTCTCATTGTAACTATATTCATGGCACTCCCGCAATGTTCTGTGAGAACTAAGGCTCTTGGATTCCACTGATATGAAAATTTAAGCATTAAATTCCTTTTTACAAGATTTTGAATAGTCTAGCCACAGCCTATTGTGGAAAAAACAACTTCCTCTCAAATAGAGTGCTGAGATAACGTAAGATTATCTAAGCTATAACCACCTTTCTCTGGAAGCATCAAAGATTGTCTTTTGTCTTATATTCTGGGAAAGCTTTCCCACTCAGCAAATGAGGCACCTTAACCTTCACATTCTATTTTTTTTTTCTTTTAAATTTATGGACACCATTTAGGGAGATTTCAATTCCCATTAATAATATGTGCAATTGATCTACATTTAAGAGAATTTAATCATGTCTTGGTGACAAATTTAGCTTAAAGCAGAGCTTCACTTAGGACTTCCAAGTAAATTTCCATTGAAAAGGTCAATTTCTAACATTTGTCAGTTAAAGCCCATACCAGACAAATTAAATTCTCCTCCACTTGTCTGCTGCGTGAACACTTTCAATGCTGAATATCACCAGCGGTTGTCAATTAGGAAAACTGCCACCCTGCCCAAAAAAAATCATAATTGAGAAGTTTTTAAAAGAAGACTTGAATGTTTATCCAATAGTTAGAATTTTTTTTCATACTAAAAAGTGATCTATCTCATAGTGGCAATGAAAAAACAAAATAAAACACTGTCTTACTGGATTTTGAGTAAAATCAATTCAATGGTATAAGTATGTGAACATCTATTACTAGGAAAGAAGTCAGGGCAGGGCCTAAACTTTTACTGAAGCTTGAGTTTCACTGGGATACAAAAGCACCTGAGCAATTAGAAATTAACATGTAATCATCAAGGATAAAGACTGATAAAATCATGGATCCCTTGTTATACTGAAGACAGTGTGTGATTTTGGATAGTAGAAAATCTATGTTGTTTAGAATTTCTGTGGAAGGCTTTACAAAACAAGAAGGATATTGTAAATAGCCAATTTAGACAGATAAATAGAGGCTAAGTGCTACAATAATCATATAATTTTTTCTTCTTGCTTCTCTGTATTTTCTAATTTTCAACTGTATGTATGATTTTTTTTAGAAATATAATAAAGTTTTTAAGGAGAAAATTGGGGGGGGGGAACTTGAAGAAAGGGGAAAGAAAAAATTAGTTTTCAATTTCCTCTAGTCAGCCTCAGATCAAATAGAACTGGATGTTCTGGTTTCTCTCCTTTTTGGATCTCAATTATTGAATGCTTCATAATTTAGTCTGAAGAAAAGAATTCATGGCCAAACATCTAAAAATGATTTTTGCCCATGAGGTCAGCAGCAAAGGAAAGAGATTTGGCAGGTCTTACAAGAACTCTTCTTTCATTGTTGCAGGAAACGTGAACAACTAACAGGGCTATCTGGAGGACAGTGAAGGAACAGGCAGCCTCAGAATAGGGGAAGCAAGGATGCTCAATGTATGATTTACATGCGTATCTTCTAATATAGTGTAAGAAAAGGTAATGGTAGCCATGTGATATTGTTTGGCTGTGTCCCCCCCCAAATCTCATCTTGAATTGTAGCTCCTATAATTCCCATGTCTTATGGGAGGGACCAGGTGGAAGATAATTAAATCACGGGAATGGTTTCCCCCATACTGCTCTCATGGTAGTGAATAAGTCTCACGAGAACTGATGGCTTTATAAGGGGAAATGCCTTTTGCTTGGCTCTCATTCCCTTTTTGCCTGTCACCACATAAGACGTGCCTTTCACCTTCCCCCATGATTGTGAGGCCCCTCTAGCCATGTGCAACTGTGAGTCCATTAAACCTCTTTCTTGGCCAGGTGCAGTGGCTCACTCCTGTAATCCCAGCACTTTGGGAGGCCAAGGTGAGCGGATCACCTGAGGTCAGGAGTTCCAGACCAGCCTGGCCAACATGGTGAAACCCCATTTCTACTAAAAGTACAAAAATTAGCCTGGCATGGTAGCAGGCACCTGTAATCCCAGCTACTCAGGAGGCTGAGGCAGGAGAAGCACTTGAACCCAGGAGGTGGAGGCTGCTGTGAGCCAAGATCACACCACTGCACTACAGCCTGGGTGACAAGAGTGAGACTCTGTTTCAAAACAACAACAACAACAACAACAAAACCCAAAACCCTCTTTCTCTGTATTGATTACCCAGTCTCAAGTATGTGTTTATCAGCAACATAAAAATGGACTAATACACCATGGTGGATTATTTTCTACATTATTTTCCTGGATTTCTTCCAGAAATTAGTAATTCTTAGTAATTCTTAGAATCAAACATCACACACACACACACTCTCTGTTATCTTGGGTTGAGTGACAACACTAACTAAGCTGTCCCAAGATTATAGAGGAGGCTGTCTTTTCCAAGTACCCTGTGATTACTATCGATCTGTTCAGCTCATTGCAACTCAACCTTACCAGGCTGGTCAGGAAAGAAGGAAGAAGGATGGATGTTATTAAAGATCCTGAATACCTACTCTGCAGGTATCATTCATTAGAAGTAAACTAAATGTACCAACATTCACACATACAGAAAAGCTATGCAGCAGATCCATTCTCTTTCTAGAATCCAGACCCTATAATGCCATAAAGCTCAGACAGATTTAAGTGGAAGTTTCTACTGTGAAAGTGTAACATGGAAGTTCAAATGTATTAGACGATACAAATAACTGAGCAAAGGAAAGGCTAGAGTAGTTGTCTTCAGCAACCAGCAGTTATTTATTAAGCTATCATGTGCCCAGGACTATGCCAGGCACTAAGCAGAGAATGTTTAGAAAAAGAAGACCAGGGACCTAGAGACTGTGACCTTGAAAATATAATGGTCTTCATAAATGAGAGTTGATGGCTTCTGAAACAGAGTAGAAATATCAATTACAACAAGTCTTACCAACAGATTCATAAACACCAACAGAGTACCAGTGAAAGCACACATCAGTCACATGAGACAGTATTAATGTATTATCACTAATTAATATTAATATATTGTTTAACAACTGGCCATAATTGTGCTTTTTCAATACATGTAATAACATTCAACAAATTGTTAAAACTAAGCAACTGTTGATACATTAAAATGAAAATGACATTTAAAATATGTTAATGAATATTATTTTGAAACAATATCACTATTTGAACTTAGCAATAATTCACATCTTTACAGTATTTTGGGTTAAAAAATAGAAATCAAGATGGCAAAATCATGCCTGACATTCAGTAATTTTAGATGGATTAGAGAGTTATCAGAAAATGAAAAATGTTATTACTTTGGTATAGAGACTATAAGTTCAAATATAACCTCAGGAGGCTGAGGCAGGAGAATCACTTGAACCCAGGAGGCAGAGGTTGCAGTGAGCGGAGATCACGCCACTCTACTCCAGCCTACACGATGGAGCAAGACTCCATCTCAAAAATAAATAAATAAATATAACCTCCTAATAAAAAAGCATATATAAAGTGCTTAGAAAATAGCCTTTCAATAAGTGGTAATTATTAGCAGTAAGACAAATAATTAGCTTAAAACATACTCCTGCACTGACAGTTACAGAATCACTCTTAAAAGGATCTAGTATTGAAGACTTTGGAAATTTGCTTTCTTAAGCTACATTCTGTAATGTTTACATGACTATTATTTTTTCATTACAAATACATTGTTTTCTAACCTGTGGGCAACTTATTGATATACACAGTATTCTGTATTCTTTCTGTTGCATACAGATACACTCTAACTGAAGATGGAGTGACTACGTAGACAAAGCTGCAAACTGCATGCTCACCTGAACAGGTTACTCTTCCCTCTATCATTGACTTATTATGTAACATGAAGCAAATTCCAAATTCCCAACTCCTTGGGCCTTAGTCTTGCCAACTATAAATGGCGACAGTACTGGCTCCTCTCTGCAATCCATGGTGTCATACGGATAAGTGAAATAGAATCTGAGAACGTTCTTTGGGTTTTTATAGAAAAATATGGAACACAAACTATTCTTCCATTCTTCAGAAGCTGATTTGAGGTAATAGTTTATAGAATAAATGGAAAAGAAAAAAAAGTAAAATACTATTGGCCCAATACAGAAGTTAAGTCTCAGGCCTTCTAACTTCATAGTCTCCTTATAAGATCAAACTGACTGAGGCTGCTCAACAATTGGAAGGTATTTGGTGCTGGTGCCTGTACATTAAGGAGGTTCGTGCCTTTAACATTTTTTTCATGATAGAAACAGCACTGGAAAAGAAGAAAATATCAAGACTATCATCAAAATAAGCAAAAGAACCAAGACGGCCCTATTTACCATAAAAGTAGGGTCAGTATTTAGCTAAGTACCTGGAAACCATAGATGACCAATAAATATTTCTTGAATGAAAGTTTTCTATCCTGGTTTTACTAGTGGGAAATCAATTAGCCTTGGTTACATTACATAAAATGAGGGTAGTAATAACGTGCCTTGTTGGCTTCACAGGTTTCTATTCCGTGACCAATTTAAGTGTCACTTCGATAACCATCTCAAATGGAAATAACCTACTCTCCAACTGGAATGAATATCCTATTTGCATGTCAAAAGATAAATATAACCAACAGTGCAAAGCATGAAATGGTATCTTATATCCTCAGATTGTAAGCTGGTAAGAGTAGGAGAATCTATGTCCTAGACCTTGCTCCAAACATTGTGCCAGCCACTGCAGGAATGGAACGGAGTTTACGCTGGATAAACTAATTAACCACAGATGTGAAAGCATCTGTAAAATTTGAAAGTATTTAAAATCACAAGGTGCGGTTTTAGAAAGGTTTATGTGACACAAAAAACTACTGGGAATAAAGATGTGAAAAACATCAAGGTCATTCCAATAAACGCTTTTTTTCAATAGGAGGTAAAATTTTTTGTAGAAAGAATACTTGTCTTTACTCAAAAGTATTCAGAAATTAGAAACAATTTTCTACAGGTTCACAGAAATACGGGGAAAGGCAAGTTGTTACTTTTTGAGATACTAGGTTAAGCATCCTCTTCTCTGGTTCCCCAGGCAGCCAAAAGCTTGGCAGAAAGCTCAATCTCCTTGCCTCAAGACACTTAGTGCCGTAATGGACATACAACCTAGCCAATGCCCCTGCCAACTCTCTTTTCAGCACAGCACCAAGGAACCAAGAAAAACAGACAGCAATTGTAGGGCCTTACCACCCCAAATGTGCTCCACTGACCAGCAACAATGGCGTCACCTGGGAGCTCATTAGAAGTATAGACTCTCACACCATACACCATCCATAACAAAAGAGAGCCCCAGGTAATTTGTGTGTCTATTAAGGTATAAAAAGCACTTCCCGGCCAGGCACGGTGGCTCATGCCTGTAATCCCAGCACTTTGGGAGGCCGAGGTGGGCAGATCACAAGGTCAGGAGATCAAGAGCAACCTGGCTGACACAGGTGAAACCCCGTCTCTACTAAACATACAAAAAAATTAGCCGGGCACAGTGGCTCACACCTGTAATCCCAGCACTTTGGGAGGCCAAGGCAGGCAGATCACCAGGTCAGGAGATCAAGACCATCCTTGCTAACACGGTAAAACCCTGTCTCTACTAAAAGTACAAATAAATTGGTCGGGCGGTAGTCCCAGCTACTCGGGAGGCTGAGGCAGCAGAATAGCGTGAACCCGGGAGGCGGAGCTTGCAGTGAGCCGAGATCGCGCCACTGTACTCCAGCCTGGGTGACAGAGTGAGACTACGTCTCAAATAAAAAAAAAAAAAAAAAAAAAAAGCACTTCCCTAGACCTAGCTTGATATTAGGACACCCTGCTCTTCTGATGACTTTACACTACTATTTCTCAATTACACTACTATTTCTCAAAGTGCAGCAGGCAATGGAACAACCTAAGGGTAAATTATCTGGGGTTTTTGTAAAAATACAGACTTCTGGGTTCTACCACAAACATAGTAAAGTTACCGGGATGGCAAGCAGAAGTCTGCATTTTAAATAATCACTCAAAGTGATTCTGATGCACAATTAATTTTATGCACTATTCTTCCTTGTTGACTGAAAACCCTTGGCTATTTCCCTCCCATTTCCCTTTCTCACTGGGAACTCTGACATTTCAGGTTGTCTTTCTCTCCCTCTCCCCACTCACCATTTACAAAGATTGAACCTTTTTTTCTATCTCTAAATAATCTAGGGATTGTTTTCCTCTAATAAAATGGCTACACTCTTGATTAAGGAATGTGATAAGACTGCCATCAATTACCTTAATTGATCTGACAACCTGATTATACCTAGAAAGGGGAAAATTTCCTCAGTGGAGCCTTATTAAAAAGGAGAAAAAAAAACAAAGGTCTATATAATTAAAATGTGATCGCTAGCGATGAGTATGTAAAATCAGCCCTGAGAGGCATTAGTGATGGGAAAACTTTTCTAAATGACATCTTAGGAAGACAAAGGAACAGAAACTGGTCAAATAAATCAGTGGGCTACTAGGGGAGAATGCTGAATAGAAACACAAGGGACTCGTCTCAATTCTTAAGTTACCAGAAGTTTTGAAATTAACAAATCCACTCGTGGCTTACGATGTAGAGAGCCCTAACATTGGCCCTGTTTGTACCTCTATGAACCAAAGTGGAATGTCAGTTACTGGCACCATTTGTGGTTTTACATTTATATACATACATTTTTTTTTTTTTAACTGGGAAATCATGCTAAAAGTAAAAGCTTGAGACCACATCTCAATAGGAATTGAATAAATAATCCTATGAAGCAGAGTTCAGAGCATCGATTCTACTTTATAGTAACCATGACAGCTCCAGCAAAAAGAGCAGCAAACAACATGTGTTCCTGATTCAAGGATAATTCCTCTAGTAGTATTTATGATACATTTTCTTCTCTGACTCACTCTTAGTGGAACATATCTTCTGAATTTATCCCCTACTTGAGTAACCCCCAGGCCTTCAGGAACAGTAAAGCAACATGGTTCCCGTATTACTTTACATAACAAAAATATCTAGGTCCTAAGAGTGCTAAGAAACAGAATATTATTAATTAGGATGAACTGTCACACTGGAGTACTTGATGAAATTAATCAAGCTGATGATTGGTCTGGAGGGGATAGGAAGCTGTTTTTATAGTGCACCTGTAAATTGTGCTAATAACCGGTGGCCCCTTAGAAATCTGAAGAAAAAGTATTTTTAGATGAACAACAAGTTAGCAAAAAGTTGATAGAGTGATCAGAATCAATGAAAATACCCCTTGTACAGTGAGTATTGAGTAGGTATCAAATATATGAATGAATGGACAGATTTGAGTTTCCTGTTCTCTTGACCTATGTCAAGACAACAAAGTAATCAGAAGTTTCAATGGGAATTCTTTTTTTTTTTTTGAGAAAAGACCTTGCTCTGTTGCCCTGGCTGAAGTGCAGTGGCATCACCATAGCTCACTATAACCTCGAATTCCTGGGCTCAAGTGATCCTCCCACTTTGGCCTTCCAAGTCACTGAGATTACAGGCATGAACCACGGCACCCTGCCAGGGATCTTCTTTAAACTGAGTATAATGATCCTCTTTGACAATTACACAGAATAAAGATTAAAAAAGACCAAAAGGAATCAGCATCAAAGAAGATTTTTGTCTTAATTTAGGGCTTCAACTAAACCAATCCATTTTTAGTTTGATAAAGACATACAGGAGAATTAACAGGCTGTAGTTTTGACAATCTACTCCCATGCCTAAATCACTTAAGAAATGTACTGTTCTTTCATTTCGTGTGAGGGTCCAGGGCTGGGGAGCAGGAGGTAAACCATTCCTTCTTCTACCACAGCGTTCTCAATTGGGTAAGCATCAAAATTGCCTTAATTCTGACCAATTCACTCCAAATGTAACATTCTATGCCAGACTACATTTGCACGTGACCCTAAATATGCTTCACACAAAGCCTTCTCCATGTCTCAGAGCAAAGGTTCCTGGCATTTTATAACCTACATGAGTTTGCTACTAGGCTGATCTGCAGATGTGAAATTGAATGAAATGGACCGAGATTTCCCTTGAAGCCAAATCAAATGGGAACACGTGTCAACAAGTCACCAACACTCTTTGGTGACCCTAGAGTTAAACAACGGTTCAAATAGGATTGCAACTGCAATCCACTTGTCTTATTCGTAAACAACCTTTTATTCTAAGTCACCTGGAGTTTGACTTAGTTTAAACAGATGTGGTTATTTACCTACTTCAAATAGTCTCTGGACAATGCCTTCCATCACAGCATATTAACTGGAAAGCTCAGCGACTGTGTAATTTTTATGCTCCACAGAACACCTAGCACATTTCACTCTTCTGGGTAGGCACTTACCAAACTTTTTTCACAGTTCAAAGCTTTAAATTTGAATAACAAAGTTGTACATACATATATGTTGGGACTTTATCAAGACCCATGATTTATCCACCCATTTATTCATTCATTTATACATTCATTCTACTTATTTCACAATTTTTCATGAAGTCTTCTTTAGGCAAGATGTAAATATAAATGAGGATAGTTCAACCCTGCCAGAGTTCATAGTGTGTAGTATTACTGGCCAAATAAAGAAGTCAAGTCTCCAGCCCTCTAACTTCTACATGTCTCCAGATAAATTAAACTCCATTTACCAAAATAGGTTATCTAAGAACTGCACATTTCAAATGAAAAATTTTAACTGTATTTTTTATAGTGTCTAAAACTCACTCAATAAAATCACAGAAAAAAAAGAGGCATTTGGAAAGCCCTTTTTTTTTTTTTTTTGAGATAGAGTTTTGCTTTTTTTGCCCAGACTGGAGTGCAATGGCATGATCTCAAGTCACTGCCACCTCCGCCTCCCAGGTTCAAGCTATTCTCCTGCCTCAGCCTCCCGAGTAGCTGGGGTTACATGTGCCCGCCACCACGCCCAGCTAGTTTTTTGTATTTTTTTTTTTTAGTAGAGACAGGGTTTCACCATGTTGGCCAGGCTGGTCTCGAACTCCTGACCTCAGGTGATCCACCCGCCTCAGCCTCCCAAAGTGCTGGGAATACAGGCGTGAGCCACCGTGGCCAGCCTTGAAAACTTTTATCAATTGCCATTCCCCTATCATCACCCAAGCATAGGGCTTTTGGTCACCTTCAATAAATACCTTCAAAAATAATAATGGATGAAGCCAACAAAAGGAATGAGAAACATTTGTTTTGATCTAAAACATTTAGTTTAGCTCAGATTTTATAACAACACATACATTTAACTATATTTATTTTTTATTCTTTTTTCCTTATTAGCCTATAAGCTCTCTGAGGGCAGGGGCTATGTACTTCTCATAATTCATGTATTATCTGCACCTAGCACAATGCCTGGCATATATTACATGCAATAATTATGAAATAAATAAGTTAATGATGAAATAAATCAATGCGGTATAATTTTACACACCGAAAATTATAAACATCTCTAAACAGCTTTCAAATTAAAACATGATGTTGCCACATGTTGCATGCAAAAATTATTAGAAGGTTACTGCAGATCATTTCAGTGCATGAGGAAAGGTAATTTCTTTTTTCTTTTGTAGAAGATTCACAGGAAAAAAATGCAAGTGGAAAAAAATAGGAGAAAGAGTGGAGTTCAGCTCAAATGACAAACTAAACATTTTTATTCAATACTTCATAGCCTTCAAAAATGGATAATTATCCCTCCAGCTCTTCGGGCCAGCAGCATGAGGTTGAATACATCATCAGTTCTGATATTAAAACATGAGTTTGCAAGTAAACAGGAAGTTTATCTTATAAAATGGAAGCTTTTTATTTGCACAGAAGTTTTTCATTAATAACAGAGATGGACTTTCAACTACTTACTACAGCTGTGGCTCTCTCCCTGACATATGGAGCTTCTTAAAAGAAAAAAAATACAAATTAGGAGAATTTTTCAGCAAATTCAATTCCTTTTCTCTCCCAGAGGGGTGGGTGGAAGCAGCAGGTGGCAAATTCGTTTTTATCTAATAACATTTGATCATGTGACATATTTTATTTCCACAGTTGATGTAACTTAATGAACAGCAAATTGGGAAAATCCGTCAGCATGTAGGAAGTTAGTGGGGCATGTGTGCATGTGTGTGTGTGTGTGCGCGCGCGCACGTGTGCGTGTGTGTGTGTGTGTGTGTGTGTGTGTGTGTGTGTGTAGGGAGAATAGAAAGGCCTCTGTGGTGCAGATAAGGGGAAAAGGTTGCTGTTACATGTTCTGGGTAGAAAACTTTTTTTTCTTTTTTTAAAGACATTAGTTCCAATCCATGTTGACAGCAGTCTAAAGGAATTATAAGGGCTAAACAGACCATCTTTATTAAATGAGATCTGGTGATCTCAGGCAGGTCCTAAAAGAAGTAGATATACAAAAATAAACCCCAAGGCTGACAGCAGAAATGCTGGAGACCTCCATGGTAGAGTTATAAGTGCTGTGTGGAATAAACTCGCATAGCCAATGAAGGAAGATGAGGAACTGAGGAAGCCATCAATCTGACAGTTTCCACTAAGAAAAGCAGTTGCTCATGAGTTTCAAACAAGGTTATACTTAGTTTTAGGTACATGTAGTACCAGAAAAACAGGCTTTCTAAGCTGGTAAAATAAAAAAAAGACTTGTTATTTTATCACATTGCTGACATTGCCAAGGATCCTAAATTCTAGAAGAAAGCCAGGAGTTCTGGCTAGTTCAGAAACAGTGTAATCTTGAGTAAACAGTTTTGTCACAAGCCTTGGCTTTCTCAACTGACGGAATGGGGATAATGAGAGTAAACACATTATTTGGCATTTGAGAGGATTACATGAGTATTTTTTTGTAAGTACCCCAACATATTAGCTTTTTTCATGATTGATATAAACCAGATGTCAACTGGGAGAATTCCTGATGAAGAAAACCAGGTAAATTTGGCCTAGTCAAGCTTTCATACTGTACTCACCCTACTTCATCTGTCAGATGAGTGCTAAGACCTCACAGTTAGATGATTTCCTGCTCACCTTCCTCAAGTCCGTTTTGTGCTTTCTCTGTCCCTTCCCTTTGTAGCAGGGGTTTTGAAACATCTGGAATTCCTAGGAAATGATATGAAACAGCTGTGCTAGAGGTCCTCACTTACCTTAGACCCTCATTAATTCTATGCATGACCTGTGATTTTTAGGTTTTGTTTAAAAGGTAAAAATAAATTGGAGATGACCAGGTGTGGTGACTCATGCCTGTAATCCCAGCACTTTGGGAGGCTTAGGTGGGCAGATCACCTGAGGTCAGGAGTTCAAGACCAGCCTGACAAACATGGTAAAACCTGGTCTCTACTAAACATACAAAAATTAGCCGGGCATGGTGGCGTGCACCTGCAGTCCTAGCTACTTGGGAGGCTGAGGCAGGTGAATCGCTTGAACCCAGGAGGAAGAGGTTGCAGTGAGCTAAGATTGTGCTACCGCACTCCAGCCTGGGAGACACAGTAAGACTCTGTCTCAAAAATACTACTACTAATAATAAAATAAATTGGAGAGGATGTGGAGAAACTGGAACACTTGCATAATGTTGGTGAGACTACAAAACGGTACAACCACTATGGAAAATGGTATGGAGGTTCCTTAAAAAATTAAAAATAGAATTGCCATTTGATCCAGTAATCCCACTCTTAGGTGTATGTCCAAACAGAGTCTCAAAGGGATATTTGCATGCCCACGTTTATAGCAACAATAGCCAACAATAGCCAACAATAGCAACTCAACTACTCACTGATGAATGGACAAAATGTTATCATACATATACATATATGTGTACACAAACATATATATATGTGTGTGTGTGTATATATATATATGCCTACATACATATAATATTTAGCCTTACAAAGGAAGAAAATTCTGAAACATGTTAGAACATAGATGGAACTTGGCGACATTATGCTAAGTGAAATAAGCCAGTTACACAAACACAAACACTGTATGATTCTACTTACATGAGGTATCTAAAGTAGTCAAATTCATAGAAATGAAAAGTAGAGGCCGGGTGCAGTGGCTCATGCCTGTATTCCTAGCACTTTGGGAGGCCAAGGCGGGTGGATCACCTGAAGTCAGGAGTTTGAGACCAGCCTGACCAACATGGTGAAACCTCATCTCTACTAAAAATATAGAAAGTAGCTCAGTGTGGTGGCAGATGCCTGTGATCCTAGCTACTCAGGAGGCTGAGGCACGAGAATTGCTTGAACCCAGGAGACAGGGGTTGCAGTGAGCCAAGATTGCGCCACTGCACTCCAGCCTGGGTGACAGAGTGAGACTTTGTCTCAAAAAAAAAAAAAAAAAAAGAAATGAAAAGTAGAATAGTGGCTCCTAGGGATTAGGGGTAGGGGAGAAAAGACAGTTACTTAATGGATACAGAGTTTGAAATTTACAAGATGAAAATTTTTTTAAGATCTGCTTCAAAACAATGTGAATATATGTAACACTAGTGAATTGTACAGTTAGAAATGGATAAGATGGAATTAAGATGGTTAATTTTAGGTTATATGTTTTTTACATTGTTTTACAAAACAGATTAAAATGAACTTTGACACACTAGATCCACTCTCCCTGGAAACTTTCCCCAACTAAAGCACCAACCCATAACATATTACAAATATTAACACTTTATATAACTGAAGCTCAGTGTTAGAGTTCACAGGGAGAGATGAAATGACTCAAGGTCACAGGTTCAGATGTTCTGACACATTACTCACTCCATTTCCATAATCTATGCACCAAATACTGTTTTTTTTTTTTTTTTTTTGAGATGGAGTCTTGCTCTGTCTCCCAGGCTGGAGTGCAGTGGTGCAATCTCGGCTCACTGCAAGCTCCACCTCCCGGGTTCACGCCATTCTCCTGCCTCAGCCTCCCGAGTAGCTGGGACTACAGGCGCCTGCCACCGCGCCCGGCTAATTTTTTTGTATTTTTTTAGTAGAGACGGGGTTTCACTGTGGTCTTGATCTCCTGACCTCGTGATCCGCCCACCTCGGCCTCCCAAAGTGCTGGGATTACAGGCATGAGCCACCTCGCCTGGCCTGTTTTGTTTGTTTTTTAAAGGCAGGGTCTTGCTCTGTTGCCCAGGCTGGAGTGCAGTGGTGTCATCACAGTTCTCTAGACTCAAGCAATCCTCCTGCCTCAACCTCCCAAAGTGCTGTGATTACAGGCATAAGCCACCATACCTGGCCCCCAAAACTGTTTATGTGCATTGGTCCAGAAATGACAAAGGTTTTTAGAATTTATTGTCCATGATCAATTTGCTGTTGCCTTTTAGGATCCTCTATCTTTCAGCTTATCCTTAATGTGTGTCCTACATTAAAAAAAAGATATACCTTTTCTATTCACTTCTCCTTGGCCTGACATCTTAATATTTTACAATCCCATCATAAAAACATCAGCTTTTGTGGTTGGGTTTTTCCAACACCTCCATACCATTTCCACACTGGAAATTCACCTCTGGGTATCTGTGTGTGTACATGTATGTGTGCTTGTGTATGTGACTCAAAAGCCATTATTCCTTCCCAACACTCAAATTTCCTTTCAGGAAATTAACCTCTCTATCACTAAAAAAAAAAATGTCATGAATAGGGGCCAGAACTAAAGGGGCCAAAATCCTTGTCCTTCCACTATGCAGAGCCACAGAGTGAGACTGTAACCAACGCTTAGTCAATGGTACACGTGAGCTCAGGACTTTGAACTTTGAGAAACATAAGAATGGAACAAACATTCGGTGTCTAGGCATTTGCTAAACAGCATCCTGACTTGTTAAGGTTCCTATTTTTCAGTCCTCTGGTGCAGCCTTGGCCACTGGCCATTCCTTCGCTGGGACCCATGGCGATTCTGTAAACATCAGTTATCCTGCAGATAAATTCCCCTTCAGTGAAAACAGCCAGAGTGGATTGTTGTTGCTTTCAACTGGAAAACATTGCCTGACGATGTTTATTTCCACAGCTCTTTCAAAAGAGCAATGCCGTGGTTGTAATCTCAAGCTCTTAGGGCAATGTGAAATCCCCTTATTCTCCTGGTTCTATATGGAAAGGTTTTGAAACTGTCTCCATGTTTCTAATTCCAGTCTTGTCATTTTGCTCTTCAGATTTCTTTAAACCCATGCTGATCAGATACTGTTCTGCCCAATGATGTCCTAAAAACATCTATTAAAATAAACCCACTTACAGCAGAGCCTGCTAATCACCCTCCCACCTAATTAGATGTCTGACAGCCAACATCGGCAGGACTGCTGTCCTTCTGCTGGGCTTTCTATGCAGGAGTTTTACAGGTACATTAGGAACCAGTTAACCACCTGTGTCATAATCTTCTTCCTCTGTTTACTCACGAAAAGAGAACCATTTCAACCATTCCGAAATGAGCATGGCACTGGAAACCTCCCAGCATCAAACAAATGGCCACTGTCACTGATCAAAAGATAATTTTTGCGTAGGGGGTCAGGGGTAGCTGTCAGGGTGCAAATCTAGGATACGCTGCTGAGAAGATGTAGGTGGTGTGGCTGACAGCAGCTGGAGCCAGACTTGTGGGGGAGTGGAAGACACAGGGCTGCCAGCCTGATTATATCATTCTCCTTATTCCCTCTTGGGTTTTCCTTATTTTTTCCCAAAGAAATAGCTCCTAATTGTAATGATCAATTCTGATGGTTCTTTTTCCATTCCAAGCCATTCATTGTTGCCTTTATCTTTATTATCTCCTTTTCCCACAAACCCAAAGGCCCATTTATTTATATTCTGTCCCCAGCTCCTAAGTAAAGGAACTCACTGCCTGGTCTTGACTTCTTTGGTCAGAATAGTGCTGGGTTTTGGCCTAATTTCTTTCTCTAGTTTATAGATTAATTGATTTTAGATTTACATGGTCCTTAGTGGTTTACCAGGTGGATTCTTACTCCATAAATCATTCATTTCTCAAAATAATCTTTCCAGGTAGTGAAGGACCCATTCCAAAGTCCTACCAGTAGAACGTGGTAGTGCTGAGAACACAGAACCAAGCCATATTTTTTTCTGTAATAGTTATAAGCCAACCCTATTCTAACACATTTGCTCTTCCTGTCAGTCACATGAACCCAAGTGGCAGCCATGAAGTTCCCTCTCTGAATTCCTCACTAAGCCCTGGGGATTTAACAATATGGGTTTGGCAAGAAAAGTAAAACATTCTCTATGTAGACTGAGAACTAAACTAGGCATTAATAGGAGAAGAGTAAGGGAAGGAATGGTGGATCCTAAAGAAAGATAAATAAGCAACATCCTGCCCTATTACATGTCCCAGTCCTCTCCCCTCAAAAGCGTCCAACTCTCTCTCCAGCACCCCATGTGGATAAGCTGCGGGACTATGAAGTCAGTTGTCTAGTCTGAAGTTCTAAAAATCATCCAGGGCTGCGCCATCTCACTTACTTCCTTTTCATTCCACCTGTTTACTATTACTTAAATCCATCCTGCCACCAGGGCTTTTTTTTTTTTTTTTTTTTTGTCCAAAATTTTTACAGTAGCCTCTGAACTGGTCTCTATGCTTCCAGGGCTGCATTTCCACAAAGTATCTTCCAAATGTCCCTCGAAGATCTTTCTGTGTAGAGTCTTTTAATGACTCCCAAGGGCTTTCAAGATAGATTCAAAATCCCTTAACTTCCTTCATAAGTTCCTGGCACCAGCATGGATCTTTAGATTCAACAATTACCACTTGCCCAAATGAATGCTTCCTTCCAAGTATACAGGGTTACATGTAAATAGCAGAATAAGCCATGTTATTTCACTATTCCATCCTTTTGCACTCTTCCTCTCTATATATTATATACGTATATGTATGTGTGTATGTACATACACACACACATATTTTTTTCCTCCATGAGATGTCCATCTCTTCCTTCTCTGCAAGGCTATTACCTACTCCTCAAACCTCAGAAAAGAAGCTCAAGGGACATCTCCCTTGGGACCATCCTTCCCAAACCGCACACTAAATAGGCATATTTTCCGTCAAGAATTCTCATGATTGCTCTTCCTATGAATTTTCATTACATCCTGTTTTTGCATTTGAAACAGTGAACGCTTACCACACTGTTGGCTTACTTCTCTGTTTGTAAAAACAAAAGTATGAGCTACTTGAGTTCAGAGCCCATGTCTCAGCCATTATATCCCCGGTACCTTTCCCTGTGTCTGGTAACAATGCCTGTTTAATAGAATTGAAATCAAAAGCTATATTGCTTTTGATTATACAGTATACAATGTCCACTTATATCCTATTAATAGCCCTACTGCTCTCTGTGGCTTTTCTCTAGTTGCAAGAGTCTCGCTCCCCTTCAGTGATTACAGAGTCAGACAGCACATGCAGGTGAATTAACACTCACTGTAGCAGCCCTCAACCAATGGCCAAAAAGAGGTTATATAAATACATCCCTCCTATAGGATAACTCAGAGGTGTGCTCTACACTGACTCCTACACTTTCACAGTGAGATTAAGCTTCAATCATCCCCACTGGTGAATGGCTCCAGTGGCTCCGTAACGTTGGCTGACATTCCATCCCTAACTTCCCCACTCTCCAAACTTTATTTTCAGGGGTTGTCTTGCAAATAAATGACTTATATCCAAATCCTACCCTCATAATCTGTTTCTGGTTGAACTCGACTAAGACAGTATCCAATACTATGTTTTTAAGTTTAAAAACAATTATATAACTCAGTGAAGTAGGAATTCATATCATCCTTATTACACAGATGAGGGAGCTGAGGCACAGATAGGTTAAAATTCGGTAAATTTAGAGCATGTCATTGAAAGGACAATCTATCATAAACTTGTCTGCATATTTTGGTTTTGGTTTGTGTGTGTGTGTGCTTTTTTCCCACTAACTTTCTTCTTCTGATCTCTTTAGCATCATTAATGAAAATGCTCACATATCAGTGGCTGATGGTGCCCTTGATTCAAAAGGCAGCCCTCTGGAGAAGGATTATAGCCCAGCACCTAAAATAGCTGAGCCTGGCAACTCAGTAGAGTGGTAAACTAAACTTTTCCCTAAAATAACACAGAGATCACTCAAGGGAGTCAGCAGGAACAGGGTTGCCATTGTGATTACCCAGGATAGGAGGGATTAATTCACAGGTATTAGAAAGCAGCCCAATGCAATGCACAAAGCAAAAGTACATTTCTATAGTTTTTTTTATTTTGTTTTGTAATTTTTATGCAAACCAGACATGGTAGAAAGCTACGTAAGAGACAGAAATTTATCTACAACATAAATAATGGAGAGGAAAACACATCAAGGTGTTCAACTTTATAAAAATTAAAGGTATGCAGTTTTTTGGTTTTGTTTTGTTTTGAGGCAGTGTCTCACTTTGTCACCCAGGCTGGAGTGCAGTGGCATGATCTCGGCTCACTGCAGCCTCAAACTACTGGGTTCAAGTGATCCTCCTGCCTCAGCCTCCCAAAGTACCTGAGACTAAAGGCATGTGCCACTATGCCTGGCTAATTGTTTTGTATTTTTTGTAGAGATGGGGTTTCACCATGTTGCCCAGGCTGGTCTCTGACTCTGAGCTCAAGTGATCTGCTCACCTTGGCCTCTGAAAGTGGTAGAATTACAGGGATGAGCCACTGTCCCTGGCCACAAAGTTTAAAAAATTAGATTTTACTGGCCGGGCGAGGTGGCTCATGCCTGTAATCCCAGCACTTTGGGAGGCCGAGGTGGGTGGATCACGAGGTCAGGAGATGGAGACCATCCTGGCTAACACGGTGAAACCCTGCCTTTATTAAATATACAAAAAAATTAGCCAGGCATGGTGGCGGGCACCTGTAGTCCCAGCTACTCGGGAGGCTGAGGCAGGAGAATGGCATGACCCCAGGAGGTAGAGCTTGAAGTAAGCAGAGATTGCGCCACTGCACTCTAGTTTGGGTGACAGAGCGAGACTCTGTCTCAAAAAAAAAAAAATTAGATTTTACTATTCTATCACAATATTAGCAAATACTAAAATATGATAATGTACAATACTCATGTAATTAGTAAAATAGGCACTCTGGTATAATATCAATGAGAGTATAAATTGGTGAAATCTATTTGAAAATGCATTTGGCATTTTATAATAGGTTTCTTGATACAGACCCTCAACTTGACCTAGCAATTTTTAAAATAGTCCCTAACCTTTAGTCCAGTATCTTCCCCCCATGGATTTGCCTTAAGAATACAACTCACACCCATATATACTTACATACAACAAAAATTTGTCTTGAAAATTATCAAAATATTATTTATAATAGCTAATTAAAAAGAAATCACCACATGCCCATTAAGACAAGAAAAAGAAATAAATGATTTAACCATACATTAGAATACTTAAACATTAAAGTTTGAGATTTTGAAAACTAAAAAATGGCATGAGAAAATAATATAGAGAGCTTAAAAAATGCACGGCTTATAATTTCATATATGGCATGAACTTATTTTAAATATTAATAAATCAAGATAAAAGAAAATCACATGAAGAGATTCATAGGTATAACTGGTGGTGGTCTTATGGGTTACCTTTTTATTTACATGTATAAAATATGCATGCATACTTTTTATATTTACATGAAGTTATTTTAAAACATGAATTTGCTATACTTAGGAATTAAACCTATAGGTGGTTATTCCTGCATAACAAGACACCAGGGATTAAATTAAAATTACTGGGCCAGATGCAGTGGCTCACGCCTATAATCCCAGCACTTTGGGAGGCCAAGGCGAGTGGATCACAAGGTCAGGAGATTGAGATCATCCTGGCTAACATGGTGAAACCGTGCCTCTACTAAAAATACAAAAAATTATCCAGGTGTGATGGCAGGTGCCTGTAATCCCAGCTACTCAGGAGGCTGAGTTAGGAGAATCGCTTGAACTCAGGAGGTGGAGGTTGCAGTGAATGGAGATCACGCCACTGCACTCCATCCTGTGTGACAGAGCAAGACTCTGTCTCAAAAATAATAATAACAAAATAATTAGCTGGTAAAACAAAATAATTTATGTAGTGCTCTCTTTGCCTAATTCATCCTCCAAATCTGGAGGGTTCATGCTTCCTTTCTCCATTTTAATGTTTCCAACCATAACATCCACCATTGGAGAGTCTTGTGGTTCATGGGCATTTGCTAATTCTAAGGATTCATGGACTCTTATGAAAGCATTTGTTTTTGCGGTTTCCATTAAAATGGCAGTTGACAAGTATACAAAGCAGTAAAGCCAAGGCCATACATCTGGTAATGAATTGCTTTCCTGACTGAGAAAAAAGAGGTTTACTGTGAGTGCCAGTTGTTTCTTGTCCTCTCCAAGAGTTGCAGCAGAACAAATGTTACAGAATATAAATCTACAGTCCAAGACAATCCTATTGTTACTTGGCTCTGTGTTAATTTCCGACACCATCATCTCTCCATAATCAACAAATTTGCCTGAAATTTTGTAAATTAATGAACATTGTTTGTTTTGGAAGATCAAACTGACTCAGCAGGACTTTTTCAGAGAAAAGAAAAGAGTGACGATTTTGAAGGGAAAGCAACAAGAAACCAAATGTATTTTTAATTACCTTTAAATTACATTAATAACAACATTCTCAGTAGGACAAAGGGATCAAATTCTACTTACTATGAGATTTTGCATTAGCTTGGGAAAATGTTTTCTTTCTGCTTTGGTTGGTTCTGCTTTAGGTACTAGTCTGTAGATATTTGCAAATCTCATAATTTATGTCCATGCTTGTATGCATGGGACAAAATAGTTTTATTTGCCTGTTTATTGTGGTCTCTCTGAAACAAATGATGGGTTGCATCATTACCACTGCTTTCCTTATAATGACTTAGAAAAATCATCCTTCTTCCCTCAATCCTCACTTAGAATCCAGCAATCAGAACTCTTATCTCTTGAAAAACACAGCTGTTTTGTGCTTATAGATGAAACAGAGATAAATTAATTGGCAACGCCTAAGTTTATGAAGTTGCTACTGAAATCATAGATATAATCCAGCTCCTTTAAATTTCTCTCCAGAATACTTTCAGTAGTTGATACTAGGAATATCCTCAGTATACAGATCTAATATCATTATTTATCTTATAGGTGGTCATGGAATTTGCCAAATTTAGCAGATTTATACCAAATTTAAAAGTTAGACTTGGTCTAAATGTTTATTTAACAAACTTTTACTTCGTGTTTTTTATGGTCATTGAATATCTTCAGCTCTAATCAAGACACATAAGGGCCTTCTGGGAATTTACCTTCTACTGGAGGAAAGGAAATATACATATCAATGGCTCAGCCCCAAAAGGGGAAAAACAAAAAGTGCCACAGAGAGGAATGCATGTAAGTACCATGGGCATCTACTGATGGGGAAAAAAATCACAGCTCTGGGTGTGTGAGGATTGTAGAGGATTGTTGAGGAGAGCAAGCCTGGTGCCTAAACTGAGACTTGGGATAGATCATTAACTGTCAGGGCATCCAGACCTCCATCCCATACTTTGGACAAACGCACAAAGTCATAAAAAGATGCACAGCTACGTGGCGGAGTGCAGCTAAACTATCTAAGTAAGATTTTAGCTAAACTATGCCATGTTTAGAAAAATCTTACCTAATTATCCCACAAATGGATCCAACTGATAGACCCGTTTTGGCCCATTTGTATTGAGATATTCCATCTAGACTAAGAGGAAAAGTTGGCAATGAGGACTTCTGTACTAGCAATGTTAATTTACTAACTTCAAGAAGTCAAATTACGTAATTAAACACATCTTAAATAAAAACAATGTTAGAAATCAAAAATGCCCTACAAAAACTATTGAAAGAGGAAATAATAACTGCAATTACAGACTAATTAGAAAATAATGAAAATGCAAATATTGCTGTCAAAAACGGAATATAACACAACTCTACTGTGTAGATGAATACATGTTTAACTTTAAATACTTTCATAATAAAGTTAAAAAGTAAATATTTAATTGAAGAAAGTAGAAAAATAACCACAATTCTAAAATAGCAGGAGGAAGCAAATAAAAGTAAAGGCAGAAAAGGTTGATTTAGAGAAGGAAAAATAAAAGAAAAATACCAAATTGCTAAATAAATCCAAGAGTTGTTTCTTAGGAAAACATAATTAGTATACTATATTAAGCATTAATGTATGAACCTGGTGAATTTATTTAGAAAATTAAGTTGGAGAAGGAAAAGATAAATGCACAATCTTTAAATTATAAATAGATTCCTCTTTTCAATTCCATGTTGATATATTTGAAAATCTAGGTGGAATAAATACATTTCTAAGAAAAAAGATATTGCCAAAATATAATAAAGAAAAATTTTTAAATGTTACCAGAATTGTGGAGCAAGACTATAAAACTATTCTTGTCCCATAATTAGAAAACTATTCTTTCCTCCTCCCTACATTGCCCTGTTCAAGAAAAGTTTGTAGTGGATGGCTATTTTGCAAGTGATTTAAACATACATAAATTTCATTTCCAGGTAATTTTCTAATTAAAATAGTTATAATAGAAAGGAAAACATTTGCAAAACAAGCTGAGAGGGTTAGGGCTGTTTTTCCAATACTACATCATTTGGCTTTGGTCCAATCTCCACTTCTGTGAGTCTCACCTTCTCCCTCAATAACACAAGCAGAGGGTGCATGTTTACACAAGTGTGCCTGTATGCATTTGTATGTATATCAGAATGATAAATGTTATCGCATGTCTGCTAACTCTATCAAACATTGAAACACTGAATTTTAGAATTAAAAGGCTCTAATTAGCTTTAAAACAATCCCATAATGTATTATCAGTCTCTCTGATAATCTGCAAACTTTTTGTACTATCTCTGAGGTCATAACTAACTTAATTTCTATCCTCTCATAACTCAATCTCATCTACCTCACATCAACACTCTTTCATCCTTTGGGAAAACTTTTAGGTTTAACCACTTGTATTAGTCCGTTTTCATGCTGCTGATAAAGACATACCCAAGACTGGGAAGAAAAAGAGAAAAAGAGGTTTTTGTTTGTTTATTTGTTTGTTTTGAGACACTCTGTTGCCCAGGCTGGAGGGCACTGGCATGCTCTCGGCTCACTGCAAGCTCAGCCGCCTGGGTTCAAGCAATTCTCCTGCCTCAGCCTCCCAAATAGCTGGGATTACAGGTGCCCACCACCACGCCTGGCTAATTTTTGTATTTTTCGAAGAGACAGGATTTGCCATGTTGGCCAGGCTGGTCTTGAACTCCTGACCTCAGGTGATCTGCCGGCCTCGGCCTCCCAAAGTGCTGGGATTACAGGTGTGAGCCACCGTGGCTGGCCAGAAAAAGAGGTTTAATTTGACTTACAGTTCCACATGACTGAGGAGGCCTCAGTCAGAATCACGGTGGGAGGTGAAAGGCACTTCTTACACGGCAGCAGCAAGAGAAAATAAGGAAGAAGCAAAAGCAGAAACACCTAATAAACCCATCAGATCTCGCAAGACTTATTCACTATCCCCAGAATAGCACAGGAAAGACTGGCCCCCATGATTGAATTACCTTCCCCTGGGTCCCTTCCACAACACGTGGGAATTCTGGGAGATACAATTCCAGTTGGGATCTGGGTGGGGACACAGCCAAACCATATCATGACTATAACTTAATTAGAACAATAACAGGTGAGTCTGAGTTCAGATACAAACCTGAGAATCCAGATACATAAATTAAATGTTCTGCTTGGATTCCAAAGCATCTGTCATCAATAGAGTATGGGATGTTCAACTGTAACACCCAGGGAAGGGGCTGAGTACTTGGTTGAGGAAATGTGCCATGGACTAAGTTGCTGTAATATCAAAGAATCAGCATCCAGACACAATAAAGGTATTATAGACCTAAAACAATGCTATTTCACTGTGCTTTTTCTTCCAAGCTAACATATTGACAAAGATTGAAAAAGAATGATAATACTCATTGCTGCCAAGTGTGTGGGGAAACAGGCACCCAAATAACTTGCCAGTAGATGCATATTTAGTGCAACTGTTCTGGAGAGTAACTGTGTACATGGTTTTGCAGAATCTTTGCAAGATTTTCTTATTATTTCCTAGCAGTGACTTTGCTAGGTCAATGGGTTTTATCCCAGTATTACATACAGTAATAACACACTGGAAAGAAACTAATGCTTAATAATAGGAATTCCAATAAATATTTTATGACATACCCATTAAATATTGTGACATATTAAAATAATATAGATTCATACTGACTGACATGAAAATACGATTAGTACACACTGATAGGAGAAGAAATAAAGGATACAGTTCAAATATATTGTCATTAAACTAACTACTTGTGTCCATACATACAGAAAAAAAGGAAGTATATATACCTAAAGATTAACAGTTTTTATCTGAAGGTGCTAAGATTACAGTGGATTCTATATTATTTCAATTATTTTAATATTGAAGTCTTAAAAATAAGTAAATATTACTCTGATAATCAGCAAATTAGTAAATATGTTCTTATTTTGATGACAAAAATGAGTATCCATGAATAATGTTAAAAAATTATGTCACGGTTAGGTGCGGTGGCTCACACCTGTAATCCCAACACTTTGGGAGGCCGAGGAGGGTGGATCACCTGAAGTCAGGAGTTTGAGACCAGCCCGACCAACATGGAGAAAATCTGTCTCTACCAAAAATACAAAAATTAGCCAGGCATGGTGGTGCGCACCTATAGTCCCAGCTACTTGGGAGGCTGAGGCAGGAGAATCGCTTGAACCTAGGAGGTGGAGGTTGCAGTGAGCCGAGATCACACCACTGCACTCAAAAAAAAAAAAAATTACATCACATATACAGAAACTCTATTAATACTGAAATTACTTTCTTGGGAGAGTTTTATTAATAGCCACAGACCATTATCCTTTCTCTGACATCTTAAAAGTATCCATCATTTGTCACTCAGCATATGGTGCCTTAAGTTCTTAATGACCATTTTTCTGGGTAGAGATCTCTCTATACAGGTCAGGACTATATGTCATTTCTTATATGTATGTATTTATATGTCCCTCTATGGATTTGAATCCCTGGACTCTAAATGGCAGCTGATATAGTGTCACACTCAAGTATTTTCATTTTTTTTCCCTAATGTTGTCGGGTAACAGTTCCACGGGTTATGAGCTGTGGGCATATGCCAGCACCCCTTGTCCTAACTTCCTAACTGGCATATGTCTTAAATACGGGTTAGGAGTTTTTACCATTGAGTTGTTCTAAGAAGTTTCATGAGCACACCATTACGTAGAATATAGATGTCAAACTTGAAGCTGATGTAACAGCCTATCAACACTGATAGTTTCCAGGAGCCCTCCGCTGGATCCTCTTTTATTCTAATGAGCATTTTTGTCCCTTCTCTGGGCTGGAATGAATGACTTCTGTCCCCTCTCTGGGCTGGTGTGGATGACAGAACTTTCTCGGATTCAGCCACAGCTGAAGAGAGCTATGGCTGAAGCTCTGCTCGGGGGAATGTGTCCCCTGCAAGGCCCAAGCTGGATGCATCTTCAGTGGGATTCATTATCCATTCTGTCCATTCTTTCCCAAGAGCCCAGCAGCCCTTACACACAGCATGCCATTAACAATGGAGGAAGCCTGCCACAGAACGGCGCTCTTTGAGGCAATGGAAACTACCCTACGTGAGCAGGCTGCACAGCTCCGCTTTTCCCAGTCAGCCTCTGAGCAGTTCATTGGTGACTTCAAGAACGAATCCAATCTACATCTATGGAAGCCATTAAAATCTGCCCTAGGCATCTTCAGCCTCCACCACCCAATTTCTGTTTCTTCAGCCATCTTTAAACTGTCCATTTACTCCATTATTTTTTTTTATCTTCATGGTACTTGTATCCTCCCTGTCTTCTCTGCTCCTTCAGATTCTTGGGAAGAAATGTTTGCCTGTCTTCCAAGGTCAGCTCTTTCTTGAGATGCACACCTCAGCTAACCACACAACAGCCACTAAGCAAGCAGTTCCTTGCCCTCTCCACCCTTCTCCTTCACTGGGTGTGGTATCCTAGGCTCCTTGATGTTTGGGAGAGAGGTTCTGACACGGGCTTTTGAAAATCCACAGAACATATGGTCTTTGAGGACTGCATTCAATTTTCTCCTGGCTGCCTGGCTGCCTTGCTTGCCCTCAATCTATTGCTCTCATGCTGAGGACCCTTGCTGATTTCACTAGGGTGAAAAGAATGCATTTCCTTTTGTCACAAGTCACCATCTTTTCCTTGCAAAGTAGCTATAGGTATAGAGTGGAAGGAGAATACAAATGACAGAGAGAGAGAGAGAGAGAGAATATACTCAGGAATAGAAATTGAGAGGTAGAAATGCAGACTCACACCCAGATGGTTACAGAGAGAGGGATTCTTTGCCCCCAGACCATGCATCAGACCAGCTCTGAAATTCACATTCTCATTTCTCTACTTAACCTCTGCAAAACAGCATATGGGCATGCCTTTCCTAGTTACTATGCATTACTGTCTAAGTAGGGGGTGGTGGTGTGTGCTTATCTATCCAGCTGACAGCTTAAAATCCCTTTATCCCACATCCTTCCCAAGAGTTGTGTGCATTCTGTGAATGATTAATTTTTTAAATTATTTTTGGCTCCAACCTGGTTTCTCCATCTCTTTTACAAATCACCTCCAGTGGACCTCCACTGTCCATGAAATTCGTTCTCCTTTCCTCAATATCTATGCACGTATACACACACACATATGCACTGACCAAATGATACCTATCCACCCAATATGATTGCAGGTATTGCTATGCATGTGGTTGCTGATATGGGGGGAATGGTTAAGTCTCCAGAGCTTGTCACAGTGGGGAAGAATCCATGTTGTATATCATGGCAAGAAAATGACTTTAAAAGCTATATAGCAATTTTCACTCACTCTTACCTACATACTGGAATTTAATAGCCATGCCTCTCTGTTTCAGCAAGGCCAAATAACTTATCTAAATATATAATGCAAAGCAATTCTATTCTCTGTGGCTTCTACCTCTAAACTAATATCCGATTTTGCTCTCCTTGGCACATGCAACAAGTTTTAAATATAGTTGAGGTGGAAGAAAGTAGTTGATAACTGGGCTCTGGATACAAGAAGGCTGATTTCCTACTGATGTGAAATTTGGGATAATCTACTTAACAATTCTATGCCTCCGTCTCTTTACATTGTGTGTGTGTGTGTGTGTGTGTGTGTGTGTGAGACAGTATATATATATAGAGAGTGAGCGAGCTCACAAGCGAGAGAGAGGGCCACATTTTATATAGTTAATGACAGTATCATATTATGGGGTTGCATGAAGCTTAAATGAGAGGAAAAGGTGCTCATCTGGCACCTGGCGCAGAGTTAATCCTCTTAAATGTTTGCCTTAGACAGGGGGTCATACAAGAGGTCTCATCCCATCAGTCACTGAAGAAATGTGTAGTATCCAGACAGATCATTACCAATGATATAAGTTAATATAACCGTCGCTCACAGAAGGCAAAAACAGCCCTAGTAATTTGACAGTTGTTTTTCAATAGCACAGTTTTCCTCCACTGAACATATCAAATTATTATCTACTGAACAAAGATACACATACAATAATAATGTGACCAGAGCAGTATTGCCCATCCATGGTCCTTCAGTGTGCTGCCAGCAGGATTCTACCTGATCCTGGACCATGGCACGTGCTATTGTTCACTTTTAATTTTTTTCTTTAAATCAACGATATTTCTTAGTTTTGTTCTAAGATAATAACTATGACATCATAGGTCTAATGAGCCGTTAATCATTGCTTAATGTGCATAAGTAGCAATAACTAACATTTTAAATCTGTCTATCCACGTTTCAACTATGATAATTACCTGGATTTGGAAGCAGAATAATAAGACTTGAATTACTATCCCATCTAGGTCTTATATATTTCTGATGCCTGTTCTTGGGTAAATCACTTAAACTCTCTAAGCTCCAGGTGCTTCATTTGGACCAGTTCACAGATCTCTTGTAAAGATCAAGGAAGAAAATGCAAGTCAAAGTATTCTGTAAACTGTAAAGCATGGTGTTAATTTTCAGTAAATGTCCAAGAACTCTTTGTTGCGACTGATGACACCAGTAGATTAGCTTTCAACAACAGAAAAGCTGGCTTTTCAAAGGGAAGTGAATGTCCTTCATTCATAAGCTCCCTGGTTGATGTGTCTCACTCAGGATTTACAGCAGAGTGTACCACCATCCGGTGACACATTGAGATTCCCTTCTGTAGTAGCAGGGGGGTCACTGCTGGTATAGCTAACACCACCCTCGTGTCCACTGAGGACAACAAAACCTGCAAATGTCCTTTTCTTCTCCTCTTAAATTTCATATTTTTTTTTTCAGTCACACAGCCTCAGCCCTATCCTATTTATAGATTAGCTGCATGCATCAGTACCAGAGAACCAGGATCACGAACTCAGTATTGGGCAGCGTAGTCCCCACAGGCGATGTCACTGACCCCACTAAATACTGTCAGCACCTGCAGTCACAGCATTGGCACCTGGCATTTCTCGGCTGATCCAAGAACTCCTGTGGCTTTGCAGAGTACTTACACCAGTGGTTCTCAACCCTGGTTGTCCATTAGATTCACATGGGGAGATTTTTCTCAATGCCAATAACTGGGACCCATCCCAAACCAATTTAATTAGGATCTGTTGGTGGAAGCGGGGGACTCAGGCATCAGTTTATATTAAAAGCTGCTCAGGGACTGGGTGTGGTGGCTCACGCCTGTGATCCCAGAACTTTGGGAGGCTGAGGTGGGTGGATCACGAGGTCAGGAGATCAAGACCATCCTGGCTAACATGGAGAAACCCCGTCTCTACTAAAAAATACAAAAAATTAGCCGGGTGTTGTGGCGGGCATCTGTAGTCCCAGCTACTCAGGAGGCTGAGACAGGAGAATAGCGTGAACCCAAGAGGTGGAGCTTACAGTGAGCTGAGATCCTGCCACTGCACTCCAGCCTGAGCGACAGATTGAGCCTCCGTCTCAAAAAAAAAAAACAAACAAACAAACAAACAAAAAAAGGCTGCTCAGAAGTAAAGGCTTCTTCTGCCACTTTAGGTTAACTGTGGCCAGACGGTAAGGCTGCACCTACTGAGCATGGAGAAAAGTAAGAATGAAATCCAATTATTGTGCTTAGTTTGGCCAAATCCCATAAGTCAGAATAACTGAACATGAAACAAAACAAAACGAAGCAAAACACAATAGTGCCCACCCCGACAGTCCACCTGTACCGCTTTTTTTTACGAGATGATCCTTTTATTTCTTACATGGGAAGATCTTGTTAAAGTGTGAATTTCTGATTCTCACTCCCAACCTAAAGCAATCAGAATCTCTGTTTGCCAGGGAATTTGCATTTCAATAGGTATCCCAGAGCACCTAAGCCCACAAAATTTTCGGACCACCACTTTCTAAGTGATTGCATTAAGGATCACTGTATAATCCTTCTGGGGTTTTCTGCCCTGATTGCAAAACAAAAAGAAATATAAAATATAGATTCCTGGTTCTACCCCATGCATCCTTGGTGTAGTGCCTGCATTGCTTTTTTTGTTTGTTTGTTTTGTTTTGTTTTTTAATGGAGTCTCATTCTGTCGCCCAGGCTGGAGTGCATTGGTGCAATCTCAGCTCACTGCAACCTCCACCTCCTGGGTTCCAGTGAGTCTCCTGCCTCAGCCTCCTGAGTAGCTGGGACTACAGGCGCACACCACCATGCCCGGCTAATTTTTGTATTTTTTTAGTAGAGATGGGGGTTTCACCATATTGGCCAGGTTGGTCTCAAACTCCAGACCTCGTGATCCACCCGCCTCAGCCTCCCAAAGTGCTGGGATTACAGGCATGAGCCACTGCGCCCGGCCAGGCATTGCTGAATTTTTTTAAAGATTCATATAGAGTTCTGATTAAAAGCCAGATCGTGAGCCTGTGTGATAATGGCAATGCCACTGGACTGCAAAGAAAAAAAAAAAACGCAAGGCTTACATTGCTAAAGTGTCTTTTCTTTGACCAGGTGTCATTTCCTAAACAAACTCCTCCATGTCAATTCTCTTCAGAGTGAGAAAAAGAAAGTCTCTTTCTTGTCCATTTGCCTTTTGCATACAGAAAGGGACACAAATTTAGAAAGTATTTAAAGCAGTGGGCGCTTCGAATGTTCATTATTCAATGCCAGAACCAAAGCCTCCCCAGGCATTATTAAACACATTGATGAACACTGTGGCTGGATTTAGAGAGAAGAAAGGTGCTGCTGGAACTGCAATACACCAATTCTTCATTTAAATATCTTGTAAGTAAAGACCCAGGAACTGACTTCATGGATTTTCATGTGGAGGCGATAGTATTTACATCTCAAAAGCCTACTCTACGGCTTTCTCAGTTATGCTGGCTATTGGGGATTCCTGAATGAGCACAGGATGAAATGCAACTTAATTCTATCTATTAAGGAGACAAGGGTTTCGTAGCTGGGTGCTGTGTATGGTGAGGAGGTTATTATGGCATGAACAAATGCAAACTCAAGCCAATTATTGCTTCAACTCCTGCTGAGCTTTTCAGTAGAACTTTAACGCATGCAAAATGGAGTACTAGTTCTTGTCTCAGCTCATAACTTCACACAGAAAGATCATTTTTCCTGTAAATGCTGAAGGCAGGGTGAAGCCCCCAGAGCAGGCCACTCAAATCTCACTCAGCAGGTGGCCATTGGAACTGGGCATCTGAGGGACAGGAGCCTAAGAAATGTCCTTGAGTTGCTACATTCTTTTAGGAGGCAAAAGTGAAAAATAAGAGCCACCTGCCACTCACAGAGAAAAGAAAATACAAGTTGAGTCCCTTCTGTGCTTGTAGGTCCTCCCCAAACCAAACCAAACCAAATCAACCAATACACACATCCAGCCAGTGGGAAGATGGCTGTGAAGTTCCCATCTCTCCCAAGTCTGTGATTGACTTCAAAACACTATCATCAATCATGCTAATAAGCACTTAAAAAGTAAATCAAAGGCTATTAAAACACTTTTGACATTGAGCTTGCTTCCTCAAGCAAACTATAAATGCCCAGAATTTACAACATTTGCTGAAGGAAGGGAGGAGGATGCTGGGTTTTAAAAACAAATTTATTAGCTTGTTTCTTATGCTGTTTTTTTTCTCCTTTCTCCCATTGGGACAGTAATAAACTAAAACTGCTAGATGCTGTTACAGACTGTTAAATTCGTAGTTAAGGTTCATATCATTATCCAAGCTATTCTGGATTTCCGGGGGGTGATTTATAAGTATGTGCGAGCAAAAAGCCACAAAACACTGTCTCTTTTAACTAAAGGGGCCTGGGGCTATATGACCAACATCTATACACAATGTGCCAGGCAGTAAAATAATACTGTATGTCACTCCCCTCACATGCAAAATACTGGACAGAACCAAGTAAGACTGTGAAATAAACTGAGATCAATGGCGGCCATGCTCTGTCATTATTGTGCATGGTGACTCTGGATAAGTCATTTATCCTCTCTGGACCTCAATTTCAACTGAAAAAGGCATGAATTGACCTAGATAACTTTTTAAGTCCTATTCCAAGCTACAGTCCTATTATCGAATTATCCAATTAGCTCATTAGCCAGCACAATATTAATCAGTTACCTCAGGACTTATACGAATGACTAGCGTGGGACCTTAATTCTCATCTCTCCAAATTATGGCGGTGGAAGTGGTGCCCTCTCATGCTGGCAAATCTGATTTCTAGCCATTCATTCACTTTCTCCCTTCAACACATGCTCAACATTGATCTTGGATTTATACTCCCATTGGCTCCTTGCTCAGTTTCCAATCAGTGGTGCTGACAGCTGGATGTTCCCATTTCAAGCATGTGGAGTAACAGACACGAGACTGTGACTGGGGCAAGACAGCATCCACTAACAGAAGGATGAGTGTCAGGTTTTCATTAAGCAGGAGCACAGTGGTTGCTTATCTTCAGCTCAGTTCCAGACCTGCATTTGGTAACTATGCTTAAGTGTCTCAAACTGACCTCAAAGTCAACTTTTCCAAACCTGAACTTGTGATATTCTCCTCCAAAATGGGTCCTGTTTTAGAGTTTCTTCTCTCAGTGAATGGCACCACTATCTGTCCTGTTAGGCATGCTAGGCACCTAGCCCTCATCTTTGACACCTCTATCCCTTTAACTGGTTCATCCCCAAGCCCTATCATTTACTCCCTGAGAATTTCTTAAATAGAAACAAACCAATGCATTTCTACCAATAAAACCTTAGCTTATGCATTATCCTTTCCCTGTTTCTATAATATTTTCCTACATGATTTGGCAGCACTTCCTCTTCGACCTTTCAAAATGCATATTTGCCCACTCCTTCCCCTCCTCATCCCACTCCACTGCCATCCTGCCAACCTCCCTCCTCCTCCTCCCTACCTGTGTGGTCTCATTTCACACCCCACTCTCCCAGGCCCACTCTACTCTAGTCACATTGGAGTCATTTCCATTCCTCTTTCTTGTTGTGCTTCTTGGATCCACATGGCGATTTCCCAGAGAATTTGATATGCATGATATATTTGGGGAACATAGTAGACTCACACTGAAAAAAAGCTGAAAACTGAGGTTGTGTGGCTGTTTTAAGTGAGGAAGAGTGGCTTCATTACAGATGTCTGACTTCCAATAATGTATTGCCCCCTTCCAGTTTGTTGCACTCCCAGAGTGTTTTGGGACACCTGGACCAAGTGAGAGCAACAAAGTAGGAAGAGCGAGCCATAACCTATTTTGAAGGGACCTGGCTCCAAATTCTCCTCCAGGAGGAGCAATGGAAACTTCTAGGAGAAAGCCAATTGATAAGAAAGGTGCAGGAAAAGATTGCTTGCAATGAAAGGTATCCTAAAAACCTTGATGGCTCTATCGAGACTTCCTTCTAACCTACTTCACCTGGTCAATGTCTACACACCTCTTGCTCATCACTTTACTGAAAAAATCTTCCCTGTCACTCTTGCCTAGGTAGAATCCTCTAGCATAGGCTTTCATAAAGATAAAGATCTGCACATCCCAGTACTTAACTCTGTGAATACATTATTCAATTAATTATTTTTTTATTTTAGTGCATTCTCTTTCACTAAAATGTAAACATTCTGAGAGCTGAAATCATTTCTGCTTTCGGTCACTAATATGTTTCCAAGGTCTAGTACATCAAAGGCACTCAAACTATTTATTTAATGAATGAATGAAGTGGAAAGTTGATTGATGGCAATACATTTTTTTTCCATTATACTATTGGCTATTCCAGGTCCAATTTTTTGTTTCTAATTGTGTATGTGTGTGTGGGGGTATACACATACACACGATTGTATATATGATTATATATTATGTATATATGTATTATGTATATTATATACATATATAATTATGTACATAATTATGTATTATATATAATTATGTGTATCTATGCACACGATGATATATAATTGTGTGCATATATATACACACACACACACACACACACACACATATGCACAATTAGAAATCAGAAATTGGACCTGGAAAAAAAATTTATAAAATAATAAATTATATAAATATATATATATTTCCATTAAAGATCTCTTCTACATAAAGTTGCTTATATCAGCTTCACAAAGTAGAGGGTTTACTTTCCAATTTTTCTTTTATTTTTTTGAGACAGAGTCCCACTCTGTCGGCCAGGCTGGAGTGCAGTGGCACGATCTCAGCTCACTGCAACCTCCATCTCCCAGACTCAAGCAATTCTCCTGCTTCAGCCTCCCAAGTAGCTGGGATTACAGGCATGTGCCACCATGAATTTTTGTATTTTTAGTAGAGACGGGGTTTCACCATGTTGGCCAGGCTGGTCTCGAACTCCTGACCTCAGATAATCTGCCCGCCTCAGCCTCCCAAAGTGCTGGGATTATAGGCGTGAGCCACCGCACCCAGCCCACTTTCCAATTTTTCTTTTTTATCCTGTCATTTTTCACCTGGCCAGCTCGTTCTCAGCTGAAGTATGATGTTCTTGGAGAGGTGTTCCCAGACCATCCAATCTAACAAAACTCCTGTATAATCTCTCTCAGGGCAGCTCTAATTTTCCATTCCAAATATGATTACCCCAATATACAGCAAATTTTGAGTTTCTTTTTTTAACACTTGTGTTTCTTGATAAACTCTAAGCTTCTTGAGGACTGGCACTACATCTATTTTGCTATAATTGTAATTAATACCCAAACCTTGCAGAGTTCCTGGTACATAGTTGGTGCTCAGTAAGTACTGTTGGCTGAAAAATTACTTCCACTAAATGGTCTATAGCTTTGGTATCCTCTGCATCAAGGCTCTATATCTCTTGAGGAAAGACATGATATTTTTGCTTGTTTAGTATCCCCGATGGTACTAAACCCACAGTTAGATTAGGCTGGGGATTATTAACCCTGGAGGACAGATGACTCTTTTTCATGCAGTACATGCCCCGTGTACTACAGCATGTTTAGCAACATCCCTGGCCTCTAGATGCCAGTAGCATCTTCCACACCCTGTTGTGACAAGGAAAATGTTTCCAGACACTGCCAGATATCCTATGTGGGCAAAATCTGCCCCTGACACCCTGCTGAGAAGCAGTGGATTAAGTGCTTAATTTAATCAATGTTGATGAATAGATTGCAAGGTGGCTTGGCAATCTCTGGGTTCTAAAGAGTCCCTCAGACTCTGAGAGAAATTGTTCCACTACAGCCAAGGTACAGAACAAATATCTAAAAATATCTGTCAGCTCCTATGAGTGGTGCTCGCTTCAAGTGCTTGAAACTGATGCCAATTTGGCCAGGAGCCTATGCTAACTTCTTCCTTAGTAATTGTTTTCTCAATAGCTGCAGCTCATTTTGAACATCCTTGGAACAGTACATAAATTTTTATCTTATTTACTATTTCCTGAACTCGCCAATTAAGTTTCCATCATTGTAACTTAAAAAAAAATCTTCCTGTCCAGGACATCCTCCTGAGGGTAAGAATATGCACCTGTTTTACTGAAGTGCCTTCTGCCAGACAGCAGAGAACCCAAGAAAAGACATTTCTTTTTATTTTATTTTTTGATACGGAGTCTCGCTCTGTCGCCCAGGCTGGAGTGCAGTGGTGCGATTTCAGCTCACTGCAAGCTCTGCCTCCCTGGTTCACGCCATTCTCCTGCCTCAGCCTCCCGAGTGGCTGGGAATACAGGTGCCTGCCACCACGCCTGGCTAATTTTTTTGTATTTTTTTAGTAGAGATGGTGTTTCACCATGTTAGCCAGGATGGTCTCAATCTCCTGACCTGGTGATCCACCCGCCTCAGCCTCCCAAATTGCTGGGATTACAGGCATGAGCCACCGTGCCTGGCTAAAGATGTTTTCTTAATAGCGAATATCCTGGTTGAACTTTGTCATTTGCTACATACCCTCACATACAATGTCTCACCAAACAGTATGCATACTGAAGAGAGGGGAGACAGGGAGACAGGGAAGAGGAAAAATAGAGGAGGAGAGGGAGAAAGGGGGAGAAAGGGAGAGAGTGGGGCAGGGAATATTCAGTGGTCAAAAAAGCAAAAAACAAGCAATTATCTCCTCACCAGAAGTTTCAACATCTGGGCTCAGATGAACAGAATAGGCAAGGCTGAAAAAGTTTTATACTTAATTTTACTGAAAAATTAACTACCAGGAGCTTTCATAATAACTTCCTGTTGTATAATTTGAAAATAATTGAAAATTGTATAGTGTATTATATTTTTTTTTCCTTGGGACAGTATCATTCTGTTGCTCAGGCTGGAGTACAGTGGCATGATCTTGGCTCACTGCAGTCTTGACCTCCTGGGAGCAAGCAATCCTCCTGCCTCAGCCTCCCATGTAGCTGGGACCACAGGTGTGCACCACCACACCCAGCTAATTTTTGTATTTTTCTGTAGAGATGGAGTTTGCCACATTGCCCATGCTGGCCTTGAAATCCTGGTCTCAAGTGACCCACCAACCTTGGCCTCCCATAGTGATGGAATTATTGGCATGAACCACCATGCCTGGCCTGCATATTGTGCATTTGAATGTCTTCTACAGTACAGACCACTTAAATACTTCTATTTAAAGAGGTGATGGTATGATAGCTATGCCCTTTTCACTGAAGAAAGGTAAAATATTTGCCAAACCTCACACAATATTAGTGTGAGGTACTTTCACCCAGGTCTTCTGATTTTAAACCATATGGGGTTTTTCCCCCTTCAGATCCCAGTGACTCTTAAATGGAAAACATCTAATACTACTGATTTCCCATTTTCTGTCCTGTGAGTTGTACTCTTTTTCTCTCTCTTCCTCTGGAATATGGTCTGCCTGGGAAGAGGATGTTTACTGGGACCCCTGTCCAGGAACATGTAAGGATTCCTGAAGAGATACACATTGCTTCATTATCAGATACCTTGGTTTAAGTGCCTTGGCTGGATTCTGATAGGTGTGTGTGTAACCCGCAATACCATAGAGCATGAAGTGAAAAAAATGGAAATTCCCTGCGCTATTTGGTTCAGGAGATGCCTAACGGTACTACATAGTAAATGTCATGAAACTACTCAAAAGCATTGGATAGGTTTTTAGTTCTTGCTTCTAGCAAAAAAATAAAAATGTATAAATAAAGTCACACTTTTTTCTATAGATTGGGAGCAACAGAATATGAGTGGAGTGACCATGTATGTCCTGGTTGGCTCAGGACAATCCTAATTTATTCCCATTGTTTCAATATGAATATTTATAGTGCCCATTCTTAAAAGGGTTCTAGTTTGATCAAGTTAAACAATATAGTCATGCTAAATACGGCTTGAGTTTCACAATATACCTGATTGGTTTAACATATCATCAGGTTTCAGATTTAGTCACTTTTAAAATGGGTATGCTTCCTCCTCAGAGGTTGCTGATGACGATAGAAAGGTTTTAGGGAGTAGGTGGTAAATGCCTCCTCCTTCCAAAGTTATATCATCACTTCCCAAAAAAGAAGCTTTGGACAGACACCACTGTTACCCCCAGTCACCACTTTACACCAGAACAATGACCCCAATGAAGAGAAATGCAGACAGTGAGCACAAGCTGCAGGGAGCCACCGCCCACCCACTGGGACTCAAGACCAACATTCACATCCAAACCTATGTCTGTAACCACAGTGGTAAGCAAACATGACTAGTAACTTAAAGCATGGTCTTTCTTTAGGTTTTCTTCTTCGGGAGCAATCTCCCTTGCTCCTGGATACAAACTCTGGCAGGCCCCCGGGCTTTCTATTTATTCTTTTGTAATAGATAGTCCCAGAGTCACTTTAAATCACACGCATGGTCTTAATTTCTGTAAATAAAATGTCCGGCTGAAGATAGTAATCAAAATCCTGTATACAACTATATTAAATCCACCCCTTCTCCCTCCCATGTCCTCATCCCTACACCCACCCTGTCCCTGAATTCCCCCACCCTTTTCAGGCTGCCACCTGCACTGCAGAAAGGACGTGTGGTCATCTGCTCTTTAATGAGCCTAATGGAGTTTCTTGACTCAACTTGCCGCCTTGCTCCAGGAAAGCAAGAGAGAAAAGCGTGTAGGAAGTGAGGGCTGTTCTTTTGTGGCTGGGAGGTTTCCAGCACTCTGGGCCTGGCAGATGGTGAAAGTGACTCTTTTTCTTGGGTGCGCTCTTTAGAATCTCTTGCTGGATCTCTGCCTTGTGGTCTTATGACCTGGATGGGTGCATCTCCAGTCCAAATAGTGGGTGGAGTCACCCTTCTCAACTGCTTGTCACCTGGCAGCTCAACTCTAGCCCTCTTCACCATGAGGCCTGCTTGTCCCTCCAGAGAAGTCTGTTGAACGAGACCTGAGAGGACCCCAGCAACAGTCTCCATGGCATGCTCCTGGGAAAACACTCCCATTTTTCCAGCTCCAAGGCACCACGGCAAGAACATCTCTAGCTCATCGTCTTGCAGGTGGTCAGCTCTTGCCTCTCCCTCTTCATTTCCCAGGCAGGCATCAGATCTCAATCTACAAACCATTTTGATTATCTCAGTCAAGTGTTATGTTCCAGTTTTTAAAGCCCCAAATTTGGAGAGATACAGGTAAAGCTCTCTTGAAGCCCATACATTCATGGGGCTCAAAGTGAGGGGAAGACTCCTCCTACCCCTATGTGATGGGGAAAGAAAATAGCCCAGAACTCTGATGCCTTTTTCTCAAGTTCTCTTCACTCAGCTCCTTACATACAAGACCTACAGAATGCCTCTGCTTCCCTGGTCCTTATCAGGCTCCACTGATGCAACAGGAACCAAATTCCTGACATAGGGAAAATGGACTTCAGAGCATAATTTCATCTAGATATATCAGACTTACAATGTTCTCTCACTTTCTCCTCTCTTAATTCCATTTCAATATTCTTTATCTGACTCCTCTATTTGATTGAAGAGCGCAAATCGTATTAAACAGAATCATTATATAATCATTTAATAACAAATGTTATTAAAAAGAATCATCTGCTTAATAACTCAGTGCAAGGGACACAGGGAGTCGGGAGGAAGGAGAAAGTCTATCTCACACATGCCTTGGAACCATGACATCCACTGCATTGCTACCCCTATAGAAACTATAAGGACTCAATAAAAACAATAGGAAACTATAAACTCTGTCGGTATTAATGCTAAGGGTCCAGTGCCCCAAAAGGCAAAACCAGGTAAGCAAGCTGACACCTATCCTCCAACTATTACAAATTCAATCTGAACAATGCTTATTTCTTTGCTATGTTGCCTGCATTTCCAGAAAAGCCCTCTCTAGGGTCTGACCTCATATAATTCACGCACCTTATTCCCATAAGGGAAATCTAAGAAATTGCTTTCCATCGTGCTGCATCTCATACCAAGTTGAGAAATCCCCTCTGATCTGCTGAACTTCTGAAGTCCCAGAAGTAGAAAAACATTAAGAAATATAAGAAAGGTCAAAAATCTGAAAATGCCACTTGTAAATGGACAGTCTTATTGAGCAGACAGGTCTCCTCAGGTGGTGAACAAAGCTTACATTAGAGCTTAGGAAAGAATGAAAGGGATAAGTTTCTTTCAGCACTTTAATTTTGAGCCAAGGACAAAGTTATGAATTTCAGAGGCGGGTTCCAGGTGACATACGCTAAACACACAACTACCACTGAGCACTAACATAGAACCTCAACAGAGTAAGAAATGACAGGGTTGCCTTGCTAGGGATGTGGGAGATAAGAGCAGCTGACTTCTCAACATGAAGACTACAGCAGACTCTGGCACCTGGATAGATCTTCTGTCATCCCCTGAAGGGCTTCCAACAATAAACAAACAACACAAATAGACAAAGAAAAAACAAAAGCCCGTTGATAATAAAGTCAAAACTTTGATACCATCAAATAACGAAACCAGTCAAAGACATTTTGGGGATTTTTTTTATTAGGCTTCTTTTAAGGGTAGCTTTAGGTTCACAGCAAATTTAAGTGAAAGTACAGAGAGTTCCCATATGACTCCTGTCCCCCTCCCTTGTACACACACAGCCTCCCCTGCTATCAACATCTACCCTAGAGTGGTACACTTGTTGCAACTGATGAACCAACACTGACCTATTATTATCGCCCAAATCCGCAGTTTACGTTAGGGTTCATCCTAGACTTATATATTCTACAAGTCTGGACTAATGTATAATAACAATGTGTCCACCATTTTAGTATCATATAGAATAGTTTCGCTACCCTGGAAGTCCTCTGTGTTTGATCTATTCATCCCTCCCTTCCTGCAACCCATGACAACCATGCAGCCTTTTCTTTTTTTTTTTTTTTTGACATGGAGTCTCGCTCTGTCCCCAGGCTGGAGTGTGGTGGCGCAATCTCAGCTCACTGGAACCTCCACCTCCCGGGTTCAAGCAATTTCCCTGCTTCAGCCCCCCGAGTAGCTGGGACTATAGGCGCACACGCCACCACACCCAGCTAATTTTTGTACTTTTAGTAGAGACGGGGTTTCACGATGTTGGCCAGGATGGTCTCGATCTCTTGACCTCGTGATCCGCCCGCCTCAGCATCCCAAAGTGCTGGGATTACAGGCGTGAGCCACCAGGTCCGGCCAACCATGGACTTTCTTACCGTCTCCGTAGTTTTATCTTTTCCAGAATGTCATGTATTTGGAGTCATAGATAATGCAGCCCTTTCAGATTGGCTCTTTTGCTTAGTAATAAGCATTTAATTTTCCTCTATGTCTTTTTATGGCTTAATAGCTCATTTCTTTTTAGCTGAATAATATTCCATTGTATGGATGTACCAAAATCCATCCACTTACCAAAGGACATCTTAGATGAATTCAGGTTTTGAATGAACTTTGTGTGAATATATAAGTTTTCATCAATTCAGTTGGGTAAAGGCAGCTTGATTGTTGGATCTTACAGTAAGATTATGTTTAGTTTTATAAGAAACTGCGAAACTGTTTTCCAATGTGGCTGAACCACTCTGCATTTCCACCAGTAATGAGAATGAGAGTTGCTGTTGCTCCACGGCCTCACCAGCATTTGGTGGTGTCAGTGTCTTGGATTTTAGCCATCCTAATAAGTGTTAGTGGCTATCATTGTTTTCATTTGCAATTCTCTTACATGGTGTTGAACATCTTTCCCCATGTTTATTTGTCATCTGCATATCTTCTTCGGCCAGTTATCTGTTCAGATCTTTTGCCCGTTTTTGTTTGCTTGCATGTTTGTTTGTGTTTGATTTTTTAAAGAAAGCTTTTTTTATTATTGAGTTGTAATAGTGCTTGTATAGTGTGGATAACAGTTCTCTATCAGATAGGTCTTTTGCAAATATTTTCCCCAATCTGTGGACTGTCTTCTCATTCTTTTGATAAATGGCTTTAAAATAATAATCTGGCTGGGCGCAGTGGCTCATGCCTGTAATTCCAGCACTTTGGGAGGCCAAGGGCAGATCATCTGAGGTCGGGAGTTCGAGACCAGCCTGACCAACATGGAGAAACCCCATCTCTACTAAAAATATAAAATTAGTCGGGCGTGGAGGCACATGCCTGTAATCCCAGCTACTTGAGAGGCTGAGACAGGATAATCGCTTGAACCCGGGAGGTGGAGGTTGCAGTGAGCCGAAATCGTGCCACTGTATTCCAGCCTGGACAATAAGAGCAAAACTCCATCTCAAAAAAAAAAAAAAAACTACCTTTTAATTAAAAACAATTTGCTTTAGTGAGAAATGCATGATAATGATAGTGTCTGAGGAACTGCTCAGTGATTGAAAGGAACATTTTATTGTATTAGATAAATGATATGGTAAAAATAAAGCAAAGCAAAATTAAAACATGCAAATAAAATTTTGATAATTTTTAATATTATGAAAATTCCACAGTTATCGATCTATCTATCTATCTATCTATCTATCTATCTATCTATCTATCTATCTAATTTGCATTGGGCAGGAGCTACTCCAAAACATATGGAGGCAAAAGGCAAAAGAGGAAATTGAAAAGAAAGGAAGCGTAAGAACAAGAGGATAGGTGGTATGGAAGGACTTTGTCAAAAATAATTGTCCACCATCCTCACTTTCTATTTTTACAGATGTTGGTGCTGCTGCTAGTGACAGCCCTGAGAAACAGATGAACAGGGATTCCCAAGTCTTTTTTTTTTTCAATTTTTACATTTAACTGCATGGATTTTTTTTTTTTTTTATGTTAAGGCAACCTGATTGCAGTGTGAATTAATGCTTTTCATCTTGACAAGAATGGACAAGCAAGATGTATTCCTTGTGTAACTTTCATAAGTATCTCAGGTTTATATGTTTTCATTCTGTTTTCAACAAACTTCAGATGTTCTGATCTATGCAAACTGACAATTCTTTTCCTCACTCACAAGATATATTTACATTAAAGAAACACATACTTTCTAAACCATATTTACTTCAAAAATTATTTTAAAAATAGTACTTTTATATGCTATATTATATATCATATCTTATGTACTTAAAAATCATTTTGTAATGATTGAGTATTTGCAAATTAAAATATCAAAGCTCTGGCAGTATTGCTCATTTGGAGAAGAGGAAGACTCACAATTCTGCATAAATGATTGTCTTCTCTATTGTTTGTTTTTTTTTTGTACAGCAGAAAGGCCCTTTTCCCTATCCTATCTGCCTCTGCCAGAGGCCAGAGCAGCCTCAGATTTTCCTCCAGGGCCCTTTGTGGGCCAGCACTCAGGCTGCCCTCTCTGCATGATTAGTGCTGCACAAGGTATAGCATTCACTCCATGCTTCTGGATTCCTGGATGGGACCCACACTTAACTGGCTGTCCCTGCAGCAGAAACTTACTCAAATTACACTGACACCCTGCTTAGCATGAAATTAGCTTGAAATACAGAGGCTAAGAGGTGGCCCCTCCTGATGGTCTCAAGCTTGCTTACTGATATGTAACCTCTTCATATCCCAAGACAAAGTCAGATTGAGTCTCTCCAATGCCAGCAGCAATCTCTTCCCTCACTGTTCCCTCCACTTAACAAAGGCTTTTGAGAAGTAAGAATATTTTAGCTCAAACAACAAGCTTTCACTTTTATATCTAGATAACCTAAAATTTGTTCATGCAGCATTTTACATATCATTACTTCAAGTATATTTCTGTGTTTTTATGATGAAATTGTACCTTCCCAGCAAAACAACACAACAGAGAACAATTGCACTGTATATTTGATGGTAACACTAGAGCCCAACGGAGGGTCCATTCCATGGAGAGATAAAGCTAATGATTTTGGTAAGACTTGGTAAGGGGCTGCAATGACAGGTTTATTGGGCTCTCTAAAACAGTTCTGTTCCTGGACAACTGTGTATAAACAATTTATGAAAAATAAATAATGTTTTATAGACTTTATCAGAAATTTGATATTTAAACAATTCTAAGACACTTTGGAAGAAAAAAAAGACTGAAAAATAATTTCCTAGATGGCAAATCACGAGGCTTATATCAAATATTATCCATCAATGCACAACACAGGAGTAGATTCAAGATATGGCAAGTGCATTCAATCCCAGCTAAAGCATAGTTATTTGTATCCTTAAGAGTTATGTTTATCACAGCATTCTTTGTGGTAATGAAAGAATAGAAATGACCTAAATGATAAGCAGGGGGTTAATGTTTTTAAGATAAAAATAAAGTAAATCCATACAAGCCATTATGCAGCCATTAAGAATATGTGCTTTTTAAATAATCGTGTGCCTTGAATAAAAAGACTAAAGTCAAAAATAACTGAGTTTTAATAGTAGCTTGCTTCCTAACCAGCTATTTAATACTGAACTCATCTCCTTATCTTCCTGAGCCTCAACTGTCTCATCTGAAAAGTGGGGATTAAAAAAAAGTAACTGCCTGAATGGGCTGCTGTGAGAATTAAATGAGATGATACCCTTGAAGTGCTTAGCCAATTATAAAGTTACCTTTTATTGAACATTTACTATTATTAGGTTGAGGCTCATAAAACTGCCATTTTTATAGTTCAAATGTAGTCAACATTTGAAAATCTCATATCGTTAAAACTAACAAGACAGTAAACAAACTAGAGTATAAAGTCTCATCCATAGGAACAAACACAAATATAGCAGGTTTTTACTCTGAAGTAAAATAATTATTAATGGATTTTAGTAGCATTAATGGATTTTAGTAGCATTAAGATGGTACTAGATCAAGGGTCTCAAACCATAGCCATTCTTCCTCCAAAATTTCTAAGGAATATATATACACACACACACACACACACACACACACACACACACACAGAGAGAGAGAGAGAGAGAGAGAGAGAGAGAGAATGACAAATGTCTATGTTGGTTGTAGTATGAGTTTATCCATCCAGTTACTGGAGTGAAAAATAAATAGAAAGAAAAACAATATAATAATACATAATACAATACTACATGGCTCAGAGTTGTCACCACAGTTTTTTGGAGGTAGGTACTTGGATGAGAGTGACAGGATAGAAAAAACCTGAGTGCATGATCCTGTCATAGCCAGACCTTGAGCCTCTAATGTAATACTGTGTCCAGAATTGGTGGCTTCTTGGTCTCACTGACTTCAAGAATGAAGCTGTGGACCCTCGCAGTGAGTGTTACAGTTCTTAAAGGCAGCGTGTCCGGAGTTTGTTCATTCTGATGTTCGGATGTGTTCGGAGTTTCTTCCTTCTGGTGGGTTCGTGGTCTTGCTGGCTCAGGAGTGAAGCTGCGGACCTTCACAGATGAGTGTTACAGCTTTTAAGGCGGCGCGTCTGGAGTTGTTCCTTCCTCCCGGTGGGTTCGTGGTCTCGTTGGCTTCAGGAGTGAAGCTGCAGACCTTGGCGGTGAGTGTTACAGCTCATAAAGGCAGTGTGGACCCAAAGAGTGAGCAGCAGCAAGACTTATTGCAAAGAGCGAAAGAATAAAGCTTCCACCACTGTGGAAGGGGACATGAGCGGGTTGCCACTGCTAGCTCGGGCAGCCTGTTTATTCTCATGTGGCCCCACCCACATCCTGCCGATTGGTAGAGCCAAGGGGTCTGTTTTGACAGGGCACTGATTGGTGCGTTTACAATCCCTGAGCTAGACACAAAGGTTCTCCACGTCCCCACCAGATTAGCTAGATACAGAGTGTTGACACAAAGGTTCTCCAAGTCCCCACCAGAGTAGCTAGATACAGAGTGTTGATTGGTGCATTCACAAACCCTGAGCTAGACACAGGGTACTGATTGGTGTGTTTACAAACCTTGAGCTAGACACAGAGTGCCGATTGGTGTCTCAATCCCTGAGCTAGACATAAAGGTTCTCCAAGGCCCCACCAGAGTAGCTGGATGCAAAGTGTCCATTGGTGCATTCACAAACCCTGAGCTAGACACAGAGTGCCAATTGGTGTATTTACAATCCCTTAGCTAGACATAAAGGTTCTGCAAGTCCTCACCAGACTCAGGAGCCCAGCTGGCTTCACCCAGTGGATCCCGCACCGGCGCTGCATGTGGAGCTGCCTGCCAGTCCCGCGCCGTGCACCCGCACTCCTCAGCCCTTGGGTGGTCGATGGGACTGGGCGCCGTGGAGCAGGCGGCGGCGCTCGTTGGGGAGGCTCGGGCCGCACAGGAGCCCACGAAGGCGGGGAGGCTCAGGCATGGTGGGCTGCAGGTCCCCAGCCCTGCCCCGCGAGGAGGCAGCTAAGGCCAGGCGAGAAATCGAGCGCAGCGCCGGTGGGCCGGCACTGCCGAGGGACCCAGTACACCCTCCGCAGCCGCTGGCCCGGGTGCTAAGCCCCTCATTGCCAGGGGCCGGCAGGCTGCTCCGAGTGCGGGGCCGCCAAGCCCGCGCCCACCCGGAACTCCAGCTGGCCCGCAAGCGCCGAGCACAGCCCCGGTTTCCGCTCACGCCTCTCCCTCCACACCTCCCTGCAAGCTGAGGGAGCCAGCTCTGGCCTTGGCCAGCCCAGAAAGGGGCTCCCACAGTGCAGCGGTGGGCTGAAGGGCTCCTTAAGTGCCGCCAAAGTGGGAGCCCAGGCAGAGGCAGCGCTGAGAGCGAGCGAGGGCTGTGAAGACTGCCAGCACACTGTCACCTCTCAATACCCCACAGAAGCAAAGCCACATGTGAGCATGCAACCTCACATCTCACATAGACTATTAGCAGAGGTGTCCTATTCTCCCGGGAAGGGAGAAAGAGGAGTAGGAAAAAGAAAGGCTAAAAGGTGTCTCAAAAGGGGAAAAGGAATTAACAGCTTCTGACCACCTACCCCCAATACCTATTTTTTATCTATTTTTTGCCTTTTAGCAAATAAACTTTCTGTATTTTTCCATTTTTTAGTGAAAATATATATACCTATATATATATATTCACTGAATTATAAAATTAAAATTATATATATAATTTTATAGGAAAAATAGAACAAATCTTTTTAAAATTGCAGTTACATGCAATTAAAGCATGCTGATGATGAGACATATTAAATCATCCATAAGAAATGCACAGGCTCTCATAGGTATGAAAGCAATGGCTCCTTCTGTGTCACTTTATCTCCATGAATATGCTTCAGTAGTTAAGAACTGCTTCATGTTCAAGGGTGGCTTAGCCTTAGAGGAGAGACTTAGAAGGGGATTATACTTTTAGATCAGAAGAGAATGAATTTTTCCCCAGAACAAATGATTTCTAAAACCCTTAGAAATTGTGCATTACTCATCCTTTTTCTATCTTCTTTCCACTATACATTTTATGTGGGATCCCTGTGGCAGTTAATAGAAAAATTCAAGTCACAAAAGGAAAGAAAGAAAGAAGGGAAAAGACCTGGGGTATCAGAATTAAAAAGAGATGTGAATTGGCCCATTAGGGAAAACTGAGATCTACAGAGATGTGGCTTATGTTTACTTTCCCTCCCTACTAACATGGCCTTTTATAAAAAGAAAAGCCCTGTCTCTTTTCTTTTTCCGTCTCTAACAATGAAACCACACTGAGAGAGATTAGAGTGCTAATCAGCTTCTGGAAAAGCAGATCAACCAAAAAACGCCTACATTGCAGGCTTTCTGGTTCATTTTCCCTCCATTGTTTTAGTAGCCTGAGTTTATGGGAAATCAAACTTCGTCAACTTAAGCTGCTGTTCCTGGCTGAATTTTGGAGTAGTCAGCAAGGTTCCTATAACAAACAAATGACCACACACAATTGTGAGGGCACAGGCATGTGCACGTGCACACACACACACACACACACACACGTATTAATCAGAGCACTTGGTTGCTGAGATCCCAGCAAGAAAGATGAAAATAAATGGAGTATGGTCATTAAAAATCCTAAACTAATATTTCGAATATGGCATAAAATGAATGCTTGCTAACAGAGAATGGATGGGAGGACCTCTTTTGCTTAAGAAAATTAATGATGGCCGGGCGCAGTGGCGCATGCCTGTAATCCCAGCAGTTTGGGAGGCCGAGGAGGGTGGATCACAAGGTCAGGAGATTGAGACCATCCTGGCTAACACGGTGATGAGACATATTAAATCATCCCTACTAAAAAAATACCAACCGTCTCTACTAAAAAAAGTACAAAAATTAGCCGGGTGTGGTGCTGAGCGCCTGCAGTCCCAGCTACTTGGGAGGCTGAGGCAGAAGAATGGCGTGAACCCGGGAAGCGGAGCTTGCAGTGAGCCGAGATCGTGCCACTGCACCCCAGCCTGGGCGACAGAGCGAGACTCTGTCTCTAAAAAAAAAAAACAAAAAAACAAAAATGAATTAAAAGGTTAAGACAGATTGGTTACAAAATCACCAGGAAAGGTCACTCCTAACAGACTCATTATGCTTATGCTTAGGGTAAACAGTCATCAGCTACCCTGCAAAATAAGTGGCAGGGCTGCTGTATATTGAATACAAATTATTTGCAGAACCCTCAGCTCTCCTTGCTTCATTTTGCTACTGGGATACACGGAAGCTGGCATTGTATGTTCATGTGTGTATTTATGTATCTGAGCATCTCATTATAAATTATTATCTTCACATTCAAGAAAATAGCCAGCTCACAGGCACAACACCAACACAGGAGGGCTTTATAACATCGCATGCTTGAATCAGGTGCATTCTGTTTCATCTTGCTTTGTTTTGGTTTTTTTCTTCAGAATTTGGAAAGATATGATGGTTCTTAGGAGTCAGAACTTTTTCTTTTTTTAATAATATGGTTAGTCAGATAAGGCTTCTAGGTGAAACTTCTTCAAAAGTCCAGGGAACCTAGTGTTCTAATGCTTCCCCACTAACTCCTTCTGAAACCACATCTGCTCAAAGCCTTCTCAATCAAGACATGGGGAATCTGCCCTTCAAAGAAAAGGTAATTTCAGCAGATCTCAGGGGAGTTTTGCAATCAGAATTTCCTAAGATACAACTGTGGTGGAACTGGCTATGAAATGTATTAATGCTGATAACTGTGGTTTTATAATCCCCACCAATTACCACAAATTATAGCCGTGTGATTCTGGAAAAACCACATGCTGTGGAGTTGAATCCTGGAAAAATATACACTGGTTGTCTAATTTCCTTCCTAATTTTAAGAAGACTCATAAAAATCCTTGCCCTACCCTTCTTCTCCTAGAAGACTCTCAGGGACCAAAAATACTTGAGAGGCATTTGTACTTAAATCCTATGTAGCGAGCTCCAGAAATACTTTTTTGGCTGTTAATTAACTAATTCAATGTTGATAAGCCTACTTAATGTACACTCCAGTAAACCAGTACATACAAAGAAACGTGGTCCTACCATCAAGGGGTTTACAGTAGCAGTAGGACAGAAAAGTGATGAAATAAAGTCAACACAATGGAGCTACAAAAACAACTGCAAGAGCAGAATCTCAGAAGTCAGAACTCACTGAGAAGAGCATGGAAGCGGGTGGGGAAAATACTTGGTAATAAGGACAGGAAACTGTTTCACCATGCTGGCCTTCAGTGTAAAGTCCTCTGAAAGCTGGCAATCTCCCCAAGTGCACAAATACAGATGTTTGCTCGTTTGTAACTCCTGAACCAGAGAGCCACTAGCTCAGAGGCATCATCGTGGGAAAGCCCCCTGCAGTTTTCAGAGATGTTGCCTTATGAATAATGGAAACTTTCAAGAATGATTTTGGTTTAAGAACAGGGATAAGTCCTTTTTTTAGGGTTGTGTATGTCAGCACTCTGCCCTGGTAAATTATCTGCAGACAGCATAGTCTATCAAAATGAACTCACTGCTGTTCATTTTTCCTGCCTGCCATGCTGTGTATTAACTATCATCCATTATTTTAAAAACATTTCTGGAATCAAAGGTAAGAGCAAAAAGAAAAACAAAAGGGTAATAGGAGATAAATGCACTGCAAATGCTGGTCATACATGCTAGTAAGACAGGAAAAATATCTCATGGGGAAAAACAAAAGCCAATTTTTCCATAACAGCAGTAATATTCACAGACTTGAATGCTTCCAGGAAGCTTAGGAAAGCACAGGGTTTGGGGACGTTGACAGTTATACCCTGGGGATGTTCTCATGGGGAAAGGTGTCAAGCAGATCATTAGTCAATTTGATCCCCCATTTACAAAGCACTGATGTTATGTGAATTTTTATCCCCTTCCATACACACTGGTAGAAGCATACTATAGTATTAATATAGTCTACAAATATATTATTATTTTTGAGAATTACATGATTTTTTTGATATATTTGAGTATATCCTGAAATTTTTAAAAAAACAAAGTAGAAAGCATTGTCTTGAGTAAAAATAACTTCACATTTGGCTGCTGATTGCTCCCCTGATACCATGCATTTGGCATCAAATCCCCCTTTCCTGAAGCAACTCACAGCACTACTGTCACCTGTGTTATTACTGGAATCTTAAGTTGTTATTTAACTTTGTCACTGGTGACAAAGAAAAGGTATACCTTGCTGCCTTAGAGTGATAGTGATCTTTCTCCCCAGTTCCCACCACATGTGTGTATGCCTGTCTCCAGCTCAACTTATGCTTGCTTCTTGGACAAAATGACACCTTAGCAAGACTCAGGAAAATGAAAATGTTAACTATCCAAGAGAAACAAAGCACCATAATTCCAAGAAATCCAGACCAAGTTTTGCTCTAAGGACACCCTTGACAAACATGCAAAATGAGCTTGTCTGCTCTGCCTTCTGTAGAATCAGAAGCACCTTCAAGGTGAGCACTCCCCTCGCAGCAATGGTAAATTTTAGCTGGTTTGTGCCAACACAGTTGCAAGCTAAATGCTTAACTGGGGATTAGACTCCAATTCAAACCACTTTCCAGGCACTGCCTCCTCACTTTATAATGTTATAGAATGATTATCAATAGCTGTGATTCTGAAACCAATCTGAGACCCGGGCCTCTGCAATTTAAAGCATATCAGTGATCTCTGTCAACATTAATTTTCCCCATCCTAATTTGTATTTCTTTCACACCACAAAGGGATCTAAGTTTATGATTTACCTGGACAGCACGATCGTGTTCAGGTCTAAATGCAAAAGAGATTACATGTAGATGATGAATTTGCATCCTTGTAAATGCAGAATATTTTAGCCATGACAAATGGCAAGATGGGAGAACATGTTCACTGAAACTAGGAAGCCCAGAAATAAGGTATCAGCAACACTAATGAGCAGCTCAGTCAAGCAAACCCCAGAAAAATAATGGGCCAAAGTTCATCGATTCTCTGTATTTTCCAGATTAAAATCACCTGGGTAGCTTTTACACTACCTGTGTCCTGGGCTCAGTCCTAGAGATTCTGATTCAATTGGTCTTGGGTGGGGCCACACATATACTATTTTAAAATGTCCCCCAGAAGATGTTAATGTTCGCAGGATTGACAGCCACTGAGTATAAAATGTATTTAGCATATTTCCAGGCTTAGGATCAATAGAATGGTAGCTAAAATATAATCAATGATTTATTAATTCATTGATTTATTAAACAACTAGTTAATGAGTACCACTATGTGGTAACTCTGGTGCTACAAGGCCAAGAAGTTGCAAACTAAACACTTACTCTCAAGGAGTCCAATAGTGAAACACAATGATATCTGAACAGACAGTTGTATCCAGGATGCCCCCCCACCCCCAGCTATGGCAGAGGAAAGCACAAAGGTCAAGTTTTACCTGCTCCAACTCCCAAGTAAGGATAGCTAACACCCACAGAGGACTCTACAACTTGTAGAGCACACGGAGCATCATTAACTTTACCAGATATCAATAGCAACTTCAACTATGAAAAACATTTTTGGCTGGGCGCAGTGGCTCATACTTGTAATCCTAGTACTTTGGGAGGCCAAGGCAGATGGATCACCTGAGGTCAGGAGTTCAAGACCAGCCTGGCCAACATGGCGAAACCCCATCTCTACTAAAAATACAAAAATTAGCTGAGCATGGTGATGCATGCCTGTAATCCCAGCTACTTGGGAGGATGAGGCAGAAGAATCACTTGAACCCAGGAGGCGGAGGTTGCAGTGAGTCGAGATCACACCACTGCACTCCAGCCTGGGCAACAGAGTGAGACTCCATCTCAAAAAACAAAAAAAAAAAAAAAAAAGAAAGAAAATTTCAAAAGTGAAAATATAATAGACATTGGCGTGGATGTGGTGAAAAGGAAACGTTTATACACTGCTTATGGGAATGTAAATTAGTACAGCCTCTTGGGAAAACAGTATGGAGATTTTTTATTTTTTATTTTATTTATTTCTTTTTTTTAGATGGAGTCGCGCACTGTCACCCAGGCTGGAGTGCAGTGGTGCGATCTCAGATCACTGCGAGCTCGGTCTCCGGGGTTCACGTCATTCTCCTGCCTCAGCCTCCTGTGTAGTTGGGACTACAGGCGCCACCACCACACCCGGCTAATTTTTTTTTGTATTTTTAGTGGAGATGGGATTTCACCGTGTTAGCCAGGACAGTCTGGATCTCCTGCCCTCGTGATCCACCCGCCTTGGCCTCCCAAAGTGCTGGGATTACAGGCATGAGCCACTGCACCCGGCCAGTATGGAGATTTTTTAAAGAACTAAAAGTAGATCTACCATTCAATCCAGGAACCCACTACTAGGTATCACAATTCACAATTGCAAAGATATGAAACCAACCTACATGCCCATCAACGATTGAGTGTATAAAGAAAATGTGGTATATGTACATCATAGAATACTACTCAGCCATAAAAAAGAACAAAATAATGTCCTTTGCAGCAACTTGGATGTTGCTGGAAGCCATTATTTTCAGTGAAGTAACTCGGGAATGGAAAACCAATTACCATATGTTCTCATTTAATAAGCAGGAGCTAAGCTATGGGTACATAAAGGCATACAGAGTGACATAATGGACACTGGAAACTCAGAAAAGGGAGGGCGGAAGGGGAAGTGAGGAATAAAAAATGACATATTGGGCACAATATACACTACTCAGGTGATGGGTACACTAAAATCTCAGACTTCATCACTATACAATTCATCCATGTAATCAAAAACCACGAGTACCCCAAAAACTACTGAAATTAAAAAAATACTTACAAATAAAAAAAAGAAAAGAAAATAATTTTTGGAATACCCACTTACAAATGAGGAAACTGAGACTCAGAAGCATTTAGGTATTTTATAGTTAGCTCTTTTCCCAGTTAGCTTTTACAATCAGAAGAGCTGAGTTTCAGTTATGTTTCTACCTCTTAGAATGTGCCTAGAGGGTCCTTAAAATATTTACTCTTCACTGTAACCTAATTGATCAAATTATTATTATCCCTAATATAGAATATAGAAATAAATGTCCAAAGAGATATGGAAACTTGGTGGAGATAATATTCTAATATTTACCATTTTAAGTCCTCTAATTTAGTAGTCACAAAATACCTGGCTTCCTACCTGCAAAATGATAGTGGGTTGACCTGTCTGGGTCTACCTGCAGTCAACCAATAATGAGTTATAATGGATACATTTTTTAAAAAAAATTCCTAGAAGAAATAGGAACAGCAATGTTTTATCATTAGCATTCCAAAATATGCAAGGATACCTGCTGTAAACAAGGCAAATATTTGGGGCAGCAATTATTAGAAATGTAGAATGTTAGAGCTAGGTTGAAAATCAGTCTGTCTAGTACAAATTCTTTTTCTTAAAAATGAGAAGACCAAGATTCTATGAAATAAAACAATTTGCCCAAGATCACACAATTAGTGGCAGTGCTAAGTTTAGAACACAGGACATGCTCACACCTACTCTCAATATGCACAGAACATACTATTTACTTCTCACAGGATTCATCAAAGTGATAATGTCCCTTTTTACTGTTTTGATTGTCTTTGCAAAAGTTTGAGGGAAATTCAAGTAGGTGAAGCTATTTCAATTTGCATTTAGAATTTCTAACATTTCTAGAAAGTACTTTGAAACTTGAGAATTAAATTTAAGAACTGGTAGCCTGTAAACTCAAATTACCCCTATTATCATCTGATTGGAGCATATCTGAATGTTAACTATTCTTTACTGCCTCCTGAAAATCTGCAAAAGTGATCTTTGCAGTATGGTGCAGGAAGCTATCTATTCTTAAATACTGACTAATTGCTGAAAATCTCACTTCCCCTTTTCTCTAATTTTTGACTTGGCCTCAAGCCATCAGTTGTGCTTAGACTTTGGGACACAGCCCTTCACCAGTCTTTTTCCTTCCTGTTTCCATTTACATCCTGACTGGTATCTCATGGGCACTCAGTTGCATAATCTTCTAAGGCAAACAACAAGATGGTTGCTAACTATTCCATGGAATCCTGTTCCCAGAAACAGCACAAAACTGAGATGAAATGCAGTGAAGAGCTACTCAAGTCCAAGACAGGAACATAGATTTGGTTAGACAATCTCAGAGCAGGCTTTTTCCTAACCCTAGTGCATCTTTCAGTGGACCAACACCAATACCTTCTGGCATCAAGCAGAGAAGAATGTATGGAACATGCCACTAATGGAGGGAACTCACATTTAATGAGATCCTACTATTCATCTGGAGCTTCAAATATCTTCTTCCTTGCAATAAGTCTATATGAGATAAATATGTGAGGGAATAAGTTTTTGTGAATGCTGGCAGAGCTACTGTTCAGGAATTTCCTGAACTCTGATTTCCTCCAAAGATCAGGTATGGCCTTGATGATGAGAAGACTGGCATAAAGCCCTGAGAAAAGTTGTATCTTCATTCCCTTAAGAGGAAGCATCAACTGCAAAGACTGCTCTTGAATATAATGCAAGGTTCAACTCTAAGGGGATAATGGAAAACAAAATAGTTGACTTCTCAGATATGGTAGGAAACTATTCTTCAAGGACAAAATTACTAGCAATTCTTCATGACCACTCTACTTCTGATAAACTTATGCTGTGGTTAAATACTATAAACTCAATCTAATCTTAAACTAGCATATATGTGTCCACTCCAGTCTAAAATGCAGAAGTACTAATAACCCCATTTACCAGATGATACGGTTTGGCTGTGTCCCCACCCAAATCTCATCTTGAATTGTAGCTCCCATAATCCCATGTGTCATGGGAAGGACTCATTGGGAGGTAACTGAATCATGGGGGTAGGTTTTTCCCATGCTGTTCTTGTTATAGTGAATAAGTCTCAGAAGATCTGATTTTTTTTTTTTTTTGAGATAGAGTCTTGCTCTGTTGCCCAGGCTGGAATTCAGTGACATGGTCTCAGCTCACTGCACCCTCCGCCTCCCAGGTTCAAGCAATTCTCCTGCCTCAGCCTCCTGAGTAGCTGGGATTTACAGGTGCCCACCACCATGCCCAGCTATTTTTTTTTTTTTTGTATTTTTAGTAGGAGAGGGTTTCACCATGTTGGCTAGGGTGGTTTTGAACTCCTGACCTCAAGTAATCCACCCTTGTCGGCCTCCCAAAGTGCTAGAATTGCAGACATGAGTCACTGTGCCTGGCCAATCTGATGGTTTTATAAAGGGCAGTTCCCTTGCACATGCTCTCTTGCCTGCTGCCATATAAGACATGCCTTTGCTCCTCCTTCACCTTCCACCATGATTGTGAAGCCTCCCCAACCATGTGGACTGTGAGTCCACTAAACCTGTTTTTCTTTATAAATTACCCAGTCTCAGGCATTTCTTCATAGCAGTATGAAAATGGTCTAGGCTGGGCACGGTGGCTCATGCCTGTAATCCCAGCACTTTGGGGGGCTGAGGCAGGTGGATCACCTGAGGTCAGGAGTTTGTGACCAGCCTGGCCAACACAGTGAAATCCCATCTCTACTAAAAACACAAAAATTAGCCGGACATGGTGGCAGGTGCCTGTAATCCCCACTACTTGGGAGGCTGAGGCAGGAGAATTGCTTGACCTCGGGAGGCGGAGGTTGCAGTGAGCCAAGATCAAGCCACTGCACTCCATCCTGAGCAACAGAGCAAGACTCTGTCTCAAAAAGAAGAAAAAAAAAAAAAAAAAAGAAAGAAAGGAAGTGGTCTAATACACCAGTTGAAGAAAATGAGGTCCAGAGAGGGCATCCTTAACCACAGCTTGGACAGATTAGGTATCCATCTCAACTCTATCTTCTTTACAAGGATAAATAATTCAGAAGAGAAGAGGATGTAGAAACTAGGGCCTGGCAGGGAGTGTCAAATCAATGAAGAAAGCAGGTCCAGGAAGTAGAGAGAAGAGGGACCAAAATTCAAAATCTCAATCTGCTCTAGTGTACAGGCCTATTTCAGGAACTTAGCACATCAAGTTGATGTTTGTCATTATACACTGGCTTGGTAGCTACACCTTGATCTTTGCCCTACTACAACGAGTCTAATAAGAAAAATGGCCTGAAGATATTTTCAGTCTGATGATATCCTGTAGAGTTTTATGTTTGGAGAGATGGGGAACATGGATGACTTAGTTCCCAAGAGCAGAAGTGGCAAATTGATGGACCTCAGGCCACCACGCTAGCTAGTATAGCTAAGCTAATCAGGACGACCATGGATACAGCCATTACAGATGCACCCTGCATCCTGCAGTCCAGACAGTAGCTGATCTCACACTATTCCTTCCTCCTTCCCACATGCTTCCTGGTGACAGGAGGAGCAATTGTATCATGTGCTTAGATGGCCCAAAGAATAAGCAGGCAGCAACCATTTGAGTAACAGTTTTGCGGTTCTGTAGATTCCATAAAACTACTCAAATAAACAAACAAAGTGGTTATTCTAAGCAGAGTCCACAAATCCCTATGTCATATCAGCATCAGAACATCAACCCCTGACTTCTGGGGAGCTGCCAAAATGGGAACTCAGAGGCCAGACCTCTATTAACAGTGCAGCACTTGGTGTCAGCAAAACTCTGACTGCTAAGGTTATTGTAGGCTGGGACATCCTGCTGCCTAGCAAAAGTATAGTCTCCATGTTGTGACATTAATTTGTTAAGTTTTGAAGAGAGAGATTATTGGGACTGTGTTTTTGTAACCCTAAAGGGAAAACGTCCCATGTAATGTAGAAGGAAGAGAATAGTGTAAATTCTGACTCGTTTTTGAGGTCAGAAGTGATAGATTCCTAATTGGGAGAAGGGCAATACCAAATTTAAGAAAAATAATCTAGGAAACTGACAGATAATGGCAAAATTAGAAAGAAAACTGACATCACAATAAATACCAATCAAGTTCCAAAGATTTCCGGACATTTCCCTTGCCCCAGCAAAGAGAATGTATTCATCAACCTGCAGGCATGGCTAATCCAAGTCTTCGATTATTTCAAAGGGTATACGTTTGGAATAATGCAATGAATATAAATTTCCCAATTAATTTGGTTTAGGATTGGAGATGGGGAAGACAAACTTGTGAAATTATCTTATTTCTTTCAAACTCAGATAGTTCACACTGGTCTGACTCAATGTTCTCATTCAAAAGGGGCGATGATGCAGGACATTCAAAGATAAATTCCTTTCAAAAGTCTTTTTAAAGTTTTGGTCCCCAGAAGTGATGGCAGAAATAAATATACATTTCTGAAAGAAAACGCAGTCCTGTGCCTTTCAGGAATTGATTGCATCTCCTGCTTCTGCAAGCTAAGAAGTCATAATCCTCTGCAATCACAGATTGTTTGAAGCCAATAAACCAAAGGTGATGACCTTGCTAATACATCCCAGCAGGAGAAAGAAATAAAGCTGTGCTGAGGAATAACTCTTCAGCACACCATTTCCCTTTGGAAGGAGGAGAAGAGCTGAAAGCACCCCAGCCTGATTTATGGAGGAGCAGTACTGTATTTCGGAAACTTCACCTGAAATAAGAAAAAGGTTTTTCTAAAGTTCTCCAGTACTATTGCTCTCATCTTCCTCATCCTACGATATAATGCCTGTTGAGCCATGGATACTCGCTTCAGTGCCACACATACCTCTGGTGGCCTTTGCTCAAAGTTGAGCCAGGTCCGTAGTGGAGACCTGTGTCCTGTTTCCTAAAGTGAACTGTCAGGAGACAGCACAAGGTGCAGCCCTTGGGACTGGGAATTCAATGCGCCAGACATTACATTTGTATTTGAACAAATGTACCTCTGCTTTAGCATTAGATAAGCTTCCAGCACTCACGAAAGCATCATTACAGACATTCAGCATAGCAGTGTCAAGCAACCTGCTGAAATTAAATTAATATCTGTCACCTCCCTCAAGTGCAATGACAATAGATTAGAGCAAAACATGACATTTGAGTAAACTATATTCTGTTAACCATTGATTACTTGTGATAACTAATATGGGACATGCTTTATATGAATTAAACCCACAGATGACACAGATAACATATTTTTAAAAAATCTCCTTTCCTCATTACATTTAACTTGGCGCTTCTTGTTACTGAACATACTACTATGCACCAAGGTCTGTACTTGGTGTTGGGTATACAAAAATGAAGAAGGTAGCATGTGTCCTTCGAAATGTTCCTGGTAAAGGTAAGAGATGAATAGAAAGTGCTTACAATTCAAACCAATACATTCAAAAGGAAAAATATGTAAAACAGAGCACATGAGCAGTAATTTATTCTCTGTGTGGCTTCTTTTTAAGAAGCCATTCATATCTATACTATTAAAAGTAGGCTTGGCTGGACATGGTGGCTCACGCCTGTAATCCCAGCACTTTGGGAGGCCAAGGTGGGTGGATCACCTGAGGTAAGGAGTTCCAGACCAACCTGGCCAACATGGTGAAACCCTATCTCAACTAAAAATACAAAAATTAACTGGGTATGGTGGCACATGGCTGTAATCCCAGCTACTCGGGAGACTGAAGCAGGAGAACTGCTTGAACCCGAGAGGTGGAGGTTTCAGTGAGCCTAAGTTGTGCCATTGCACTCCAGCCTGGGCAACAAGAACAAAACTCCATCTCAAAAAATAATAATAAAAAAAATTATTCTCTGTGTGGATAGAGATGGCTAGGGAAGGATCCCACAAAAGATGGTCCTTGTGGGGTTCAAAGCCTGGGCTCTGGAGCTCGACTGGTTCAGATCTCTTCTTTACTGCTTAGTATCTTTATGACCCTGTTCGGGTTACCTCCCTATGCCTCAGTTTCCACGTCTACAAAAAGGGTATAACGATAGTACCAATCTCATAAAAATATTTTGGGAATTTGTTAATACATATAAAGCACTTGAAGCCATGCCTGGCATATAGTAAATTGTCAGTATAAATGGCTATCAGTATTATTTTGTAGGCAAATTGAATAGAAGGGGAAAGGCATCCCCAGCAAAGACCACAGAAGTACAAGATCCAAGATTTGTGTTTGTCTGTTGGTGTTGTATTATTAATGTATGTTTAGTAGGTGATCCACACTCAACATCAGTGTCACCATAAGCCTATTAGATAAATATACTTTTTCTGATGAGGAAATGGAGCACAGAGACTTAAAAAAAAAATCTCCCCACAGTCTCAGAGCTAGTAAATGGACAGAGCCTGGATTCCTGCCCAGACAGCCCAAGGCCAAAGCCCACGTGCTGACCCATGACATGGATGGCCTTCCAAGGGCACGTGTTGCCTTGGCAGAACCTATAAGTAGTTCACCGTGGCTAGAACACACAATACCCTTCCTTTATTGAGAATTTTAGTAAGTGAAATGAACAATACCAAGGAATGTGGCTCCCAGTAGGAGAGGGATTGGAGAAGCCAAAGTAAGGTCAACTTAGACTCCAGAAAACCAAACTCTAAAAAATATATTTTTAACTATAAAAGGAAAAGAAATTTTGGAATGGGCTTCAGAGTAAGGAGCAGGGTAAAAAATGGTGACTAGCAAGAAAACCAGTATTACTTCAGCCTAATATCTGAGCGACTCACTCTGTGTTGACAATGGTATCACAGGGACTGCCGGTTGTGGTTAATCTGTAAGTCTTAGTTCTGGGAATAGACAGTTGCCTGGAGAAAATCTCCCATAACCAGGATGGAGAAGGCTGCTTAGTGTTCCCCAAAGGTGTGGAGGTGGGTTGTCACTCACAAATAACTCAGGGATGTGGGGGGAATTGACAAGTAGATCTAGTTGTTCCATATAAATGCAGAAAAATAGCAGTGCCTTCTCCTAGAGAGCTGAGTGAATTTCTTAAAAGTAGCTTTTATAAAAGGCTTTTCTGATTAACTCCACCTGCTCTGACCAGTTCCCATTCACAGAGTTCCCCGGGGACAAGACATGTTCCAAGTTTTATAATACAAAAATTCACACTCCTCTGGGTATTATTTTTTAAGTGTTCTTCAGGCTCTTAAATATGAATGGATCGAAGGTCCTACTGTTTCACTGTTTGTCCTCCTCCCACCTCCGGCTTCCCTTTCTTCTTTCTCTATTTGGTCAAGACCTCTTATCTACCACTCAAGCCCCTCAGTTCCCCAACCTCTTGTCCTTCCTCCTGGAATCATAACCAAATGCCTTCTTGTGTGTTACACAAGGCTCACTGGAACAAAAAAAGCACAGTCATGCTGACCCCAGGGTGTGGCTTCATCTGGATCTCAGCATTATTCAGCACAGTGCATGCCAGCTCCTGAGCTGTCCCTCTCCTGTCTTCTCAGTGACTCTTCCAAAATGTCAAGTCCCATCTCACGTCCATCTCCCACTCAACATACAACCAAATGGCAGGACACCCCTTAACCCACATGGCTCAGGAAAGCTGATTTGTGGGAGTCCCTATCCTGGCATCCTTGCCTCCTCTCTTGGTAAAAGGAAAGCTCCCCTCGGTCCACCCCTTGCCCTCCCTGATCTACTACGACTGGATAATTCCTCCACCTGACCTTGGATTCCATACCTTCTCTACCACTCAATTCTCTATCAGTTCTCTATCAGTTCTATTCTCCACTAATTTTTCTATATTTTCAGTCTCTTTTCACTGATTTCTCCCTGGGAAATGTAAACATGGCCAGGTTTGTTCTCACTTAAAGAAAGGAAAATGTTCCTTTAGTCTGTCACCTCCTTTCTACAAAATCACGTCTCTTCCTTTTATTTCCCTTCACAGCTCCTTCTTGAGAGAGCTGTCTTCATATCCTGTCCCTATTCCCTGACTGCTCATCCACTAGTCAGAGGTGCTCAGTGGGCATCACTAGGACAGACAGATGTACCTTCTCAGCCACCTGTTACCCAACCTTCCCTCCGGCACTTCAGCTGAGCCAATGTCTTCTGCATTGATAAATTTGGTGGCTACTTCACACATATTTTTCTTACTTAACTATCTGTGGTGTTTAATGTTCTTCTCACTTGTTCCTCTGCCTAATTTTTCTTCCAACTTTCAAGCAGCAGCAACTCCAACTCCTCCTCAGACTTCTGTATGTCTAGGAACTGGGGATCTCCTCAGTTTTTCTCTCATTTTCTTCTGCACACTCTCCCTAGGTTCCTATGAACACAGCTTCTACTGCTTGAGCTCATGCCTTCCAAATATGTCTTCACATCAGTCCTTCTGCCTGGACTCCAAGGCCATGTATACTTTAATTATCTGAAAATTTCCATTTGAGTTGTCTAACTCTATCTCAACCTCAATCTGTTAAAAAATAAATTAATAGGCCAGGTGCAGTGGCTCACACCTGTAATCCCAGCGCTTTGGGAGGCCGAGGTGGCCGGATCATGAGGTCAGGAGATCAAGACCATCCCGGCTAACACTGTGAAACCCCATCTCTACTAAAAATACAAAAAAAAAATAGCCGGGCATGGTGGCAGGTGCCTGTAGTCCCAGCTACTCGGGAGGCTGAGGCAGGAGAATGGCGTGAACCCGGGAGGCAGAGCTTGCAGTGAGCCGAGATCGTGCCACTGGACTCCAGCCTAGGCAACAGAGTGAGACTCCATCTCAAAAAATTAATTAATTAATTAATTGTCTCTTCACCTCATCCCCATCTCCCATTCCAAAATTGTCTTCCTCCGTCTTCTCCTAGAAAATAATCTCACCATCCTCTGGAATGTCCAAGACAAAAGTGAGAAAGTCATTGCAGATATGTTTCTCCCTTTCACCTTCTAACTCACCCAACAACTGGTCCTGTGCTTCTTTCCCTTACAAAATCTATTAAAATCACCCCCACACTCTATATGTCATACTCCATTTTTCCACTCTCTAAAAAGGTTGGCCCCTTCTCATCTCTTACTTCTTGTTTCACTGACTACTTTGTTCATGGTCACCAGTTTTGTTCTTTGCCAGGTGAATCCATAACATGACACCAAGGTAATTTTTTGTGTGTGAAATTCATATCTCATCAACCCTTTTACTTGCCCCAGACCTTTCAAAGATGCATTAGTTCCTCTGGGATAAATGTCAGAATACTTAGCACAGAACTGACCAATTGCACACACAGACTGTATTGTGATTTAGTGCAATTTCCTCAATAAGCCATGCTGCCAGCACCTAGAGGCGCCTGAAATATGGGATGTACTCACTAAATAATCAGCCTCCCTTACTAGTCTAATTCCTACTCCTTCTTTGGATTCAGTTCAGGTCTCTTCTCCTCCAGAAAGCTCTTCCTTCCCCACCCAGAGAACCTATGGTACTTCTACTATGGCACTTGACATACTGACATAATCTCTCATGTATTTATCTGTCTCCCCAACAGGCTGCAAATTACTTAAGGACAACAATATGATCTTCTTTGTATCTGGATTTATACCAGTTAGCATGGATCTATGTATGTACGTATTTATACATTCAATTAATTTGCCAAATTTCACCTGAATACCTTTGTGCCAGGCAATTTCCTGGACACAGAAAATAAGACAGACAAGGTCTCTGCCCTCAGCGAGTTTATATTTTAATGGTGGCATCAGACAATAGAGAAGTAATGAATAAAATCATTCTAGATCATGACACATGTAGTGAATGAAAGAAACAAAGAGAGCTATGGTAGAAAGAAGCAAGAAAGAGCCTTCTTTTTTTTTTTTTTTTTTTTTTTTTTTTGGAGATGGAGTCTCGCTCTGTCACTCAGGCTGACATGCAGTGATGTGATCTTGGCTCACTGCAACCTCTGGCTCCCGGGTTCAAGCAATTCTCCTGCCTCAAACTCCCGAGAGGCTGGGATTACAGGCATGAGCCACCACACCCAGCTAATTTTTTTGTATTTTTAGTAGAGACAAGGTTTCACCATGTTGGCCAGGCTGGTCTTGAACTCCTAGCCTCAAGTGATCTACCTGCCTCGGCCTCCCAAAGTGCTGGGATTACAGGTGTGAGCCACCATGTCCAGCCAAGCCTACTTTTAATAGTATAGATACGAATGGCTTCTTAAAAAGAAGTTGGTATTTGGATTATGACCTGAAAAATATGGAGGATCTGGTCATGCTGAAAGAATAAAGAGACTTTGTGTTCCTAGAAGGTATGAAATTGTGTTCTGAGGATCTTCTGACTTTCTTTGTGCCCAATACAGGACACTATACTCAAATAGCACTTAATTTTCATTGTTTGATTGCTTATTAAGCTTAAATTTTGACATAAAAGGACAATCCAAAACAGTAAATACATAGGAAAGCCTTCTGAGGAACTATGAGGATGTGGAAGGTAACTGGATGGTGGTGATCTGTATCTCAAGGGACTTCACAGATGTAGAATTTTACCACGTGGTGTTCATACCAATGTACTAAAATGGGAATTAATATTCTAAATGCTTCCTGAATCTATAACCAGGTTTGATATCAGAATGTCAGTTGCTTTGCTTTCTCTAGTAAAATTTTTTGCCTTTGCTTTCTCAGCTTATATTGGCAAAGTTATTAGGACCTCAGGACAGTGTTTGCTTTCTGTGTATTTCATCTATTACTTGCTAAAAGGAAAAGTGGGGAACTCAGCAGGGTGTCAATCACTGAGGCAAACAAGGAGAGCAGGGGTGCAAGCTGAGGCCAGACTCTCACAGATGGTCTCACACATCTCAGGAAGGTCTATAGCATCTTTTGGATGAATACATGCAGATCCTTATAGAACGAGCTTTCACATGGTGAGTTCTAAGATTTTGTTAAAATCAAGGGGGCTGAACAGGAATGCCTAGAGCTCTGTGGAAATAACAGATTCCTGCCTTGAATCTCTGGGCTTTTCCCACTTGGCACTGGTTATGCTCTTCTTCTTTGACAGCAATGTCATGGAATTTCTCGAGGTCACGTAGCACATTATTCAGAACTGTATCACCTACACATAAGGCAGTAGGTTAAAAATTTAGGATAGAAACAAGTGTATGACATAGGCCTGGCTTTCAGTGACACTAAATCATTTCATAACATACTCTTCAAAGCAAAAAGCATTTAATGATACTTAATAAGACCAGTTCTATTTTGGGTATGAACCAAATGAAAATAAGACATGGTCATAGTCTTTGGATTTCCAGGTTAGTATGTGATATGGTTTGGCTGTGTCCCTACCCAAATCTTGTCTTGAATTGTAGCCCCCATAATTCCCACATATCAAGGGAAGGATTTGGTGGGAGGTAATTGAATCATGGGAGCGGGTCTTCCCCCATACTATTTTCATGTTAGTGTGTAAGTCTCACGAGATCTGATGGTTTTATAAATGGGAGTTCCCTGCACAAACTCTCTCGCCTGTTGCCATGTAAGACGTGGCTTTGCTCTTCCATCATTTTACACCATGACTGTGGGGCCTCCCCAGCACTGTGGAACTGTGAGTCAATTAAACCTCTTTCCTTTATAAATTACCCAGTATCAGGTATGTCTTTATTAGCAGCACGGGAACAGACTAATAATACAGTATGGAAACAGACAAACATCACAATAACTTATGCATACATTTTACCCTGCATTTAGCACACTTCTGTAACTATCCACTGAAAGTCTGCTCTTAACTAGATTTGGGGTTTCTGTAGGACAGGAACAATTATTTACTTATATGCTTATTCCCACTGACTATCTAGTACACTGCTTGGCATGGCATACAGGTAGGTCTAAGAGATGTTTGTTGAACAAAATAAATATACATCTGATAACCATTATAAGTCAAAGATACATAATTCACTACAAGATTAATGAGAAAGAAGCAATTATTTTTGCCTGAGGAGTGAGGGAGAAAGAGAGAGGTCCACAGTGCCACAGTCCAATACACATATGAAAAGATGATCACCATCACTTGTGGTCAGGAAAATACCCATTAAAATACACTGAGATCAAGACATCACTTTCATCCAAAATACTGATTTAAAAGTTACGTATTGAAAATTCCAGTCCTGATGAAAGCCTGGGGAAATCTGCAAACTATTATTGCTTGCACGTGTATGATTTGTTGCAACCTTCTTGGAATGTAATCTCGAGTATCATTTACAATACAAATGCATTCATTTTTGATACAACAATATCATCTTAAGAATTCTATTGTACTTTATAAAGGTAAAATTACCAAAGTAAAAGGATATGTTTACAGATATGTTTATCGGAGCACTGTGTGTAGTAACAACTCTTGACGAAATGAACTAAAGATCTATCGGAAAGGTAATGGAGAAGCAGTGTAGCACAGGCATTCAGAGAATAGTCAGGAGCCAGCTCTGTCTGACTAGCTGGCTGTCAGACCATTAAGCATGCTACTAAATCTTTCTAAGTCTTACTTCTCTCATCTAGAAACTGGAGCTACAGGCTGGGCGCGGTGGCTCACGCCTGTAATCCCAGCACTTTGGGAGGCCAAGGTGGGCAGATCACCTGAGGTCAGGAGTTCAAGACTAGCCTGGCCAACATGGTGAAACCCTGTCTCTACTAAAAATACAAAAAAATTAGCCGGGCCTGGTGGCAGGCACCTGCAATCCCAGCTACTCAAGAGATTGAGGCAGGAGAATTGCTTGAACCAGAGAGAGGCAGAGGTTGCAGTGAGCCGAGAACATGCCATCACTCTTCACAAGAGTGAAACTCCATCTCAAAAAAAAAAAAGAGAAAAAGAAACTAGAGCTACAAACAGTACCTATTTTATGGGGTTGTTAAAAGGATAAAAGAACTGAAAACACTTCTTGGTATGTAGGAAGCAATACATAAGTTAATTAAGCATGCAGTTGTTTAATTCGATATACTGTACAATATGCATACTCTGGGATGCTTACAAGCCTGGCCCATTTTTTTCAATGCATTCATCTGGATAGACACCCAAGAGTCATTGGTAAGTGAAATAAATCAGGTTGTCATAATCCAGTGAATAGTATACTTCTATTTTCTTAAACAAATGAAAAAGTAGACCTATGGTATGTATATATCTGTTGACACTTTTTAGTTGAGTCACAAAGATATGAAGAGAAAAAAAACAATAACTCACCACTACAGATATCAGGAAAGCTGAATCTAGGTGGTATGTAAGAAACTATTTACAGTTTTTTGAAAAAAAAAAAATGTATCTGTGTTTTTTCTGGCTCATTGTAATGAGCATACATTACTTTTGTGATTTTTTTTAAAAAAACATAGTTTAGTAAAATAAATGTAGGCAGGGTAGAGTGGCTCACGTCTGTAATCCCAGTGCTTTAGGAGGCTGAGTTAAGGGGACTGCTTGAAGCCAGGGGTCCAAGACCAGTCTGGGCAACAAGGTGAGGCCCCATCTCTACAAAAAAATTTAAAAATTAATCTGGCACAGTGGTGTGTACCTGTAGTACCAGTTACTTGGGAGGCTGAGGCTGGAGGACTGCTTGTGGCTGCAGTGAGCTATGATTATTCCACTGCCTCAGTGACAGAGCAAGACCCTGTTTCTTAAAAAAAAAAAAAAATTAACTGTAGGCCGGGCGCAGTGCCTCACGCCTGTAATCCCAGCACTTTGGGAGGCTGAGACAGGCAGATCACAAGGTCAGGAGATTGAGACCATCCTGGCTAACATGGTGAAACCGCGTCTCTACTAAAAATACAAAAAAAATTAGCTGGGCGTGGTGGCAGGCGCCTGTAGTCCCAGCTACTCTGGAGGCTGAGGCAGGAGAATGGCATGAACCTGGGAGGCGGAGCTTGCAGTAAGCTGAGATCACGCCACTGCACTTCAACCTAGGAGACAGAGAAAGACTCTGTATCCAAAAAAAAAAAGAATTTTAATTGTGTAAGTTCAGGAACCACAACCAGCTCCAAGTGACACAAATATGGAATGGGAGTTACAAAACACAAAAGAATCTAGAATCCAAAAAGCCACAATCCAGAACACCTCCGGATCCTGCCTGAACGCTTGACTAGCTCCCTTAGACTCTGGAGAGGTACTAAACATTTGTACGCACAGGTGTGAACAGCATCATTAAATCTGTGTGACATGAAGGATTCTCTTGCCTGGAAGTTATCACACTCTGGTTTTATTATTATTATTTTTTCTTTTTAGGATGTGCATATAGCCTTGTGTTTGTAGCAGAGTGAAAACTGGATTTGGTAGCAAAACATCTTTCAAAGCAGGGACTAACAATCTGACCCAAGCCACCCACTGCTCTTCCCCTGGACGTGGCGTGGAGGAGAAGGGAGGCGTTGGGACTCACTCACAGGGCTTGCAGAGGGCTAACAAACACACAGGTGAGTTCCCTCCAGCCTGAACCTAGGGAGTTCTCCAGAGAGCACAGGCTGCCCTCATCCCTACACAGCCTCTGACTCAAGGCCATTATTCACAAACACTACTGGGGAACTTCTCTTGATAATCATGATGCGTAATGGCCACGAAATTGTGTCTCCTGAGAAAATGGGACAGGGCTGGCTACCAATACAGAATCACATCAAAAGCCTAACACATTCTCTCTCCTTAAATTGCACTTGCTTTGTGCCCCTCCAAAAGCAGGTTTTGCTGTTTGAGAAGTACATACTTCTGGAGACCTACTTAGAAGCCTGCTTGTGTCCCATGTGGATCTGAGAACAGGACACTGAATTTGAGAAGTCAGCCATGTCAGGCAACCTCTAAGATAGACAGACACTGCAGGTTGTGTGCTGCTTTAAGAGAGTAGACTTCCAGCTCCTTCCAGAATTGCCTAGGGCTTTCTCACCAGCTAAGCCTCTCTCAACAGAGTACTGATTGCCCTAGTATAACAGGGAAAAAAAAGATGAATATATTTCTTCTCAGAAGTACCATATTCTAGATTTTGACAATTTATCTATCTCAACCTTTAAGCTTATCTTGTACCAATATGATAAAACCACCACGCTCTCCAATTCTCAAAGCTTAATCCACTATAAAGTGAAGACAATTTTAAGGTGCAGTGAATTGTTCTGCATCAAATCATCCCCCTTTCCTCTCATTTTGACTCCCTGAGTGAAGAACAACACAAAACGAAACAAAAATCACCAACTTGCTCCAAGATTAATGTGTAATCAATGACAAGACCAACCGGGAGCAAAAGCTCATTAATTTGGTACAGTGACATCTCGTTCTGTCTTGCCTGGTTTGTTGATATCCAGCAAGGCTTACAGCCCTAGGACATCACTATAAGGTCAACAGCCTCTTGGCCTCTTGACTACCCTACCACCTCAAGGGCATTTGCCAGTTGCCCCTTTCTGACTCTTCAGCTGCTAAAACTTGTAAAGAATAAGGGCTCAATTGAAAAGTGCACGTATCTACTTGTTGGACAAGAAGCCATTTCTCTGTCACCCAGTATTTTTCAGGAGTAAGGCAATTGCTGCTCAGAATGTTACAGCACGTAGAAAACCCTATTCACTCTGTATATGGTGTTTGTACGTGTGTGTGTCTGTGTGTGTATATATATACACACAATACATATATAGATATTATATAATAATATACACATATATTTCTATAAAATATCCTGTTGCTTGTTTGGGTATAGAAAGATCCACCAGAAGGCAGAGCTCTGGAAGACAGATAAGCAATGAACGTATGGAGTTCAGTAACATGTCTGTAAGTCTATAGGCTACTACTTGCTAATTGTGCGACCTTGGGCACACCATAAAAATGAATTAAGAGGATGTAATAACACATGTCTAACACTCAGCATCATGCCAGACACACAGTGAATACCCAATAAAGGTTTCCAGTATTGTCATTATTACCATTATCATTATTATCACTAAACGAGCAAGGTGTTGGGTTCAAGGACTCAAAGATGAGTTACGAAGAGAAAATATCCACATGAGGAAAGTAAAGAAGCAACACTTATCTCATATTTTTATTACAACACTTATGGTTGTGTGAAAGTCTATTTACATTATATCTGTCTTATTCTGGGATCTGGCATTTCCGGGCGGCTGCTTCAATAACTTATTCAATACAATTACATAAGGAGGGATACATGCAAGTGTATTTCCCTCTCACCTTGACTGTCCACAGATCTTTGTCCCCCTCTAAAAAGGAACATCTGGCCGGGCACGGTGGTTAACGCCTGTAATCCCAGCACTTTGGGAGGCCGAGGTGGGTGGATCACGAGGTCAGGAGATCGAGACCATCCTGGCTAACATGGTGAAACCCCGTCTCTACTAAAAATACAAAAATTAGCCAGGCATGGTGGCGGGCATCTGTAGTCTCAGCTACTAGGGAGGCTGAAGCAAGAGAATGGCGGGTGAACCCAGGAGGCAGAGCTTGCAGTGAGCCGAGATCACGCCACTGCACTCCAGCCTGGGTGACAGAGCAAGACTCCGTCTCTGAAAAAAAAAAAAAAAAACGGAACACCTGGAGGACAGAGCCTATCTGCTGTTGATCTAGGTACACACACACCTTCCCCTCACTGGACCAGATCATTCCAAGGCATAAAGGAGTTAATCAATACAACACTGTTGAATAAATAAAAGAAATAAAATACAATATAATAAAATTATCTTTGGATGACCATGAAGTCTGTTGTGCTCACTGCTCTGTTTAAAAACACAGTTACTGAGCACTAGCTATATGCTAAGTCTTGTACTTGGGGCCATGGGTACCTTGCAGATGTCTAAGACTTGCCTGAGGTCATAGTCCCCAATTTTTGGCATAGGCAGGTTTTCTGAGCATAAAGTACTGAAACCTCCCCAATAGTCCCATAGACACTTCTTTTGGATAAAAATAGGAATTGGCCCTTCCTGTCTTAAAGCTTGAAACTTAACATTTGTTTCATCTGAGTTCCCTCCTCAGGAAAGGCCCTGGAAGCCTCTCAAAAAGTATCAAAGAAGTAAAACTCACTAGCTCATTGCATTCAGACAATGAGATGCCAGGCCTCTCATTTTATCTCCTTACCCTTCCCTAGTTCCTGTTTTCCAACACAGTTACATTTCTTCCCTGCTATGTTAAACCCCTAACTTTAGTGAGTCAGGGAGATGGATTTGAGACTCATCTCCCATCTCCTCAGCTCTAGCACCCGGTTAAAGCCTTCTTCCTTGGCAATAATAGTTGTCTCAGTGATTGGCTTTCTGTGCAGTGACCAGAAGGGCTGAGATTGGATCCCTGGTGTTTTGGTAACAGTATGAGCTGGTGCAGGAGAAAGTCAGTTTGTGCTAGGCCACCTAGTTTCCCTCAAGCAAGGCTGTGCTAGACAACTCAGAACCATAAGGCTTTCTCTTCCTGAGCCCTGTCCTCTACCCACCCAGGCCTGTCCCACTCCTCCTCTGTATTAACATACCTATGGAGGTTTCCTAAACTCTTGAGTACGGGCACTGTGAGCTGTTCAAAAGTCCTACCGAGGTTTCATATATGACACATTATATATTATATTATATTATATTATATTATATTATACTATGTTATATTATATATTATAATATGAAGTATTATACATATTTTTCCACCTTATTCTCTGTTTTCTAAATTACATTTTCAGTAAGGTATGTGTCATTCCTATTAAAGTACTAAAATGACCAGGCGTGGTGGCTCATGCTTGTAATCCTGAGAGTTTGGGAGGCTGAGGTGGGAGGGTTACTTGAACCCAGGAGCTCAAAACCAGTTTGAGTAACAAAGTGGGACCCTGTCTCTATCAAAATAATAATAATAAAAAATTAGCCTAGGGTAGTCGCAAATATTTGTAGTCCCAGCTACTTGGGAGGCTAAGGTGGGAAGATCACTTTTATCTGGGTGTTTGAGGCTGTAGTAAGCTGTGATCATGCCACTGCACTCCAGCCTGGGTGACAGGGTGAGATTCTGTCTCAAATACTACTACTACTACTAATAATAATAATAATTTAAAATAAATAAAATTACCAGTTTCTAATATATCACATACCTGAAGTAGTCACACCAGTATATGACATATGGCAAATGACTATTAGGCGTATATTTTAGAAATATATTATGTATCTGTGGGTATAGTGTGTGTGTGTGTGTGTGTGTGTGTGTGTGTGCATGCGTGTGTGTATACGCATGGTCATCTCTCAGTACCTGGAGGGGATTTTTTCCAGAATCCCCCATGAATACTAAAATCCGCAGATGCTCAAATTCCTGATAGAAGATGGTGTAGTAGTTGCATATGACTTACTGACCTTCTCCTTGGTATATTTAAAATCATTCCCAGATTACTTGTAACACCAAATAAAATATAAATATTATGTAAATAATTGCTATACTGTATTTTTTTACTTGTATTGGTGATAGTGTTGTGTTGTTTTTAAATTTTTTTCCCCCAACAGTTTTGATCCAAGATGGGTTGAATTAACAGATCTAAAACCCACAGATAGGGAAGGCTGACTATATGTATATATATATAGTCATGTATCACTTAATGAGGTGGATGAATTCGGAGAAACATGACCTTAGGTGAGTTTCTCATTGTGTGAACATAATACAGTATACTTACACAAACCTCGAAGGTATAGCATACTACTTATGTAGGCATAAGGTACACCCTATTGTTCCAAGACTGCAAATCCATACAGCATGTTACTGTGTTGAACACTGTGGGCAATTGTAACATCATGGTATTTGTGTATCTAAATATGTCTAAACAAAAGAGATACAGGAAAAATACAGTATAATTTTATGGGACCACTATTGTATATGGTGTCATTGACTGAAATGGCATTACGCAGTGCATGACAGTATGCATCCTTCAGTGAAATTCATCTTAAGATTGAGAAGCCAGCAGGTCATTCGCGCCACACTTTCCCAGATTTCACCCAAGTAGACTGCTCCTTCAGAAGGGAAGCCTGATACTAATGGGATGTGATGCCATTTTTTAAATTAACCCTTTCCACTAAGTTTGAAAAGGACATTCTTCTTAGACTGGGCCATCAGTAACAATGCCCCTTCATGGAGAGAAAAGCATACTGAACCTGAGCTTCCACAGTCTAGGGCAACCTGCTCCTCAGGCCCTGCAGGCATGTTCTTTCCACTGTGCAGGTGGAGAGTTATGACTGCGTAAGCCTCTGTCCCAGTGAGACAAAACTGCATTATCTATTAAATTTCTAATATGCAGACTATACTTTATATGGAAAATGCACTGCAGAAAAAAATGCTGGCTTTTACTCTTATACATGGAGATCCATTAGAGAAATCTATCAGGGAAGTATGAAGTTGCTCAGAGTCACAGAGATTCTGATGAAGGGTTACAGAATTGAAGCAATATAGTAGGTGCGGGCTCCTTAATGCACAAAAAATTATACTTTTATTAAGTCCCCTACCAAACTTCCCACACTTTCAGTTACATCCCTGTAACCAGGGACTATATCCAGAACTGGAAGCTTAGTTTTCAGGCTTCAGGCTGTCTTGTGGCTTGAAGGTTGGGTTTCATTGGGGGCTTGTCCCTATCTGCCTAGGAATTTGTTGGCCTTCTACTACTATCACAATAATTTTTCAAATGAATAGGTACAAATCCCTTAGCGTAGAGGAGCTCCTTGAATACCAGCATGACTGGGCAGTTGGGCTACCATGGGTCTAAAATCATGGATGGGAAGCTCCTCCGAGACCCAATATGTTTTTCTCTTTCTACCTACGGCCTGCACCTCCCCCATTTTGAGCCTATAAAAACCCTGCCCTCAGCCACACGTTGGGACTACCCGCCTTCTGGTAGGGACTACCCACTTTGGGTCTCCTCTCCACTGAGAGCTGTTCCGTCACTCAATAAAACTCTTCTTGGATGCAGGACAAGAACCTGGGACCCACCCAACAGCGAGTGAGAAAGGAGCTGTAATACTGTAGCCTTCCTGTCCTCTGTTGGCGCCAGGCAGCTGCCCCACACAACGGGAAGTAGCAGTGGCGCTGGGCCAGCCTAGGAGGCATGGGCTAGAGCAGAGCAGTGGGACTGAACGAGCTGTAACACGAATGAGGTGAAACCCACCCCCACCCTGTTTGCTGCACTGTGGCTGGTGGGAAGGAGAGAAGAGCTATGACCCTTCTGGGGGCCTAGACCTCGGCTCCCCAAGCCAGGGCTGTGTTATGCTGTAACACCCCCTTTGCAGTTCCATGATTGCTGGTGTCCCCGAGTTTTTAAGGCGCCACCGCATTCCCCTCGTCCAGACACCAGCGCCCAAGGCGGAGGCCCCTTGTCATACACCTGGTCCAGCCACAGCCTTGCACAGAGCCAATGCTGGAGCTGCCCACCCCATCACAGCAGCTGGCGCACCTGGCTTGCCCTTGGCAGGCATGAGATATCAACCAGTAGTATGAGCTGAGTGCAGCCTGATGGGCTAAGTGGGCAGAGCAAGCCCTGTGGGCACAAGCAAAACTCAAGCAGAGGCACTGCCGGCTGTGGAGGTCTCTGGCTGGCGAAGAGGCACTGAAAAAATCCTGTATCATTTCCATACTCTATATGTGTGAAGCAATACAGTGTGAATCCCAAAGATAAGGGTGTGCATGAGTGTGGGTATGCATGCCTGTGCTGCTGGTGAGCTGCAGGACCACCATGGAAGGGAAGTTAGTAAAGGAATGTTGCCCTGGGCCAGGCGCGGTGGCTCATGCCTGTAATCCCAGCATTTTGGGATGCTGAGGCCAGCCGGCAGATCACCTGAGGTCGGAAGTTCAAGATCAGCCTCACCAACATGGAGAAACCACGTCTCTACCAAATATACAAAAAAATTAGCCAGGCGTGGTGGCGCATGCCTGTAATCCCACCGTTTTGGATGGCTGAGGCCTGCAGATCACCTGAGGTTGGAAGTTCAAGATCAGCCTGACCAAGATGGAGAAACCCCATCTCTATCAAAAATACAAAAAAATTAGCCATGCGTGGTGGCGCATGCCTGTAATCCCAGCTACTCGGGAGGCTGAGGCAGGAGAATGGCTTGAACCCGGGAGGCAGAGGTTGCGCTGAGCCGAGATGCGCCATTGCACTCCAGCCTGGGCAACAAGACCAAAACTCCGTCTCAAAAAAAAAAAAAAAGTTTCCCTGGTAGAGAGCCTCGTTCTGCAGACCTAGAGGCTGTGCTGATTCTTCTGCAAAGAGACTTCCAGTCTCACTTCTGCTCCAATAAACTCACAGGTCAGTGAGACAGTGCATAAACACAACCTATCATACAGGTTAGCAAAAGAATCTGGCTGACTAAAAGAATTGGTCTATAAAGAAAGTAAAGCTCTGGCCTGCCTGGAGATAAAGCCCAGCGCATCACTAAAGGAAACAGAGAAGAAAGAGAGAAAGCAAGCAGTGCATATCACCAGGAACCTTCCTGCCAGGAAAAAGTGGGTGGGACAGCAGTAGCAGGCATCATGCTTAAATAACACGGTAATTATTAGCTCCATTTATCTACATACCTCCAAAGCGAGCTCTCTGTGATGCTCCCCAGGTTATAGTCATAGAGCTTTGTCAAAATGAGAATCACCTGAAGGCAAAAGAAGAAATCATGGTTAGTCTCAAACAATTACAATCTCTTAGAACTGAAATGGCCCAAGGGAGGGCTTAGGATTCCTTTAATAGTCACTTAACATAATTGAATGAATTGTTACAGCATTTGCCACACTGACTGGGGAAAGGTTGGCTTGTCTTTCTGCCTTCCACTGAATTGCTTAGGCCTATCCTCTCCCCAGCTTTCTCCCTGTCACCCTGCAGCAAGGGTTACCTGCTCCTGCAGGCATTTCTTTCCCTAGTGGGTTTAGCGCTTTTAGGGAAGGCTGGCAGAGCTGCCAAATATGCACACAACTCAGGTACTCACTGAGCAGATGCCTGGGAGAAAGGAAGGTCAATGATTAGTTTCCAGCCCTAGTAGCTGGGTGCATTGAGCAGATTACCCAATGTGCCTAGCTACCATCTTTTTGGGAGACAGCAAAGAATTATTTGAAAGAATGTCAGTATGCTCATTTATTAAGGGGGATGAACAGTAATGCTATCTCCCAAAAGAATTGCTGTTTGAAGTTAAATTAGGAAATAAATACAAATTACATATCTATTAGCATGTGGTTTTTTTTTGTTTTTTTTGTTTTTTTTTTTGGAGATAGAGTTTCGCTCGCTCGTGTTGCCCATACTGGAGTGCAGTGGCACGATCTCGGCTCACTGCAACCTCTGCCTCCCAGGTTCAAGCAATTCTCCTGCCTCAGCCTCCCGAGTAGCTGGGATTACAGTTGCCCACCACCACGCCCGGCTAATTTTTTGCATTTTTAGAGATGGGGTTTCGCCATGTTGGGTAGGCTGGTCTCGAACTCCTGACCTCAGGTGATCCACCTGCCTCAGCCTCTCAAAGTGCTGGGATTACAGGTGTGAGCCACCGCACCTGGCCTAGCATAGGATTCTTAAATGTTAATTCCTTCCCTTTGCTCTATGTGAGCTTGGTTTTAACTTTCTTCTGACTTCCAATTTCTAGGAAAGCCATTAAATAGAAGCCACATTGGCAGGGCTAAACGACAGCATTTTAACGAGCAAATCTATTTCATGGGGTCCAGATAATTACCGTGTAATATATTTCTTATGGAACCCTCCATAAGAAACAGAGAAAATCAAAAATTAGGAACAGGTCTCAGGAAAGAAGCCGTAGAATTGTGGAATGCTAAATTTAAGCTATATTCGCTCCACAGCAAATCCTCCTCCGAAATAGAAAGCAGCACTATTTCCAACTTTACCCAGAGGAACCTAAACTATTTCATTCTTTCAGAATTCAACGAACATTTATTAAACATTTATTAGGAGCCCAGGATTTTGTCTGACGCCAGAAGAGAACACAAAGAAAAACAGATTCCGTCTATGAGTCCGTGATCCAGTTAGGACAGAAGCGCTCATGAAAGAAAAGGGAAGTTGATAAAGAGCTATATACCCCTTCTCAGTCACACCAAAACCCTTCCCGTTACAGCTGCTCCGGAAGACAGCTTCTTTTGGTGTCTGCAGCAATGAACAGAGTCCACCTGGTTATTTGAAATACATGAGCCCAAGCACACTTGCGAAGATTCCACAGAGCAGTGTGTGTTCCTAACCACTGATTTCTCCACCTTTTACTTGCTCTTCTTACATAAGGGAAAAACATTATGGGTTTGCTCAGTTTTCTGTCGAAGTTCGTATTTTCCTCCTGGTACTCATAACCTAGAACATTTGGCCCAGCCCAGCTGTTTCCAACTCAGCAGAAAAATGTTGACATTGATTTCCTGAATTCTTCTCTGAAGGCCAAGGGATCAGTTCTAGCCACAGTAAGCATAGAACATTCTAACCTTAAATTCCGGGGCTGTAAGCTGCTGAGGAATGCTGAGTCCAAGTTCCACTCTACTAGCACAGCGTTTGATTTACTGAAGGCACAAGCATCAGTGAACACATTCTTAACTTTTTAATTTCACAGCAAGCAAACTGGAACTCCCTGACCTTAGGTTTGTTCTGAGTTCAAGGAAAAAAAAATTACAGTAACTTAAAAACAGGCAGAGATCCCTGAGTACCTGTCATCTAAGGCCGCCCCTCTCCTAAACTACAGCACAGCTTCCTTCCTTCCAGGTCCTGTTCAAAACTTGCTTCTTTAGCAAAACGTGAGCATGTGTGAGGTGCGGGGCACCCCATGGACACATCAGATGGCATGCCTGTGGTGGGGGCATATGCTTAACAGATCCATGTGCCAATTAAGTCGCTCTCAGTGCTAAATTTCAATCACCGCCATCCCAGGAACGCTGATCAGTGGCAGCAGGGTGGCTGTTTGTTTGAAGACACAGAATGATGTTCCTACTCCACCTCAGTACAATTTTGCCGAATAAGCCTATAAATCCCCCACCAAGAAAATAGGGGTGTGGGCATAAAGCATTTCTAGGTAGTTGCTCTCCTGATACAAGACCGCAGTAAACTAAATAATGAAGTTCAGCTGGTCACAGGCTGTGTCTCCCATTCTTGTGATGAGGGAATTCAAAGGTGCCCCGGAGAAGGAACCCTTTAACCCAGCATGTGATGGTGTGGAGCCACTTGCACAAGCACACAGAAATTGTTTAAGCAATCCCAGGGCAGGCGGGCAGGGAGGTAGAAACCGCTCCCTGCCTCTTCTTGCAGGGCTAGTAAAACTGAAATGCCAGTGATACACTCAGGCAGTTTATCAACACAGCACCAGAAGTAGAGTCCTTTATGACATTTGAAAGCATATCTGCTTGAATCAATCTATTTAATCTTTCTGTTTTCAGAACAAGAGCAAGAAAGAAGGCACAACTGCTAACCTTTAGTTTTCAATCGATTATTTGAGATTTCTTTTTCTTTTTTCCCTTCACTGCCTCTGTGCATTATTTACCATCTTATTACTGAACAACGATGCATCCTTATGTTAGATATGTTTTGCTGTTTGTTTGCTTTTCTGTGACAGCAATACTATTTCACAAATCAGTTTCTGTTAAGGGATCCAGAGCCAAAATCACTACATTTAAATGAGAAAATGTGAAAAAATGAAATTGCCTCCCTATTCTGGTTTTATTCTCTGTTGTTTTTGTTGTATTTTTCAAACTCAAAATGGGGCAAAATGAAGCTGTTTTGTTTGCTTTCGTTTTTGTTTTGAGATGGGAGTCTCGCTCTATTGCTCAGTCTGGTCTCAACTTCTGGGCTCAAGGGATCCTCCCACTTTAACCTCCTTAGTAGCTGGGAGTGAGGTGCAGGACACTGCGTCCAGCTTTCAGTGGAACTTTTCAATTAAGTGAAATGTTGTATGTGCTTAAATAATATACACATAATTTATTTTTATTCATTCAGCACACAATTTTCATGTATAGAAAAACTGAGTTCAAGTGTAGAGTATTCAAGTTCAATCAAAAAGCAAAGCTGTTTTGATGAACACATATACATCTCAAAATGCATATGAACATATATACCCCCACACAAAGTGGCATATCCATCAGCACCCCATTTATTTCTGTATCTTGTTTTCATTATACAGTGTTAAAACATCCCTGATTCAAAACAAGTGGTCACAATATGGTACTAGCTTTTTAAGGTTCCTCTCTAAATCTTAGGATATTATCTTTAAATAGCTATGACCCAAATTATCTAAGACTTGATAACCTCCACCTATGCCATACCAGGACCTCTGCATCCAGTTATTTCTGGGATTTCCACAGTGACATGCTTCAAGTATCCCCCTCGCCAGTCTAGGACTTGCTGTCAGCACATGACATTTGTACTTCTTTCACTGTGACTCCTTCTTGCCACATCTATCGCTTACACAACTTTTGGGAGGAACTTCACTTGGTCCATACGTTTTCTCTTTTTCTTTTTCTTTTTTTTTTTTGAGATGGAATCTCGCTCTGTCGCCAGGCTGGAGTGCAGTGGCGTGATCTCGGCTCACTGCAACCTCCGCCTCACAGGTTCAAGCAATTCTCCTGCCTCAGCCTCCCGAGTAGCTGAGACTACAGGTGCGCCACCACACCCAGCTAATTTTTGTACTTTTAGTAGAGATGGGATTTCACCATGTTGAGGAGAATGGTCTCGATCTCTTGACCTCGTGATCCACCTGACTCAGCCTCCCAAAGTGCTGGGATTACAGGCGTGAGCCACTGCGCCCAGCCAGTCCATACTTAGAGAGAGGATGCCAGTGCCCACTCACCAAGCTGCTGTTCTCAAATCACCCATTCCTTGGAGGGTAGAAGGGTGCCAGAAACAGTGCCAGGTCAGGTTCTGTGCAGGAATGGGAGAGGGTCCAAGGGAGTGGGCAAGGGCTTCTTCTCCCACAGCACTGAGCCACATTTTCATAACCCGGGCTCCCAAACTATTAGTGACCCTTTGCTCAGGCCCTTACAAAGCTCCTACTGAATAATTCCATCAACTCTAGCCCTCACTCCTTCTGGATAGGGAGTTGAGAAACCATCACAAAGGACTCTGTGAGAGGAGAATGTCAATTACATTCCTCCCTTCTAGCCCCAACCTCTTTCTGCACTGGGTTACAGAACAAAAGCATTCACAAACAGATGCTGGTATATGGATGACTAATAAGACTGTTCCACTGTAAATTACCAAAAGTCAGTGAAAAATATTCTTTTGTATCAAAACAGTAGGGCAAAAAGCCTTATTTACAGGTATGCGTTGAAATGAACTAACCTGCCAGCAGCATAAGACAGGCAGTCTCTCCTATGCCAATTATCAGTC